>NC_000008.11:40163132-40466163 GCF_000001405.40 Homo sapiens | reverse complement strand
GGAGTATCTGGGAGGGAGAAATAGAATATTAGAGAAGCTGTAGAGTGTTAGAGAAGTCAAGAGTGCGGGCTTTGGAAATAAGGAGGCTGGATTGGAGCTTATTAACTCTGTAACTTTTGTCACGTTACTATTGTCTTTGTGACTTCATTTTTCCATGTATAAAATGGGAATAATAATGGTCTTATCTCAGAGTGCTGCTGAGAAAGTTAATTGAGTTAATAGGGCATTTTGAACAGTGGCTGGAATATAGTAGGTCCTCAATAAATTTTAGTAAAAATTATAGTAATATTATATATAATATATATTACATATAGTATCATAGAATAATTATATACTGGCTTATCATGAACACTTTTACAGTCCAGTATAAGTTTCTTTGTAATTTCCTTTTTTTCCCTTTGGATTTCTAGGAAGTTCATTGGGATAGGCATCCCATTACCACCTCTTTTTTTTTTCATACTCTCCCTTTCACCATAAAACCATTATTCTCCCACAACTCCTAGTTCTATGTGAAGAATAGACACACATTCTTTAGCATGAAGCATCTACAAGATAGAGTGGACTCTCTTTTGTTTATTGATTTCTCTTAGAATAGCTCTAATATGTAATAAAACTAAAAGAAACTTTCACTCAGATGACGATGTCATGCAGTGAAGGGCATGTAGGTGACCTTGCCACTCTGTTGCCCTGTATAGTTTTTCCATCTTCAGAACAATGGGGTTCTGCTTCTTCTTCCACTAGTTGTTAGATAGAGCTGAGTGGAAGGAATGGCTGCATCAGAGCACCCTAAGCGTCTAGTCACATGGAATGTGGAGCAGAGACTATGCTACATCTTCACCACATTCTCATTCTGACTGCATCAACTGGGTTTTGCAAGCTTGGATTCTAGGGCATCTAGGTTAAGGTCAATGGGAAGTGACTTACTCTCCCCTGATGTTGCAGGAAAATGAGCACCAGTCTCTCTCAAAGAAAAAGCACCATCGAATCCCCAATCTTGGATGTCGGTCATTCTCTTCATCTTCTTGCTCGGTTTACTTCCTCACTGAGGAAGGACAAGATTCCTCCCTGGTCATGCTTTTGTTAAGGACCATGAAGAGTCTAAAGAGTCCCAAGTTCAGTCAACCCCGAATCTTATAAGGAGGCTCCTAGCAAACATGCCCAACCTCTGATCTGGAGGTTCCATTATCTTTACTATCCTGGTCAGGAAACAGATATTCCCTCTTCCTTGGAGGGAGACACTATTTCCATCTTCAAAGGCTGTTTGCTATAGAAATGTCATTTTAAGGTATTTAGGAAATAAACTGTCAATACCTCATCACAAAATGTAAAGAATTGCAAGAGATCCATCAAGCAATACCTTCCAACAGTTTTTCAAGGTGCTCTTGGCTATCCAGGTAATAATTGTTACAGACTTAAAGTTGTGCTATCAAGGAAGAGATCTCCAGAGGGTTGCCCTGGGATACGTCCAGGCATGATGGAGCAGTAAGCATATGGGGAAGTTCTTACTTCTTAGGGCTAAAGTTGAGAACCACTGGCTTCTTACTGAGTATCTAAAACCTCCTAAGTTTGGGGCAGGGTGTATTAATCAGTCCTAGTTCATCTGTTCTGGGTCCTTTAATCCATACCTCACAATCAGAGAGGCATGTTCACATATGGCTTGACTATGAGGAATTCATGGAGACATTTTTAATGCAAGCTCTGAAACCACTGCTCTCAGGCAGAATTATTCATTTTGAAGAGTTTCTCAACCTTTTAAAATTATGTCCCCACAAGGAGTCTTTTTAGATATATCTCTCCCACCCAACCCCATAAAATTTTAATACCAGAGATGTAGTATATCTGTTTTTGTACAATGGCCCTTTAGAAGGACACAAACTATTATAATATCATAGTTTTCTTGTGCACCCAAGAACCAATTTTTATCCCCATACCTCATCAATATGGTGATGTCACCCACATTGAAAATGCATGATCTAGAAAACTCTTGCATTAGTCCAGGTTTTCCGAGAAACAGATGCCAAGACAGGTTATACATGCAAGAATTTTATTAGGAGAAATATCTGTATGAAAGTGTACGAAGGCCAGCCCGGTGGCTCATGCCTGTAATCCTAGCACTTTGGGATGCCGAGGTGGGCAGATCACGAGGTCAGGAGTTTGAGACCAGCCTGACCAATATGGTGAAACCCCATCTCTACTAAAAATTGAAAAATTAGCCGGGCGTGGTGGCATGCACCTATAATCCCAGCTACTCAGGAGGCTGAGGCAGGAGAATCTCTTGAACCTGGGAGGTGGAAGGTTGCACTGGGCCAAGATCGCGCCACTGCACTCCAGCCTGGGTGACAGAGCGGGACTCCATCTCAGAAAAACAAAAAAAAAGAAAATGTTTGAAGGGAGGGAGCCAGCTAAGGCATGTTTCTAGGCTCAGATCATTGAGGTCCCATTAGCTGTGGTAGCTGAATGTGGGACTCAATGTCATTCACAGCTAATTGGGGTATGTAAATACCTGATACTTGCTCTCCAGCTCTGCTGGGCATAACTCTCCCTGTTTTAGGTGAGTCCACTAACCTCATGGAGAAGGCACTGAAATCCCCCTGATGGAGTAGGCTTGGGCAGACATGTAAAATAGCACCAAGAGCTTCTTGAGGCTTGACTGGTTCTACGGTGAGGTCCCAGCCATTTGTCCAATTACACTTATACCTCCAAATTTTTCCACAGTGCCATCTTTCACAACTGCTTTCTCCCTCTCTAGAAGTAGAGATGGGGCCTCCCTTGACAAAGGAGACTCCAGGAATCTGCCTAAGAAGTTCACTCTTTTTTTTTTTTTTTGAGATGGAGTCTCACTCTGCTGCCCAGGCTGGAGTGCAATGGTGCGATCTCAGCTGGCTGCAACCTCCACCTCCAGGGTTCAAGCAATTCTGCTTCAGCCTCCCCAGTAGCTGGGACTACAGGTGCACGCTGCCACACCTGGCTAATTTCTTTTGTATTTTAATACAGACGGGTTTCGCCATGTTGCCCAGGCTGGTCTCGAACTCCTGAGCTCACACAATCTGCCTGTCTTGGCCTCCCAAAGTGCTAGGATTACAAGCATGAGCCACCTCGCCCAGCCAAGAAGTTCACACTTTACTTGTTTTTGAAGAAACTTATACATTTGCTTCTGTACAATATTTTCTGCTTCTCTTTCTGGTCCTGGTTCCCCTTGCTGTTTGTTTCTCTGATTGTGGGCAACTTTTGTTCTCTGCCATCTGAATGAATCGAAATAACAGGGTGAATCCTTTTGACCTCTCAAAATGCATGAAGTGGAGTGGCAGAGCTGAGGTTTATGAGATTCCCACCAGTACTTGCTCAAGCCTTGCAAAATGTATCTCCCCTCATGACATCCTCCTCTCTTCAATGATGCAAAAATATTTCTAACCTCATCAAAAGCTGGGAGTCCTTCCATCTTTTTTCTGCCAGGTGGTCAATAATTTAACACATGCTTTCTCAGCAGTTTCCAATCTTCCAAAAATATCGCTCCAGAGCAAGTAGCTACTTAAGTTTCATGACTTTTACACCATGTGCAACCTCTAAACTTGCCATAATCCCCTGCATTCCCTAACCTCAGAGACATTTTGTTCCTGTAAGAGTTCCCTATTATGTTTAAACTGTAGTTCAGATTCCTTATCCACTGGGACCTACTGAATCTACATTTACCATTTTAAAACCCTGAGCTTTGTATTTCAGGTAATTCAAGCACAGTTGCATTGCTTCCCCTATCTCTGTCAACCCAAAATCCTGAAGAGAATGGGTCTAGATCTGATGTGAGTTGGGCTTAGCATGTAAGTTATGGATCTCTTACTTTCTGAGGTAAAGCAAACATAAAAACAATTATTTGTAGGATATTTACCATTTCTTAGCATAACTTACAAAAAGATATTATTTTAAGCAATCTCTTCTCCACAAGGGTCAGAATAGGACAGAAATGTGAGAGGCTGAAGGGGAAAAGAACCTATGTCTAAATGTAGTATGCCATATTTGTCCCTTGCAGAGCCTGGAATTCCCACCTGGGAACAAAGAGGCCTTTGTTGACATGACCTTTTCACAGAGCATCAAAGAACCATGCCACTGGAGCAGTCCTGGGGAAAATGGGGCAGACCTAAAAGGGAAGAGGCAGTTCTCTTGGATTGATTGATTTAAAAAGCTAAACCTTCCAAATATGCCAGCCTAGAGGAACCTCTGAGCTAGGTATGTCTAAAAGATATAATTAGAGTCTTCACTTTACACAAGTTTCTCTTGCTCATAAATAGGAAGTTCAGTGCCAGAAAATATTATACCACTGCATGAGTTAGGAATGTATTTAGCAGCAAATAATAGAAAATTTGACTGAGTGGTTTAAGCCATGTGATATATATTTTTACTTAATAATAAATCTATAGGCATTTGGATTCTAAATGGGTACAGCACCTCCAAGTCGGAGCTGGTGGATATGTCTGAGATTTTCTTGCCATTCTCTTTGGGGTTGCCAAGTGACTACTTCAACACTGGATATAAAATCTTCATATGACTGTGCCCAAGGGTAGGAAATAGGAGAGTGACCAGGGCTCTCGGAGAGAGGAAGAAGTGAACAAAACAGCAAGTGAGAGAGGGTTCTTCTTGTGACCCTCTCATTTCATCTGGAAGAAAAATCTTTCCTGGAAGCTCTCCAGCAGACATTATCTTACATTTCACTGGTCTGAATTGAGCCAATATTACCCCTAGATCAATCACTTATGGAGGAGATGCTATCCAGAGGCTCAACTGAGAATAACCACAGTTCATCTCCTGGGACCTGGCACATTTCCACTTGAACAAAACTAAACATCGTTAGCAAAGAAGAAATGAGGCAAAAAGCAGTGTTTGCTATAACTTTAGAGGCAAGGTCAATAGTTAGCTGGTGCATGATACTCGTGCATAGTTTTGGACTTGGCAATGCATTCCCTTACTCTTTGTTAACTATTTTGAAAATTATACCTAAATAAAAGAACTTTGGGGATTATCTGTCCCAAATTCTTACATGCCCTTCCCCCTACCCAAAAAATATATCTATATCATTGCACTGATATCAGTTATGTTATGTGCAGTATCCTACTGTAGAAAAACAAATACCCTCTAAGTTGTGTGGAGATCAGGACTGGGTCTTCCCCTATCATTTCCCCAGCGCCTTTTATTGTGTTTGGCACACAAAAGACACTTTAAAAATGTTTTCTGCTTGAATTAATGGGATGAAACTTCATATTATAGATGAGCAAACATAGGCCCATCGAAGGGAAATGGTAAGTTTAAAGTCTTTCTGCTAGTTACGCCCAGAACCAAAACCACAAGTTAGTTCTTCTGATTTGTGATTTGATTTTTATTTTCCCATTTTCACATGGTACTTATCCAAAAAAAGGACATATACAGATTTTTTAAATGTACCCAAAAAATCAACTTCTCAGAAAAAAACTATGAAGCTGGAGACCTAGGAAGCGGTTCTCTCACCTATGATTGCATAGGAAGCTGGCGAGATAATGGAAGATGTGATCTTGAAGACATAAATGCCCATAGGAAGTGGAAGCTGCAGATAGGACTTATTTCAGGACTGGAAAGAAATCGTTTTCTTCTAGCAAGAACTCTGTCCCTCGATTCTATCTGAGCCCAACTGCTCTGCAGGAAGACTTGAGCTACACTTTCTGACTAGCCTCTCTACTGTCTGAGTTGACCATCCTATTTAATATTTTTAAATGACTTCCTGAAACATGTGAACTATCTATCAGTTCTCCTAATTCAGGGGGTGGTGATGAGGGATGAAAAGGACTCCACATAGTCCTGCGTCATTTCCAAACTGTCACCTACTGGCAGAATGGCATTTATGAGACCACAGATGATTAGCATTTTTAATGTGCCATTGTGACAGTCACAGAGTCAACAAAACATAGGGGTCTAGACATGGGTAATGTCTAGGTTAAAATCTCAGCTTTGCTATCTACCATGCATCATTTTTTGAAAAGCTGCTTAACCACTTTATGCCTCAGTTTCTATTTTTTTTTGTAAAATGATAAAAATAACTTATGAGAATGTGAGGATTAAACTACTTAATGTTCAAAGTGTTAGAACAATATGTGGCACTTAGAAAAATAAAAATAGTGTTACCTAAGAACACTATTTCACATTTCATCATATTTATCTTGGAATTATATTCATAATGCAAAAAATAGAAAACATAAAAATAACTGTATCATACTTACCAAGATGAATAATAGATCCCTTTAATTTTTGTACATTAAACAAACAGCAAATCCTAGATAACAAATACATCGATGGTTACGGTACACCATTTCATACTTGTGCTATTTTTGTTTTGGGAGGTTTTTTGTTTTGTTTTGTTTCTTTTTTTTTTTTTTAGTCAGGGTCTCATTCTGTCCCTCAGGCTAGAGTGTGGTGGCACAATCATAGCTCATTGCAGCCTCAACCTCCTGGACTAAAGGAATCCTCCTTCCTCTGTCTCCCAAGTAGCTAGGACTACAGGCATGCACCACCGTGCCCAGCTAATTTTTTATTTCTTTGTGGAGAGGAGGTGTCAGTATGTTGCCCAGGCTGGCCACAAACTCCTGGCCTCAAGGGATCCTACTGCCTTGGCCCCCCAAAGCACTGGAATTATGGGAATGAGCCACCATGCCCATCCAGATTCCTATCCTAAATTTTCATGGCAAATCACTCATGGTCCTTGCTCAATGAGGCCTTAGCTAGGATGACTTAAATAGCTGGGATCTGGAATAAACTCAGGCCTTCTTTCTTCACATATCTGTTACGTAGGCTAGCATTACTTGAAGACTTAAAATATCTGCACATGGCATCTCCATGTGGCTGGAGCATCTCTTAGGGGAGTTTATGGGTTCTGAGAGGGAGGCCCCTAATTGAATCTGGTGGAAACTGCTTGACTTTTTATGACTTAATGGCATAGAATCACTTCCGCCATTCTCAATTGACTGAAGCAAACGTAACTTCATACATCTGATCCCCTGGGAGAAGTGGAATTATTAGACATTAGTAAACAAAGAACAGTTTTCTCAGTTTCGAGGTTATAAGCCTTATGTATTTCAGGGGTATCTCTAACTTTTATGATTGTTAATCCTGGAATAAACATGACCTTCTGTGATATATCTCAGTATTTCCCTGTGGAGAACAGACTGTCAAGATGTTACTCTTCTGTTCCCAAATGGTAACATTCCAAGTTTTTATTCCTTTTTCCCCCCCTGTTTGGTTATCAGTCAAGTTTCTTTGGGTCTTGGAGCAATAACTAGTGCATCAGGGGATAAGATACTTTCCATAAATGCAGGTTTTACCCTAGGACCAAAGCATAGCATGCTTTGGAATGCATTCTTTTTTTTTTTTTTTTTTTTTTGAGATGGAGTCTTGCTCTGTTGCCGAGGCTGGAGTGCAATGGCACGATCATGGCTCGCTGCAACCTCCACCTCTCGGGTTCAAGCAATTATCTTGCCTCAGCCTCCCGAGTAGTTGGGATTACAGGTGCCCACCACCATGCCCAGCTAAGTTTTGTATTTTTAGTAGAGACAGGGTTTCGCCATGTTGGTCAGGCTGGTCTCGAACCCCTGACCTCAGGTGATCCGCCTGCCTCGGCCTCCCAGGAATGCATTCTTTTCCTCAGTTAATGCTAGCATTTGGCAGCTGCCATTCCCTAAAACTTCTGAGCCCAGAGCCTGTGCCTCAGTCCTCAAATGCCCTGTAGACGTTACTTCCTCACTCTGCACTTGTTCCCTTTCAATCTCACCGTTGCTCGCTCCTCTCTGCTGTGATGAGCAATTGCTGCCTTCTCACATCAGGGATGGCTTCCATCTGGCCAGAACTGTAGGTGGAGTCCTGATCCATGTGAAGAAGGACTGCTGGGAGCCCATCTTAAAAGTAATACCTTTTTACCACCTTGGGAAGACTTCAAGGTGAGGTGTGCTTCACAGTTCCCCGGGCTTCTTCCTGAAGTGCACTGAGGTTTCTGAGCCCCTCTTCAAGGCAGCTCCTTTGCTATCAAAGGTGCACCTGTTGCTGGCCATCCAGCCTCTGGGCTAGAGCTCTGGAAGAGCTGCCATGTCAAAGCCACCCACCGTGAAACCAGTTCCCTCGTTCCCAGCATTACGCTTCCTCCAGTGACAGACTTAATGCTTCCCCACTTGCTTTTTTGAAAAATAACTAAATAAACCCAAGGGAGAGTTCAACAGTTTTAAGGAGGATGCCAGAATACCAAGAAGAAAGGATTCATTCCTAAAATAGAAATTCTGAAGCACTAGGAGTACATGCTACAGACCCCAGTTGTAGAACCCAGGGTGTAAGCCATTTTTCTATGATGAAGTTTGAGTTTGTTTTGCTTTTGGTTTAGTTTGGTTTACTGTTTTCCTAGTGAGTTCTGACTCCATAGGGTTTTTGTTTGTTTGTTTGTTTGTTTTCTGTAGGACAGGGGTTCTGCTGACACTGTTTTGTTTGAAGGGAGATGGGGACAGCTGAGACTCTGGTAAGCAGTTCTTATGCACAAAAGTTAACAGAGTTGTCCCATAGCAACTGGCTCCTGCTGCCAGGGTTGGCTGGGCCTGCAGAGTAGTGACTGCAGGACTCCAGGCCCCCTGCTTCTGTTTCCAAATGGGATCCTGCTGCTGGTAGCAAAGCTGCTCCCTTTTGTCAAGCCCTCCTGGTGCATCCTTTACAGACAAGTGGGCTGCAGCTTTTGCCAGATGGGTTGCTGATGGTGCAGCTGCCCCAACTGAGCAGTAAACTCAAAAAAAAAAAATGCTGATGGAAATGGGTGTGCTGAGCAAATGCGCCTGTCTTGGGGAGATCAGCACATAGTTTGTCTGGGGCAGCTCCCTGGGGCTTAAGTACATATTGATGGAAGCCAAACAGAAGTCTGAGAGATCTTGCCTACTGAAGTCAAAATCTGCCTGCTCTGAACATAAGGCATTGAGCATTTCATGCCACCCTCTTGGGGATCAAGTGCTGTGGCTGTTTGGTGGGGTAATTACAAATGTGGACTCTGGAGTGAGATTGGGTTGGAGTGCCCTCTGCCACTTCATAACAGCAAGAACTCAGGCAAGTTAATGAATTCTGCAAAGCTTCAGTTTCTTTATTTGTAAATCTGAGATGCTAATATCCATCTTTGAGGATTTTTATCATGATTAAATGAGAAAATACATGCACACCACTTTGCACGGTGCCTGGTAAAAAGAATATGAGTATTGCAGTCGGACAAATCTGGGTAGTAATCCTGGCTTGATTACCCACCAGCAGTATAGCCTGGGGAAAGACATAATCTCTGGTAGCCTCAGTTTATTCATCTGTTTAATGGTTTCACAATCATCTTCTAATTGGTTGTTATTAAAATTAAATGACAATTTATGAACATAGGGAAAGCATTTATGAGAGGCACACACATGCTGGTTTCACCCTCCTTTGTCTGCCACTGCGTGCTCTGGCTTATGCGGAGCCCGTGGAGGGAGTGAGTCTCCCGCCACCATCATTGATTTATTGGGGCCAACAAGGACTTGCCTGCCAGGACCTTGCTGGGGATTCCATGCATCCACTTCACCACTGCAGTCAGGAATGGATTTTTCCGCCTGAAGTGACGAGAAGGAAAGGTGCATTAATGTGGAGCCTCCACACCATACATTTCACAAAGACCAATAACCAACTCTGAAAGGTGCAAGCCCAGGATTTATATGTGTGATAAGTCACAGCTTTACCTATTTTTTTTCTAGACCACCACAATGAGCTGAAAAAAGAATGTATGAAAGTCATTTCCCTCTATTTAAAAATCTGGACCTACACTGTAGAATATAAAATAGCCTGTAAGCTATTTCTGAAGGGAAGAGGCACTTGATTAAAAGAGAGAAGAGATAAAAGCAAAAGAAAAAGCAAACAAAGGGAAATTCAAGAGCTGAAGCTAAAACAGGATATTACAAAGAGAGTTCAATTTGTGGCTGCCAATAATTTAACTGGCACAGCAGCAAAGGAAGGGGTACAGGAAAGGAAAAGAGAAGAACCTGGGCTGGGGGACACCTCTTTGCACCTCTCACCTCCATACTCAAGAGATCAGCTCTGAAATATAGAGAGACCACCTGGTAAGGGGCCCAGCAGTCACAAGGTCTTCTTTCCATGTGCTGGTGCCTAGTCTGCTGGGCACCCCAAGAGGCATGAAATGACCTGGGTGAAGACAGCCTCAGGTATATCCAATGTCTTTGTGCCACTGAGGTAGGAGGTAGAGTGTAGGAGCCATATATGACGATTTAATTCTGTGACTACACCTCAGTGAAGGATGGAAGAGATGGAGTGTGTGTTTGGTGAGGGAGCCAGGGTAATGATGAAAGCTGGGACACTGGGGCATCCTAAGGTTGTCATGGTCAAAGGCCAAGCTCTGAGAACACAGGACATCTGGGAGTCTATCACCACTGCTACTTATATCGAATGCTTTACACAAGTTTCAACAGCTGGGTAAAGAGAGCTGCAGGAATTAATGCTTATATTTTTCAAATGGGAAAAACAAGTATGGTGTCATTATTAGGATCAGAGAATTAGTGACAAAAGGAATCTTGGTTATCTATGCTCACCAAAGGAATTGATCATGGCTCACCATAAGCCCAGAGATCCATATATACCAAAGCTGTTAACATGGCTGAAAAGATGAATGGGATACAACAAAAGAGAGAGAGAGAGAGAAACCCAAACCCCAAACTCCTCTTTAAAATCTGTAGCAACAGAAGTTTCAGCTTCCTAGCAATGGAGACAAAGGAAAACCAATGACCTTTGAGATCACCAAATCCAATCCTCTCATTTTATGGATTAGGAAATGAAGGTCTACATTATTTTTAAAAGCTTTTCATCAATGAAATGTGTTTCTGTAGTTTCTGTAGCTAAGCATGGAATTATTTCCACTTTAATGTTTGAGATTGATTTTTTTCAAATGGGCTTTTCCATGAGGCACTGTTGACCTCCCAGAAACCAATTATGCATCAGAGCCGTGCAGAATGCTACATGAAAAGTTAACCTTCAAGGAGCTATAACACTTCACACAACAAGAAAACAGTCCTTTTACTCTGAATACTATTCGCCTGACGATATGCAATCCGCGTACTCTAGAAGTCCTCTCTGCTGCCTTGAGTCAAGTCATCCCCAATGCCTTTCATCTGTTTATCATTCTCACGGCAGCCTTGAGCTCCCCCTAGGTGTCCACTTTTGCTTATAGTTGCTGGACTTGGGTAAAAGTGAGACTGAACAAAAACCCCTGACTTGATATTGATTATATGCTGAAATTTTCCCCAGGCATCAGGCAGTCAATCTAGCAAGTCACCAGACAAATCAGCAATGTACCTTAGAGCAGATGGTTTCGAGATGATTCAAGCACATTACATTTATTGTGCCTTTATTTCTATTATTGCTATATTGTTAAATATAGAATAAAATAATTATAAAATTCACCATAATGTAGAATCAGCAAGAACTCTGAGCTTGTTTTCCTGCAACTAGACAGTCCCATCTGGGGGTGATGGGAGACAGTGAGAGATCATCAGGCATTAGATTCTCATAAGGAGAATGCAACCTAGATTTCTCATGTGTGCAGTTCATAAGAGGGTTCATGTTCCTATGAGAATCTAATTCTGTTGCTAATCTGACAGGAGGCAGAGCTCAGGCAGTAATGCGAGCAATGGGGAGTGGCTGTAAATACAGAGGAAGCTTCACTCACTGGCTCACTGCTCACCTCCTGCTGTGCACCCCAGTTCCTAACAGGCCACGGACTAGTACTAGTTTGTGTCCTGGGGCTTGAAGACTCCTTACTTAGAGAACAGACTCTTCCTACCTGATCTTTGATGGTCTGCTAGACAGTGCTGCCTCTGGACAGTTTTTGAGAAACAACAACTGGATCAATGGAGGTCTGAAGCCTCTGAGGCAAGACAGAGGAAGCCCTGTTGTAGCACTGATGTGATGGGAATTGTAACTCTTGGCTGCCAGCACTATGAAGAATACAACGGAGTAAGAGCAAGGACTTGTCATGGATTCTGCTCCCATGAGTCTCCCTACCCAAGGCACAGCATCGGATGCAACCTGTCTCACCTGCTTTTTGTTTAATCTGGTATTGCAGTAACCAGCTCTGTAGGGTTACAAACACACACAGTCACAACCTGGAAGCTTCCCACCTTATGCCTATGCTAACTGCCTCTTGCTTCTCAGTTCAGGGTTTCTCTGCTCAGCACCATGCATCAGTGACTTGTGGGGTAGACCTTAACTAGTAAAGAATGGGGCCAATTTATAGCACTTCTTGGTGGATGGTCCTCAAGGGCAGAGCAGCATGTCACACTTAATGATGATGTTGCATCAGTGACTTTTGTACTGTCTCTCTCTCTCCTTCCTTGCTACATTCTCCTTACCCTTTTATTCTGTGGAGTTCCCTGTAAATTAAAAGCACGAAAGCCTCTGCTTCAGGCTCAGTTTTCTGGGAGCCCAGGCATAGACAGGTACTCACCTTCAAGGACATTTCTCCTGATTTCAATTAAATTGGATTAGGCTTTCTGGTCTACCTCACTGAGGGAATGACTTAGATTCTGCAGTTGGTTTGGTTTTTAATTTTGGCCACCTAGACTGGATTTGCCTTCTTTTGGCAAAATAATCTTTATTTTTTTCTGGCGATTTGTCTCTTCTCCACTCCTGCTTATGCACATCTAATGGAGCTAATTCCATTTCCAGCTCAAGGAGTAAACACATGGTTTAGTTCCAGTCAATCTGAACGCTATATACCTCTGACTAGTGCTGGTCAACAATGGTCATATAATCCAAAATGAGCCAATGCAACAGTAAAAACATGTGCCAGGACTACTGGATAAGAGACAAGTTTTATTTTCTATGATGCTTGAAGGCCTGAACCTAGAAAATGTGATAATGGCATCCCTACAGCCATCAGGCCAACCCAGGAGGAAAGCCATCCCAGAATGGGTCCAACACCAAGAGGAAGTAGAGCTCAGAGATGTCAGGATCAGGTGGCATAGCTTGGCCATGCTCTTCCCTCACATTCCTTCCCATTGAGCTATGGCTGAGGCCCTAGATTTTACGTTTATTTGAGCCAGTACATTGCTGTTTTGCTCAAACCTGTTTTTGCTGTTGTTCATCTGCAACCTAAAGAGTCTTGACTGATAGATGAAGCTCCAGCTGCCTCAAATCTTGGTGGTTACTGCAAGACTGTTAGTTTTAAGTATTTATTTTTATTATATGTTGATGATTTTAAAAAGAAAATTTATAAGATTTAAAAAGTAACTGTAAACCAAATTTCCAACTATTTGCCACTCAATTTAAGAAAGAAACCATGGCTGTTAGTTTTAAAGTTCTTGGTAGATCTCTGCTATATTCTAACAATGGATTTAAACTATACCCTAGAACAAATGAACTTAACAGATATTGACAGAACATCTACCCAACAACCACAGAATATACACTCTGTTCATCAGCACAAGGAACTTTCTCCAAAATAGACCATATGATAGGCCACAAAGGAAGTCTTAATAAATTTAAGAAATTTGAAATTATATCAAGTACTCTCTCAGACCACAGTGGAATAAAATTGGAAATCAACTCCAAAAGGAACCTTCAAAACCATGCAAACACATGGAAATTAAATAACCTGCCTCTGAATGATCATTGGGTCAACAATGAAATCAAATGGAAATTTAAAAGATATTTGAACTGAATGATAATAATGATACAGCCTATCAAAACCTCTGGCAATGCTAAGAGGAAAGTTCATAGCCTTAAGTGTCTACATCAAAAAGTCTGAAAGAGCACAAATAGACAACCTAAGGTCACACCTCAAGGAACTAGGGAAACAAGAACAAACCAAACCCAAATCCTGCAGAAGAAAAGAAACAACCAAGATCAGAGCAGAATTAAATACAATTGAAACAAACAAAAAACAATACAAAAGACAAATGCAACAAAAAGCTGGTTTTTTGAAAAGATAAATTACAACCGATGCCACAGAAATACAAAAGATCACTCAATGCTACTATGAACACCTTTAAATGCATGAACTAGAAAGCCTAGAGGAGATGGATAAATTTCTGGAAATATACAACTCTCCTAGCTTAAATCAGGAATAATTAGAAACCCTGAATAGACCAATAACAAGCAGCAAGATTGAAATGGTAATAAAAAAAATACCAATCAAAAAAGTCCAGGACCAGAGCGATTCCCAGCTGAATTCTATCAGACATTCAAAGAATTGGTCCCAATCCTACTGACATTATTCCACAAGATAAAGAGAGAATCCTCTCTAAATCATTCTATGAAGCCAGTATCACCCTACTACCAAAACCAGAAAAGAACATAACCAAAAATGAAAACTACAGACCAATATCCCTGATGAACATAGATGCTGAAATCCTTAACAAAATATTAGCTAAGCGAATCCAACAATATATCAAACAGATAATCTACCATGATCAAGTGGGTTTCATACCAGGAATGCAGGGATGGTTTAACATATGCAAGTCAATAAATGTGATACACCTCATAAACAGAATTGAAACAAAAAATCACATGATTATCCCAATAGATGCAAAAAAAGCATTTGACAAAATCCAGCATTCCTTTATGATTAAAATCCTCAACAAAATTGGCACACAAGGGACACACCTCAAAAGCCATCTATGACAAACCCACAGCCAACATTATACTGAACAGGGAAAAAAGCAGTTTAAAGCATTCTCTCTGAGAACTGGAACAAGACAAGGATGCCCACTCTCATCACTTCTATTCAACATAGTACTGGAAGGCCTAGCCAGAGCAATCACAAGAGAAAGAAGTAAAGGGCATCCAAATCAGTCCGTTGTTGTTTGCTGATGATATGATTGTATACCTAGAAAACCCTGAAGACTCCTCCAAAAAAGTTCCTAGAACTGATAAATGAATTCAGCAAAGTTTCAGGATACAAAACTATTGGACACACTCAGTAGCTCTTCTATACACCAATAGTGACCAAGATGAGAATCAAATCAAGAACTCAACCCCTTTTACAATAACTCAACCCCTTTTACAATGGCTGCCAAAAAAAAAAAAAAAAAAAAAAAAAAAAAAAAAACCCTTAGGTATATACTTAACCAAGGAGATGAAAGACCTCTGCAAGGAAAACTACGAAACACTGCTGAAAGAAATCATCTTAGATGGCACAAACAAATGGAAACACATCCCATACTCATGGATGAGTAGAATCAATTTTGTGAAAATGACCATACTGCCAAAAGTAATCTAAAAATTCAATGCAATTTCATTAAAACACCACCATCATTCTTCACAGAACTAAAAATGACAATCCTAAAATTCATATGGAACCAAAAAAGAGCCCACATAGCCAAAGCAAGACAAAGCAAAATAAACACATCTGGAGGCATCACATTATCTGACTTCAAACTATAGTATAAGGCCATAGTCACCAAAACAGCATGGTACTGGTATAAAAATAGGCACATAGACCAATGGAACAGAATAGAGAACTCAGAAATAAACCAAAAAACTTACAGCTAACTGATCTTTAACAAAGCAAACAGAAACAAAGTGGGGAAAGGACATCCTATTCGACAAATGGTGCTGGGATAATTGGCTAGCCACATGTAGGAGAATGAAACTCGATCCTCATCTCTCACCTTATACAAAAACCAACTCAAGATGGATCAGGGACTTAAATCTGAGACCTGAAACTATAAAAACTCTGGAAGTTAACATCAGAAAAACCCTTCTGGACACTGGCTTAGGCAAAGACTTTATGATCAAGAACCCAAAAGCAAATGCAACAAGAACAAAAATAAATAGCTAGGACTTAATTAAACTAAAGAGTTTCTCCACAGCAAAAGGAACAGTCAGCAGAGTAAACAGACAACCCACAGAGTTGGAGAAGATCTTCAAAATCTGTGCACCCAACAAAAGACTGATATCCAGAATTTACAATGAACTCAAACAAATTAGCAAGATAAAAACAACCCCACCAAAAAGTGGGCTAAGGGCAATTCTCAAAAGAAGATATACAAATGGCTAACAAACATGAAAAAATGCTCAACATCACTAATGACCAGGGAAATGCAAATCAAAACCACAATGCAATACCACCTTACTCCTGCAAGAATGGCCATAATAAAAAACTCAAAAAATAATAGATGTTGGGGTGGATGTGGTGAAAAGGGAAAACTTCTACATGGCTGGTGGCAATGTAAACTAGTACAGCCACTATGAAAACAGTGTGGAGATTCCTTAAATAACTAAAAGTAGAACTACCATTTGATCCAGCAATCTCCCTACTGAGTATCTACCAGTAGATAAAGTAGTAAAGAAGTCATTTTACAAAAGGGATACTTACACACGCATGTTTATAGCAGCACAATTTACAATTGCAAAAATACGGAACCAATCCAAATGCCCATCAATCAATGAGTGGATAAACTGTGGTATATATATATATATATATATATATATATATATATATATATATACACACACACACACACACCTTTTTATGGCTGAGTAGTATTATATCATATATATGGAATACTACTCAGCCATAAAAAGGCATTCTATCATATATATATATATATATATAGTATTCCATCATATATATGATATATATGCTCAGCCATAAAAAGATACATATATATACACACACATACTACAATTTCTTTATCCACTTATTGATTTATGGGCATTGTACTATTGATGGGAATACTACTCAGCCATAAAAAGGAACAAATTAATGGCACTCACAGCAACCGAGATGGAACTGGAGACTATTATTCTAGATGCAGTAACTCAGAAATGAAAAACCAAACATTGTACATTCTCACACATAAGTGGGAGCTAAGCTATGAGGATGTGAAGGTATAAGAATGATAAAATGGACTTTAGGGACTCAGGGGAAAGGGTGGGAAGAGGGTGAGGGATAAAAGACTGCCAATTGGATTCCATGTATACTGCTTGGGTGGTGGGTGCACCAAAATCTCACAAATCACCACTAAAGAACTTACTCATGTAACCAAATACCACTTGTTCTCCAAAACCTATAGAAATAAATTTTTTTAAAAAATCTCTGATATGTTCTAAAGCTTTTACTGCACCTTCAGAGACAGCCACTATGTGGAAGTTTGTGTTAAACTCACATGCTTTTCTTTATAATTTTATCATATGTTTGTATCCCTAAATAATTTAGTTTTGTATGATTTTTAACTATACATAAATGCAATCATAGTGTTTATATTCTTCTTTGACTTGCTTTTTAAACTCAATACCATACAGTGGGATTCTTTCATATTATCGCATGTAGCTGTAATGCATTTATTTTTGATGTTGTATGCATATACTAAAATATTTTTATGCTTTTGGTGAAAACGTTTATTTCCATGTTTGTTTGCATGATTGATATTACAAACAATTGTGATATGAACACTCTGGTACATGTGTCCTTGTGTACATATGTATAGATTTCTTTAGGGTTTATACTTAGGAGAAAAGTCTTTCTGTCATAGTTTATCTGCAGTTTCAAATTTACTAGATAAATGAAAATTATCCTTTGGTTTTCCTTTTTACTAATGTAAAATCCCATAAACCATGAAAAAGTATAGTTTTTTTCATAATTTCTATAAAACTTGATATTATCAGACTTTACTCTTTGCCAATAATAATGGCTATAAAATGGTATTTTATCATGTGGTTTCATTTTTTATTCTAATCAGGACTGATATTAATTAAAATCATAACTACATCGTAAGAATTTTATCAGTGTTTCCTCTGAAGGTAAAAATTATATTCTGTATTAATCATCTTTGCTTTTAAAGTGAGCACTGAACAGATTTATTTAATTAATGAGAAAATAAGCAAAATAGTGAAGCTTTTTAAAGAGAATTGGAGAGTGACCTATTTATAATGGCTAAAAGAATGCTTAAATGAGATGGTTAATTTTCATACAAAATTAATTAATATTCTACAGTGTAATAAAACTGCAACTTTAGAGATGATCTCTTTTATTATGTAGAAATATTTTGGGTATCTACCAAGCAATTTTTTTTGCATTCCTATCAGACAACTATCATTTACATTGCTATCAGTTTTCTATAAGTCACCACCTACAATTTCAGAGTTGAAAACTACCCTTATCAGTAGTAACTAGCAAGTCAAACAAAGAGAAACATTTCAAGAGCAGGGGTTGGCAAACTTTTCCTGTAGAAGGCCAGAAATTACCTTATTTTGGCTTTGTGGGCCACATGGTTTCTGTAGCAATGACTCATTTTTGCCTACACATGCAGCCACAGGCAATTTACCAATAAAGGTGACCACAATATTTGTCCTGTGGGTCAAAGTTTGAAGACACCGGCCCTGGATAATTAGATAATCCACAGGTAAGCTTGTGAGAAAATTGAGGGGACACTCAGTTTTCTTTGTCACAGTTTTAAGGTTTGAATAATTATTCTTAACAGTCTCCCTTTTGATTATAAATAATTTCCAAAGATTATTATTGATTATGAAAAGCTGATCTCATTGTGTTTGGGCCTGATTCATGTACATAGTTGTGGCAAAAAGTGTTAATTAACATACATAAGCCACCTTTCAATACTGTCAGCAAATCTAGAGCCCTATGGCATTAAGCAACTTGTAAGGCCAGAAAATTAACTTCTGTCTGGAGAAATGGAAGAGTTTCTCTTGTTTCAGAGATGTGTTTTATTGTTCTTATCTATTTTTTTTTCTAATCTGAGGCCAGAAAATGAAACCCAAGACATTTGTCTCTACTAGTTTTGCCTGCAATGTCTGTAAAAGTGAGTAAGTTCTTCTCTTCTCTATTAAAATTCCTGGCCAGCCAAGGAACCTATAAGGATTGGAAGGGTTTTACTACCTGTAAGGATTGGAAGTTTTAAGCCAAGGGTCAGCAAACTTTTTGTAAAGGGCCAGATATTAACTATTTTAGACTTTGAGGGCCACAAGGTAAGCTCCATAGACAACGTGTAAATGAATGAGTATGACTATGTTCTAATAAGACTTTATTCACAAAGCAGACAATGGACTGGATTTGGCCCACAGGTCACAGTTTGCCAACATTTGCTTTAAGTCATAGAACAAGCACTAACCCGGTTTTCTCATCAGACATCATAAAATGTTATACATTTGCATGTATAACATGACCCCTGCAGCCACAAATATCTTTTTAACATCTTCTACATACTTAAAGTGGCAAAAAATAATCACCTTTGTTAATATTACCCAGAGATATAGCCAATCTATATTGGATAAAAATAAGAAGCTAAGAAGCAAAGAACACATACACACACATACATGCAAACACACACGTGCACACACACACAGAGACACGCATACACACTTTTTTTTTCTGGGTAGCATTCTATCTTACTTAGAAATTAGCCAAGTATTTGAAGATTATATATTAAGCAATTCAATTAATATGATTTATAAGATCTTAAAATTAACTACAGAATAGGACAACTCTATTTAAAGTGACACACTGCAGAAAATAATTGCTATTGATAAAAATCATTTGTCAGAATGATAATTCAACTTAAGCACATATTATATTACTTATAATCTGAAACATGTGAGTAATATAAGCTTCTTTAGTAAGTAAAACAGCATAAGAAGTTTAGAAAGGTTAGAATAACAAGTCTCTTAGCTAAGAAAATAAAAACAAAAACCTACATTTTTCCTTAAAAAAATAAAAGGCAAATTTTTATATTCTTCACCAGTAAAATCAGGGAAATATATATAGATGTTTTAAAACCAAAATGTATCTGATTTGTTCAAGAGCTCATTTCATCATGTGAGCTTAGCTTAGCTTCTGACTTAGCAGTTTCTATGAGAAGCAATTTTTTTTAATGCTAGCACAATTAAAACATTAGAAGTTTAGTTTTTTTTGTTATTCTGGGAGTTATGGGAGTATTAGATTGTGAGAGTAATAGTATTAGATTGAAAGAAGTTCTTATTAATGTACATAAACCAATTAGAACAGAACACATTTTAAGGGGTTTTACAATGTAATGTGTTACTATATTCAGTATGTTAATATATGCATACAGGCACACATATATACATCACACTTGCCCAGTGAGAGGCAAAGTCTTCTCTCAATTACAGACACAGAGAGTTTTTAGCTTCTGCTTTATAACTTTAGCCATGGAGAAGAAAAACATAGAAAACAAAAAAATAAATTCACCAATACAGATCTTAAAGATCTGTTCTACCTTCCAGTGGAAACAAGACATCTTCTTGCACAAAGACACAAACAAAATATTTAAGACAATTCTCTGTTATCTCTGACCCAATGAGCCTAGATTCCTATCTTCACTGGATGGAGATTACCCAACGGTCAGATCATAAACTCAGCAATCATGGCTGCCACCAAGGGCAATAACAGAGGGGATACAAACAAATTAAAACTGCAGCCTAATTCAGCCAGTTAGAAACAGAGATTAAAGACAAAACATGGAGTTAAGAAAAAAGAAAGAGGAAGGAAGGAAAGGGAAGGGAAGGAAAAAGTAAGGGAAAGAAAGGAAGGTAAGGGGAAAGAGTAAAAAGAGGGGAGGAAAGGAGGAAGAGAGGAAGGAGGAAAGGATGGAAGGAGGGAGGGAGAAAAGAAAGCGAGGAAGAAGGGAGAGATGGAAGAGGACAAAAAAAAAAGGTCATAAAAGCAAATTTGTATTGCCTCTGAGGATTCACTCCAGAAGCTGAGAAAAGACATGTCAGCCTAAATAGCCCATGAGAGTCCTCTTGGACAACAGCGCTTAATTGACTGAAGAAAATAAGCCAACTGGAAATCTCAGTAGAACCTCCCAAAGTGTCAAATACAATTTTCAAAAAGCTGAAAACCATGTGATTCATGCAAACATGAAGTAAGCATGTGTTAAAGATTCATGCAACTCATTAATGAGAAAACCAGCTAGATGATGAGACTGGTTCTCCAATA
Source organism: Homo sapiens (assembly GCF_000001405.40). Taxonomy (NCBI): domain Eukaryota; kingdom Metazoa; phylum Chordata; class Mammalia; order Primates; family Hominidae; genus Homo; species Homo sapiens. The sequence goes on along the minus strand of NC_000008.11, from coordinate 40,445,180 downwards.
TTTTAAATATTTATTGGCTCATTTCTCTGCTCCAAACCTTCAGTGGACCCTTAAGATGTTCTTTCTTGCATCTGATTTGCCTGGAAAAAAAAATGAAGAAAATCTTGGATCACATGACATGGAAGGCAACATTCACAAAAAAATTACCTGCTTCTTTATCAAGAGTTCTTTCTACTGCACTGTAACTACCTCTGCTGAGACACAATCCTTGTCTTGCAGAAGCTAGTATAAGCTTTGGATACATGAATACACAGTGATAAAGAAGGAACCCAGGGCAGAAACTCCATTGTCACTGTGGGCTGACTTAGTCATCACAGTTTATGGAGGAGGAAAGAACTGAATGGGTCCCCAAGGTCAAAAGTCCTCCAATAAGACATGTTCATGGGTAATGAACACACTGGGTTTCATCTGCAGTATGTCTAGGGAGATTCAAGATGAGTGAATTATCAACTGACAACCAAAAAGTTGTTTTTTGTTTTGTTACTGGAATCTTGGAAAGATAGTAAGAGATTTAATAAACAGACATGCGTTTTTCACTGGTAATAAGTATTGACTTTTTCAGAAGGACAATTATAACATATTTTCCATAGATCCATGTTATCTACTTCTCATATTTATTATCAAAACTCCAGACATACGTACATGGTAGGTTAATCCATATGCCCTTCCTCCCTAAAGCAAAATAACTTTGATATCAGCTTTTAACATACTACAAGAAAACATTGCTTGAACCTTGAACAACAATGAGAAAGAAGGAGCAAAGAGAAGGGGAGAGAATACAGAGAGAGAGAGAAAGAGTCAGAGAGAGAGAGAAACTGGCTTTTCTGCAAAACAAAGGAAGAAACCATCTTCTAAATAAATAGCTTAATTCCAAGCCAAGTGTGAATCATAAACTGAAGTAGATTTCTAGGTATAAAATGCAGTTAGAATGACTTTAGACATTTAAGGTAATGTTGAAAACTTGGTAGAACCTGTTTAACATCAATTCTTAGGGAAAAAAAGAAAATCTGACAAGTTTTGATGATGAAGTCAGATAAAGGTAAATATGGAATGTTTAAGGTGAGTAAGCAAGAATGCGTGTTTGTATAGAAATGAGATGTCACTCTGAGCCTTTCTTGTGTTGCTCTCACCTTTATGGGAGGAAAGAAATATGGTCTCCAGAAAAGTCCCCTGTAGGACCACCTGCTGTAAAGCTGCTCTGAAGAAAGATAAAACTGCTTTTTATATAAACAGGTAGTAGCAAGTGGGAGAGAACTCTTTTGACAGAATAATATTTTTCTAAGAATAAGAAGCAGATAGGACTTGACAGTTCTTTCCATTAAAAGATCTGACACTTGAGTTTAGATTTCATATTATTATACTTCTCCTGCCAAACCAAAGGTTAGGCATTCTAGCTAATTTGTTTTTATTTCCCATTAGTGGATATCTGTAATCCCCAATGGATGCTGATGGTCCTTAATCAACACATGAATTCATTAATAACTTACGGAGAATATTTGGAAACCGAAGTCCTGTGACTTGAGACATTCTGACTCAGTAGGTCTAGAATAAGCCCTGGAAATCAGCAAGTATTTTTAAATACTCTTCAGAACTTCTGATGATCAACAGACTTAGGGGCGATTACCTTACGTAGGAGCACTGGGGTCAGAATTAACTACGTAAATTAGTCTGCTTATCTTGAAGGTGCATTCAAGAAGATAGCAGAGATGAATTTCAGAGGGAAAGGACTAGCAGGATGCTGACTGAATTAAAAGAGAAAGAGAAAGTTTGGCACATTCTTGGAGTGACTATAGAGAAAATTAAACAGTGACTGGAAGAGCTTGTATTTTAGGCAGTGACAAAGATTGCAGGCATATCTTTTCAGCCTCAAGACAACCAAGATCGTAAGTCCAGATTGTTCCCTTAGGGCTTTCAGGCCACAGCCGCAGCCTGGTAAGTCAAGCAGGATATCGTGACAGCTGTGGATCTTCCATGCCATCCTCTAGAGGGAGGGACAGCAGCTAGCTTACTGTATGCACAATGTAATGACATTCCGTGGCTATGAGATCATACCAAATATCAAATTAATTACAGCTGACAAAGCATATACAGGGTGTATCGTTCTAAGATTGGGTCTATTTTGAATCTTTAGATCAGGCACAATTTGTTTTTGCATGTATCACATTGTGATTCAACACTTGATATGCCTTAATTGAATTTTCTCCAGAGGAGGAGGTGAGAACTGAAAAGCAAGCTGAGTAAGAGTTGTTACAGTGCAAATGCAGACACTAAGAAAACAAGACCTTTCACAATGGTTGAACTAGTTTACAGTCCCACCAACAGTGTAAAAGTGTTCCTATTTCTCCACATCCTCTCCAGCACCTGTTGTTTCCTGACTTTTTAAGGATTGCCATTCTAACTGGTGTGAGATGGTATCTCATTGTGGTTTTGATTTGCATTTCTCTGATGGCCAGTGATGGTGAGCATTTTTTCATGTGTTTTTTGGCTGAATAAATGTCTTCCTTTGAGAAGTGTCTGTTCATGTCCTTTGCCCACTTTTTGATGGAGTTGTTTGTTTTTTTCTTGTAAATTTGTTTGAGTTCATTGTAGATTCTGGATATTAGCCCTTTGTCAGATGAGTAGGGCGATTCCTCAGGGATCTAGAACTAGAAATACCATTTGACCCAGCCATCCCATTACTGGGTATATACCCAAAGGACTATCAATCATGCTGCTATAAAGACACATGCACACATATGTTTATTGCGGCATTATTCACAATAGCAAAGACTTGGAACCAACCCAAATGTCCAACAATGATAGACTGGATTAAGAAAATGTGGCACATATACACCATGGAATACTATGCAGCCATAAAAAATGATGAGTTCATGTCCTTTGTAGGGACATGGATGAAATTGGAAATCATCATTCTCAGTAAACTATCGCAAGAACAAAAAACCAAACGCCGCATATTCTCACTCATAGGTGGGAACTGAACAATGAGAACACATGGACACAGGAAGGGGAACATCACACTCTGGGGACTGTTGTGGGGTCGGGGAGGGGGGAGGAATAGCATTGGGAGATATACCTAATGCTAGATGACGAGTTAGTGGGTGCAGCGCACCAGCATGGCACATGTATACATATGTAACCAACATGCACATTGTGCACATGTACCCTAAAACTTAAAGTATAATAATAATAAATAAAAAAATGAAAAATCTTAAAAAAAAAAAAAGAAAACAAGACCTTTGTAGGCCTTGAATCCTGACCTCCCCCAAAAGGTATGTGCATGTCATAATCTGGAACCTGTGATGAATTAATTTGGAAAAAGAGTCTTTATAGATGTAATTAAATTAAGGATCTCTAGGTGGCATCATTCTAGATTACCCTAGTGGGCCCTAATCCAATGGGAAGTGTCTTCACAAGAGAAACACAGGGGAGAGAGGCAGAGGAGAAAGCCACGTAACGATGAAGGCAGAGATTAGAGTTACACAGCTGCAAACCAGCAAACTCCTGGGACCACCAGAAGCTGGAAGAGATGACAAAGGATTCTCCCCTAGACCCTCCAGGGGAGCATGCTCCTGTCACCACCTTCATGTTGGACTACTCATCTCCAAAACTATGGCAGAATCAACGCCAGTTGCTTTAAGCCACTCAGTTTGTGGTAATCTGTTACAGCAGCCTTAGAAAACCAAGACATACCTTTATCATAAAAAGTGGGGAAACATTCTTCCCTCGCCACTGTTTTGTGCAACACACAAGTGATAGAAAAGGAAAGAGATGAAGCCCACAAGGAGGTAAGAAAAGATCTCAAATGATGGGGTATGGCAAATGTTCAGAAGGATGGCAGAGGGCTGCACTTCAAGGGCCATGCTAGGAAATAGAATACCACCAGTGCATGCTGGCCATGCAGTTGAGAAAGCAGAGACCACAGGACAAAAACAGCGGCAGAGGAAATAGGAACTGGTAGCTTTAGAGAATTTCAGTAGCCAACCGAATAATCAAATCTACTTTGGACTGTTCCTTAGGAAAGAAGGGTTCATTAGGTGATAAACTCCCCATGATTCTCCTGGGAGAAGCTCCATGCACTCCTCATCTCAAATAACAGGGATAGAAGGGGGTGGCATCCAGGTTACATATAAGCTCAGTGCTTATTCATTAGATATTAGGTGCCAGTGTTCCCTGAATTATCCTTAGATGACATGACTGTGTCAAACCAAACTAAAGTGCTGCCTGAAGGAATAATTGCTAGAAAAATAAAAAGTGGCTTGGAAGAAATCTAGATTTTAGGATGTTTATTCAACCCTTCTCCTGTGTAGAGTGAGAAGAAGGAACACTCCTCTAAACAGTCACATTAGAAAGATTAAGGAGCAGTGCTCATCAGAGCCAGATAAAGACAAGAGGGTACGCTAGAGGGGATGATATCATCAAATTAATATTTCTTAAATATTTGCTCAGCATTTATTTAGTAGAAGAGGAAACAAAGGGATTTCTGTTAATATCTTGAACCAAATTTGATCTCAATTTTTTAGGGAAACTCTTCAGCTTACTGATTTGCTTTTCTTTGGTAAAGCAGAGACAATATTCATGGGAAAAAAAAGAAACAAACTTTGTAAAATGTTTCTTATTTTTAATAGTTCTTTGTTCTCCGGTTTATTTTCATTATTTTCAGGAGCAGAAAATTTCTTGGGACAAAAATTAATGGTTTAAAACATAGATAATTGAAAGAGTCATTTAATTTTGGTAAGCTGTACTACATTCAGTAAATTTTGTGTGTGTATTTTTTTGTTTTTGTTTTTTAAGGGCTCTGTCACCCAGACTGGAGTGCAGTGGTATGATCATGGCTCACCACAGCCTCAGTGTCCTGGGCTCAAGTGATCCTCCTCCCTCAGCCTCTGGGGTAGCTGTTACTACAGCACACGCCACGTGCCTGGTTAAGTTTTTTTGTTTGTTTGTTTTGTTTTGTAGAGATGGGGTCTTGCTATGTTGCCCCAGCTGCTCTTGAAGTCCTGGCCTCAAGTGATCCTCTCACCTGGGTCTCCCAAACGGCTGGGCCAGTAATGTTTTGTTCAGAACCTCAATTGAGATTGCCAACTTGAATAATATAAAAAACTCAACAGACACAAGTCAGCATTAGAGAGGAGTGGTGTACAATTTCTGCTCCAGACTTGAGTCCAAGTCCTTTGGTTTAGAAGCAATTCATGGCTTACCTGTTAAATGAGAAGTTGGACCTGAAAATGAGTTAAGTGATGCCATATTTCAGTGATTTTCTTTTCTTTTTCTTTTTCTTTTTTTTTTTTTTTTTTGAGACAGAGTCTCACTCTGTCACCAGGCTGGAGTACAGTGGCATGATCTCGGCTCACTGCAACCTCTGCCTTCCAGAGTCAAACGATTCTCCTGCCTCAGCCTCCTGAGTAGCTGGGACTACAGGTGCGTGCCACCATACCCAGCTAATTTTTGTATTTATAGTAGAGATGGGATATCACCATGTTGGCCAGGATGGTCTCGATCTCTTGACCTTGCGATCCGCCCACTTCAGCCTCCCAAAGTGCCTGGCCCGTGAATTTTTGTTCTTTGTTGATAGATACCTTGGGAAGCTGCCTTCTTTCTGCCCCTGAATCTAGGTCTGAGTCTAATGACAGCGTCCGTCAGTCTGCTTTCACTTCAACCTTGTGCCTAGAGATGATTTAAAGCCCATGGAAAGGCTTATTAGTCTAAACTGTCTCCATCCGTCAAGACACAATGTGCATCTTGTAATTTTCAATGAGTCTTTCTTCCATGATGCTACAGTTTACACAAAACCCTTTCTAATCGAGCCGTTGCAATGATTGCATATGAGTTAATTTTGGAACTTAATTAATATTTTCTATTAAAACTTTGAGTTTACAAAACACTTTATCCTGACTAATATATTTTAATCATGATGAAAGAAACCCTTTGAAATAGGGTTTATTATTATTATTTTCTATTTTCAGGACAATGAAACGAAGTGATTTGCCCAGTATCCCACATGCAGTGAGTAATAAATAACCCCAGGATTCTAAGCCAGGTCATTCATTTGTTCTCCATTTACAAATACCCTCTTTCATTGATTCTAGGATGCACTTTTTATTTACATTTTAACATCTCAAAAACCAGTATGATGTGTTTAGTGGTTACTGTTTGTGCTTCTTAAGAGTAAAAAATATAAAATTATGTTTCTTAACAGCAGTGCTATCTTAGATTAGGTAGAGTACTGTATTTAATGAGGGTTTACCATACTCCAGGAGCTGTGCTGGGCACTAGAAATAAAGCTGTGATTGGCACAGTCTTCTTTCCCACTCCTGTCGAGTTTCCAGTGTTTCCCCTGCATCATTATACCAACCAGACCTAGCCTGTTGTAAATTGCTTTCTATTGTGTCCCATGTGTTGGAAACAATAGTCTTAACAAGATTACAAGCCCATTGCAGCACTGCATCTAGCCGAATTGCCTTCCCTGTATGTAACCCGTGATAACTTTCCTGTGTATTTTTTTTTCTATTTTATTATTATTATACTTTAAGTTTTAGGGTACATGTGCACAATGTGCAGGTTAGTTACATATGTATACCTGTGCCATGCTGGTGTGCGACACCCATTAACTCGTCATTTAGCATTAGATATATCTCCTAATGCTATCCCTCCCCCCTCCCCCCACCCCACAACAGTCCCCAGAGTGTGATGTTCCCCTTCCTGTGTCCATGTGTTCTCACTGTTCAATTCCCACCAATGAGTCAGAACATGCGGTGTTTGGTTTTTTGTTCTTGCAATAGTTTACTGAGAATGATGATTTCCAATTTCATCCATGTCCCTACAAAGGACATGAACACGTCATTTTTTATGGCTGCATAGTATTCCATGGTGTATATGTGCCACATTTTCTTTTTTTTTTTTTTATTTTTATTTTTTTATTTTTAATCTTTTTTTTTTCTTTTTTTATTATTATTATTATACTTTAAGTTTTAGGGTACATGTGCACATTGTGCAGGTTAGTTACATATGTATACATGTGCCATGCTGGTGCGCTGCACCCACTAACGTGTCATCTAGCATTAGGTATATCTCCCAATGCTATCCCTCCCCCCTCCCCCGACCCCACCACAGTCCCCAGAGTGTGATATTCCCCTTCCTGTGTCCATGTGATCTCATTGTTCAATTCCCACCTATGAGTGAGAATATGCAGTGTTTGGTTTTTTTGTTCTTGCGATAGTTTACTGAGAATGATGGTTTCCAATTTCATCCATGTCCCTACAAAGGACATGAACTCATCATTTTTTATGGCTGCATAGTATTCAATGGTGTATATGTGCCACATTTTCTTAATCCAGTCTATCATTGTTGGACATTTGGGTTGGTTCCAAGTCTTTGCTATTGTGAATAATGCCGCAATAAACATACGTGTGCATGTGTCTTTATAGCAGCATGATTTATAGTCATTTGGGTATATACCCAGTAATGGGATGGCTGGGTCAAATGGTATTTCTAGTTCTAGATCCCTGAGGAATCGCCACACTGACTTCCACAATGGTTGAACTAGTTTACAGTCCCACCAACAGTGTAAAAGTGTTCCTATTTCTCCACATCCTCTCCAGCACCTGTTGTTTCCTGACTTTTTAATGACTGCCATTCTAACTGGTGTGAGATGATATCTCATAGTGGTTTTGATTTGCATTTCTCTGATGGCCAGTGATGATGAGCATTTTTTCATGTGTTTTTTGGCTTCATAAATGTCTTCTTTTGAGAAGTGTCTGTTCATGTCCTTCGCCCACTTTTTGATGGGGTTGTTTGTTTTTTTCTTGTAAATTTGTTTGAGTTCATTGTAGATTCTGGATATTAGCCCTTTGTCAGATGAGTAGGTTGCGAAAATTTTCTCCCATGTTGTAGGTTGCCTGTTCACTCTGATGGTAGTTTCTTTTGCTGTGCAGAAGCTCTTTAGTTTAATTAGATCCCATTTGTCAATTTTGGCTTTTGTTGCCATTGCTTTTGGTGTTTTGGACATGAAGTCCTTGCCCACGCCTATGTCCTGAATGGTAATGCCTAGGTTTTCTTCTAGGGTTTTTATGGTTTTGGGTCTAACGTTTAAATCTTTAATCCATCTTGATTTTTGTATAAGGTGTAAGGAAGGGATCCAGTTTCAGCTTTCTACATATGGCTAGCCAGTTTTCCCAGCACCATTTATTAAATAGGGAATCCTTTCCCCATTGCTTGTTTTTCTCAGGTTTGTCAAAGATCAGATAGTTGTAGATATGCAGCATTATTTCTGAGGGCTCTGTTCTGTTCCATTGATCTATATCTCTGTTTTGGTACCAGTACCATGCTGTTTTGGTTACTGTAGCCTTGTAGTATAGTTTGAAGTCAGGTAGTGTGATGCCTCCAGCTTTGTTCTTTTGGCTTAGGGTTGACTTGGCGATGCGGGCTCTTTTTTGGTTCCATATTAACTTTAAAGTAGTTTTTTCCAATTCTGTGAAGAAAGTCATTGGTAGCTTGATGGGGATGGCATTGAATCTGTAAATTACCTTGGGCAGTATGGCCATTTTCACGATATTGATTCTTCCTACCCATGAGCATGGAATGTTCTTCCATTTGTTTGTGTCCTCTTTTATTTCCTTGAGCAGTGGTTTGTAGTTCTCCTTGAAGAGGTCCTTCACATCCCTTGTAAGTTGGATTCCTAGGTATTTTATTCTCTTTGAAGCAATTGTGAATGGGAGTTCACTCATGATTTGGCTCTCTGTTTGTCTGTTGTTGGTGTATAAGAATGCTTGTGATTTTTGTACATTGATTTTGTATCCTGAGACTTTGCTGAAGTTGCTTATCAGCTTAAGGAGATTTTGGGCTGAGACGATGGGGTTTTCTAGATAAACAATCATGTCGTCTGCAAACAGGGACAATTTGACTTCCTCTTTTCCTAATTGAATACCCTTTATTTCCTTCTCCTGCCTGATTGCCCTGGCCAGAACTTCCAACACTATGTTGAATAGGAGCGGTGAGAGAGGGCATCCCTGTCTTGTGCCAGTTTTCAAAGGGAATGCTTCCCGTTTTTGCCCATTCAGTATGATATTGGCTGTGGGTTTGTCATAGATAGCTCTTATTATTTTGAAATACGTCCCATCAATACCTAATTTAATGAGAGTTTTTAGCATGAAGGGTTGTTGAATTTTGTCAAAGGCTTTTTCTGCATCTATTGAGATAATCATGTGGTTTTTGTCTTTGGCTCTGTTTATATGCTGGATTACATTTATTGATTTGCGTATATTGAACCAGCCTTGCATCCCAGGGATGAAGCCCACTTGATCATGGTGGATAAGCTTTTTGATGTGCTGCTGGATTCGGTTTGCCAGTATTTTATTGAGGATTTTTGCATCAATGCTCATCAAGGATATTGGTCTAAAATTCTCTTTTTTGGTTGTGTCTCTGCCCGGCTTTGGTATCAGAATGATGCTGGCCTCATAAAATGAGTTAGGGAGGATTCCCTCTTTTTCTATTGATTGGAATAGTTTCAGAAGGAATGGTACCAGTTCCTCCTTGTACCTCTGGTAGAATTCGGCTGTGAATCCATCTGGTCCTGGACTCTTTTTGGTTGGTAAACTATTGATTATTGCCACAATTTCAGAGCCTGTTATTGGTCTATTCAGAGATTCAACTTCTTCCTGGTTTAGTCTTGGGAGAGTGTATGTGTCGAGGAATGTATCCATTTCTTCTAGATTTTCTAGTTTATTTGCGTAGAGGTGTTTGTAGTATTCTCTGATGGTAGTTTGTATTTCTGTGGGATCGGTGGTGATATCCCCTTTATCATTTTTTATTGTGTCTATTTGATTCTTCTCTCTTTTTTTCTTTATTAGTCTTGCTAGCGGTCTATCAATTTTGTTGATCCTTTCAAAAAACCAGCTCCTGGATTCATTGATTTTTTGAAGGGTTTTTTGTGTCTCTATTTCCTTCAGTTCTGCTCTGATTTTAGTTATTTCTTGCCTTCTGCTAGCTTTTGAATATGTTTGCTCTTGCTTTTCTAGTTCTTTTAATTGTGATGTTAGGGTGTCAATTTTGGATCTTTCCTGCTTTCTCTTGTAGGCATTTAGTGCTATAAATTTCCCTCTACACACTGCTTTGAATGCGTCCCAGAGATTCTGGTATGTGGTGTCTTTGTTCTCGTTGGTTTCAAAGAACATCTTTATTTCTGCCTTCATTTCGTTATGTACCCAGTAGTCATTCAGGAGCAGGTTGTTCAGTTTCCATGTAGTTGAGCGGCTTTGAGTGAGATTCTTAATCCTGAGTTCTAGTTTGATTGCACTGTGGTCTGAGAGATAGTTTGTTATAATTTCTGTTCTTTTACATTTGCTGAGGAGAGCTTTACTTCCAACTATGTGGTCAATTTTGGAATAGGTGTGGTGTGGTGCTGAAAAAAATGTATATTCTGTTGATTTGGGGTGGAGAGTTCTGTAGATGTCTATTAGGTCCGCTTGGTGCAGAGCTGAGTTCAATTCCTGGGTATCCTTGTTGACTTTCTGTCTCGTTGATCTGTCTAATGTTGACAGTGGGGTGTTAAAGTCTCCCATTATTAATGTGTGGGAGTCTAAGTCTCTTTGTAGGTCACTCAGGACTTGCTTTATGAATCTGGGTGCTCCTGTATTGGGTGCATAAATATTTAGGATAGTTAGCTCCTCTTGTTGAATTGATCCCTTTACCATTATGTAATGTCCTTCTTTGTCTCTTTTGATCTTTGTTGGTTTAAAGTCTGTTTTATCCGAGACTAGGATTGCAACCCCTGCCTTTTTTTGTTTTCCATTGGCTTGGTAGATCTTCCTCCATCCTTTTATTTTGAGCCTATGTGTGTCTCTGCACGTGAGATGGGTTTCCTGAATACAGCACACTGATGGGTCTTGACTCTTTATCCAACTTGCCAGTCTGTGTCTTTTAATTGCAGAATTTAGTCCATTTATATTTAAAGTTAATATTGTTATGTGTGAATTTGATCCTGTCATTATGATGTTAGCTGGTGATTTTGCTCGTTAGTTGATGCAGTTTCTTCCTAGTCTCGATGGTCTTTACATTTTGGCATGATTTTGCAGCAGCTGGTACCGGTTGTTCCTTTCCATATTTAGCGCTTCCTTCAGGAGCTCTTTTAGGGCAGGCCTGGTGGTGACAAAATCTCTCAGCATTTGCTTGTCTATAAAGTATTTTATTTCTCCTTCACTTATGAAGCTTAGTTTGGCTGGATATGAAATTCTGGGTTGAAAATTCTTTTCTTTAAGAATGTTGAATATTGGCCCCCACTCTCTTCTGGCTTGTAGGGTTTCTGCCGAGAGATCCGCTGTTAGTCTGATGGGCTTTCCTTTGAGGGTAACCCGACCTTTCTCTCTGGCTGCCCTTAATATTTTTTCCTTCATTTCAACTTTGGTGAATCTGACAATTATGTGTCTTGGAGTTGCTCTTCTCGAGGAGAATCTTTGTGGCGTTCTCTGTATTTCCTGAATCTGAACATTGGCCTGCCTTGCTAGATTGGGGAAGTTCTCCTGGATAATATCCTGCAGAGTGTTTTCCAACTTGGTTCCATTCTCCACATCACTTTCAGGTACACCAATCAGACGTAGATTTGGTCTTTTCACATAGTCCCATATTTCTTGGAGGCTTTGCTCATTTCTTTTTATTCTTTTTTCTCTAAACTTCCCTTCTCGCTTCATTTCATTCATTTCATCTTCCATTGCTGATACCCTTTCTTCCAGTTGATCGCATCGGCTCCTGAGGCTTCTGCATTCTTCACGTAGTTCTCGAGCCTTGGTTTTCAGCTCCATCAGCTCCTTTAAGCACTTCTCTGTATTGGTTATTCTAGTTATACATTCTTCTAAATTTTTTTCAAAGTTTTCAACTTCTTTGCCTTTGGTTTGAATGTCCTCCCATAGCTCAGAGTAATTTGATCGTCTGAAGCCTTCTTCTCTCAGCTCGTCAAAATCATTCTCCATCCAGCTTTGTTCCGTTGCTGGTGAGGAACTGCGTTCCTTTGGAGGAGGAGAGGCGCTCTGCGTTTTAGAGTTTCCAGTTTTTCTGTTCTGTTTTTTCCCCATCTTTGTGGTTTTATCTACTTTTGGTCTTTGATGATGGTGATGTACAGATGGGTTTTCGGTGTAGATGTCCTTTCTGGTTGTTAGTTTTCCTTCTAACAGACAGGACCCTCAGCTGCAGGTCTGTTGGAATACCCTGCCGTGTGAGGTGTCAGTGTGCCCCTGCTGGGGGATGCCTCCCAGTTAGGCTGCTCGGGGGTCAGGGGTCAGGGACCCACTTGAGGAGGCAGTCTGCCCGTTCTCAGATCTCCAGCTGCGTGCTGGGAGAACCACTGCTCTCTTCAAAGCTGTCAGACAGGGACACTTAAGTCTGCAGAGGTTACTGCTGTCTTTTTGTTTGTCTGTGCCCTGCCCCCAGAGGTGGAGCCTACAGAGGCAGGCAGGCCTCCTTGAGCTGTGGTGGGCTCCACCCAGTTCGAGCTTCCCGGCTGCTTTGTTTACCTAAGCAAGCCTGGGCAATGGCGGGCGCCCCTCCCCCAGCCTCGTTGCCGCCTTGCAGTTTGATCTCAGACTGCTGTGCTAGCAATCAGCGAGATTCCGTGGGCGTAGGACCCTCTCAGCCAGGTGTGGGATATAGTCTCGTGGTGCTCCGTTTTTTAAGCCGGTCTGAAAAGCGCAATATTCGGGTGGGAGTGACCCGATTTTCCAGGTGCATCCGTCACCCCTTTCTTTGACTCGGAAAGGGAACTCCCTGACCCCTTGCGCTTCCCAGGTGAGGCAATGCCTCGCCCTGCTTCGGCTCGCGCACGGTGCGCGCACACACTGGCCTGCACCCACTGTCTGGCACTCCCTAGTGAGATGAACCCGGTACCTCAGATGGAAATGCAGAAATCACCCGTCTTCTGCGTCGCTCACGCTGGGAGCTGTAGACTGGAGCTGTTCCTATTCGGCCATCTTGGCTCCTCCCCCCTGTGCCACATTTTCTTAATCCACTCCTGTGTATTTTTTTCTGTTGCTTACTTTGGCTTTCTACACCAGATAGAAAGAGGTCACAGGTGGTAGAATCATTATATTGATCCAGACTTTTAAAATATTGTTCTAGAACTTGGGAAATCACAGCTGGGCCAGTGATATGGAGGCACTAACAGGGATCTACAGCTTTGCATCACTGTAATCTGCCGGCATAGCACCTGATGCCTTTGAGGCACAGGGATATTTAATAGGCAGAGCCCCGCTCTCACATATATTGCCCCCAAACACATTGCTAAAAACAAAACAATACGAAAATAATGTAGATTGTTTCTTTTCTTTCTTTTTTTTTTTTGAGACCGAGTCTCGCTCTGTCGCCCAGGCTGGAGTGCAGTGGGTGGATCTCGGCCCACTGCAACCTCCACCTCCCGGGTTCAAGCAATTCTCCTGCCTCAGCCTCCCAAGTAGCTGGGACTACAGAGGCACGCCGGCATCCCCGGCTAATTTTTTTGTATTTTCAGTAGAGACGGGGTTTCACCGTGTTGCCCAGGCTGGTCGCGAACTCCTGAGCTCAGGCAATCCGCCATCCTCAGCCTCCCAAAGTGCTGGGATTACAGGCATGAGCCACCATGCCTGGCCGATTCTGTTTCTTTACAGCAGTCTTGGCATTAGCAGCTGCAGCAGACTAAGATGCAAGGGACTTCTGAGAAACAGTGAGGCCACAAAACCCGATCTATAGCCCTGGCTTTTCTGCTAACTGGCTATCAGTCCCTGAGCCAACACTGACTTGTCTCTAAGGTGGATGTATCCGACTGAATAATCTCCAGGTCCTTCCTGGCTTTAACAGCATAAGAAGTGGAAGCCAACTAGGGTTCGGTTTTATTTTTCCATGTGCTCAGAAGATACTGGCCCCCTAATTAAAGAGATGCTACCACAGTTGTGTCAGAACCAGCTCTGGAAGGTCTTTGGCCAACAGAATACCTTGTAGTTTTCAATGTAATTTATTAATCACTGCAGTGGCATGAGGCAGGGGGGCCTGGTGACTAACCACTCCTCTGCTCCCTTCCTGCTGGTGAAGTGTCTGACAGCATGAGAAAAGCAGGGCCGCGCGCGGTGGCTCACGCCTGTAATCCCAGCACTTTGGGAGGCCGAGGCGGGTGGATCACGAGGTCAGGAGATTGAGACCATCCTGGCTAACAAAGTGAAACCCCGTCTCTACTAAAAATACAAAAAATTAGCCGGGCGAGGTGGCGGGCGCCTGTAGTCCCAGCTACTCGAGAGGCTGAGGCAGGAGTATGGCGTGAACCCCGGGGGGTGGAGCCTGCAGTGAGCCGAGATGGCGCCACTGCACTCCAACCTGGGCGACAGCGGGACCCCGTCTCAAAAAAAAAAAAAAAAGAAAAAGAAAAGCAGGAAGGATTGTGGTGGGCAAATAGTATCCTGTTACTCATCCCAATCCATCCACAGCTGCTGCTCCTGCTATCCTACCTGGGTTATGCATTATGGCTGAGTAAGTGACTGGTGTAAACAAGCAGCAAATCCTTCTTCCAAGCCAGTAATATCCTAGACACCTCAGGAAAAGTCAACTCTGATCATCAAAATTTATTTTTTATTTTTAAATTTCAACATTTATTTTAGGTTCAAGGCATACACGTGCAGCTTTGTTACATGGTGCATATTACCTGATGCTGAGGTTTGTGGTACAAATAATCTTGTCACCCAGGTAGTGAGCATATTACCCGAGAGGTAGTTTTTCAACCCTTGATCCCCTCCCTCCCCTCTCTGGTAGTCAGTTTCCAGCGTCTTTTGTTTCTATCTTTATGTCCATGAGTACCCAGTGTTTGACTCCTACTTATAAGTGAGAATATGCAGTATTTTTGTTTTCTGTTCCTGAGTTTATTTGCTTAAGGTAATGGCCTCCAGCTGCATCCATGTTGCTGCAGAGAACATAATTTCATTATTTATTCTGGCTGCATAGTATTCCATAGTGTATAATGCCACATTTTTTAAATGGAATGTACTGCTGATGGGCATCTAGCTTGATTCCATGTCTTTGCTACTGTGAGTGGTGCTGCGATGAACATACTAACGCAGGTGTCTTTTTGGTAGAATGATTTATTTTTCTTTGGATAAATACCCAGAAATGGGATTGCTGGTTAAAAGGGAATAATAATTCTCTGTTAAGTTCTTTGAGAAATCTCCAAACTGATTTTACAGTGGCTGAACTAATTTGCATTCCCTCCAGCAGTGTACAAGTGTTCCCTTTTCTTCACAGCCTTACCAACATGTTATTTTTTTACTTTTTATTAATAGCCATTCTGACTGGTGTGAGATGGTATTTCATTGTGGTTTTGATTTGCATTTCTCTAGTGATTAGTGATTTTGAGCATTTTTTCATACGTTTGTGGTCAACTTCAGTAAAGTTTCAGTATACAGGCTGGGTTCAGTGGCTTACACCTGATATCCCAGCACTTTGGGAAGCCGAGGCAGGCAGATCACTTGAGGCCAGGAGTTTGAGACCAGCCTGGCCAACATGGAGAAACCCTGTCTCTACTAAAAATACAAAAAGTTAGCCAGGCATGGTGGCATGCACCTGTAATCCCAACTACTCAGGAAGCTGAGGCCGGAGAATCACTTGAATCTGAAATGTGGAGGTTGCAGTGAGCTGAGATCATGCCACTGCACTCCAGCCTGGGCAACAGAGCAAGACTCCTTCTAAAAAAAATAAATAAATAAAAAATAAAAAAATAAAAAAAAGCTTCAGGGGTACAAAATCAATGTGAAAAAATCAATAGCATTTCTATACACCAATAACATTTAAGCTGTGAGCCAAATCAAGAATGCAATCCCATTTTCAAAAGCCACACACAAATAAATACCTGGGACTACCTCTAACTACAGAGGTGAAAGATCTCTACAAGGACTACAAAACACTACTGAAAGGAATCATAGATGACCCAAACAAGTGGAAACACATTCCATGCTCCATGGATTGGAAGAATCAATATTGTTAAAATGGCCATACTGCCCAAACCAATCTACAAATTCAAGACTATTGCTATTAAACTCTCCATGTAATTTTTCACAGAAATAGAAAAACTATTTTAAAACTCATATGGAACCAAAAAAGAGTTTGAATAGCCAAAACAATCCTAAGCAAAAGAAAAAAAAACCAAAGCCATCACGTTACCCAATTTCTAACTATATTACAAGGCTATTGTCATCAAAACAGCATGGCACAGTAGAAAAACAGACACATGGACCAAGGGAACGGAATAGAGAACCTAGAAATAAAGCCACACATCTACAACCATCTGATCTTCAACAAAGTCAACAAAAATAAGCAATGGGGAAAGGATTCTCTATTTAATAAATAATCCTATTTAATAATCTCTATTTAATAAATAAGTAAATAACTGACTAGCCATACACAGAAGAATGAAACTGGACTCCTACCTTTCACCATGTATAAAAATTAAGATGGATTAAAGGCTTAAATATAAGACCTAAAACTACAACAAATCTACAAGCAAACCTAGAAAATACCATTCTGGACATCGGCCTTGACAAAGAATTTATGACTAAGTCCTCAAAAGCAATTGCAACAAAAACAAAAATTGACAAATGGGACCTAATTAAACTAAACAGTTTCTGCACAGCAAAAGAAACTATCAAAACAGTAAACAGACAACCTACAGGATGGGATAAAATATTCATAAATTATGCATCTGACACTGGTCTAATATCCAGAATCTATAAGAAACTTAAACAACTCAGTGAGCAAAAAACAAATAAGCCCATTAAAAAGTGGGCAAAGGACATGAAGAGACACTTCTGAAGAAAAGATAATTAAAATGTAAACATAGACCTTCAATTTTAGTTTCCTTTCTATTTTAGTTTTTGTAGTGAGAATGCACTAGCTTGTATGTACCTTTGTTTGAAACTGTGTTTCCTAGGAAATAATCAAATTGTTTCATATGTGCAAGGCTACATTTTCTTTCTGCAGACATCTCATCTCTGAAGGGGTCAAGGTGTCAGGAGTCAACTCATCATTTCTTATTGAAAGAAGCTTGTGGAGTCATCAACATTTTTGTGCAGGCTGTAATGTAGAGTAAGTGATACAATCAAAAGAAAAGCCAAAGCCAATTAAAGATTTGGAAGGGACATTGGAGATGCTCTGGTCCAAACCCTGCATTTTATAGATGTGGCGATATGACTCTCCCAGGATTGGTTAATTCTTGAACTAAATCCGCTGGTTCTCAGTTCAGTCTCCTCATCCCTCCCAGAGCTCACAACTGAGGTACAGAACTGTGCAGTCAAACTTTGCAAACAAAGGCTCCAAGGATGTGCATTCATTCTACCATGAGGCACTGAACTGGGGAGCAGAGTTTCCCCAAGATCATAGCTCGGGAATAGAGATAGAGAGGAGGTGGGAAAATGGAGCATTAAGGTGAAAACGCTTTAATCAGTAAAAGCACAAAATCAGAATATCCCCTAATTTCACTTTAATGCATTTTTTATCTTCTCAAGTTAGAGAGAGAACTATGTTATGAGAGAGCTATGTACACTAGACATCAGATACCAAGTTCCAATCCCAGCTTTTTCTCACTTACCAGCTGCACAGCAGCACTGTAGAAAAAGCTTTGGGTATAGAGTCTGAGGAAGCTAGGGAGTCACTCTGCAGTAGCTCATAGATATATGCCAAATTTTCTAGTGGGTCTCACTATATCATGTGATAATATGTGTGTTTTTTTCTTTTTTTCCCTTCTATTCCTGTTTCTATGTCTAGTTTTTTTTCAACAAAAAAATGCATGACAATTATAGTTTGATCACATATTAGTGGCTATAAGCATCCGTGTTCTTATCCCTTCTGAGTGGGAATAATAGTATAAACTTGCAGAAATGTTAATATAATTAAAGGAGATAATAAAATGAGCTTAGAATGTAATAGTTGCTCAATAAACCTATTTACATTCCTCTGAGTAACCTCTCACGATTCATTTATTTTCAGTCTCTATTTCCTCATCAGAGAAAAGGAATAATGATAACAGCAAACCTCAAGGTAGTCAAAATCGTATGTGACAAAGTATGTCAAAATGTTACAGAAATGAAAGACATGCTATGGGATATAAATGCTGGATATAATTATATGAAAAAGCCAATACAATTATAATGTGATGCTATATAAATTGACATAAAACATGATGCCTGCTTCACAATAGGATACCACCATATGCTTATCGGAATGGCTACAATTTAAGAAAAAGTGGTAATACCAAATGCTGGAAAAGATGCAGAGAAACTAGATAATTTGTACATTGCTGATGGGAAAGCAGAACAGTACAGCCGCTCTGGAAAACAGTTTGGTAGTTTCGTATAAAAGTAAATATGCAATTACCATACAAATTAGTATTATGCTTTGAGGCATTAGTCCCAGAGAAACAAAAGCCTATGTTCACACAAAAACCTGTGCATAAATATTCATAGCAGCTTTACTCATCATAGTCCAATACTGGAAACAACCCACATGTCTTCAATGGGTGAATGGTTAAACAAACTGTAGACATCAGAACATGAAATACCACTCAGCAATCAATAGGGATGAATTATTGATACATACAACTTGGATGAGTTACTGGGAAATTATGCTGAGTTTTTAAAAGTCTCTCTTAAAAGATTATTGTGTTAGTCCATTCAAACTGCCATAACAAAATACCTTAGACTAGGTGATTTATAAATAACAGAGATTTATTTCTTATAGTTTTAGAGACTGGGAAGTCCAATATCAAGGCACCAGCTGATTTCATGTCGATTTCATGTCTGGCGGGTCCTTGTTTTCTGCTTCATAGATGGCACCTTCTTGCTGTATCCTCAGGTGGTGGAAGAGGCAAATAAGCTCCCTCAGGCCTCTTTTATAAGGAAACTAACTCCATTCATGAGGGCTCTGCCTTCATGACCCCATCACCTCCTGAAGACCCCATCTCTTAATACTGTTGCATTGGGAATTTGATTTCAACATATAAATTTGGGGAGGGGGACACAAATATTCAAACCACAGCAGTTCCATACTGTATAATCATATTTATGCAACATTCTTGAAATGACAATGATACAGAACTGGAGAATAGATTAGGGGTTGTGCAGGTTAGTGATGGGGGAGGGGATTGAGAGGGAGGTAGGCAAGGTTATAGAAGGGCAGCCTGAGGGATCTTTGTGGGGCTGGAACTGTTTCTTGAGTGTGGTGGTGGGTACGTGAATCTACATATGTGCTAAAATTGCATAGGACTATACACACACATACACACACACGCATGTAAATAAAACACGGAACATCAGAATAAAATCAGTAGATTGTAATGACCTCAATATCCTGATTCTGATATTGTACTTTAGTTTTCTAAGATGTTACCATGGGTAAAGGTAGGTAAAAGATACATGCAATCTCTCTGTATTCTTTGTTACAACTGAATGTGGAATAAAAATTATCTCCACTTGTGGAAGTTTAATTAAAAAGTGAGGCTTACGTTATTTGTTACATGAAAAAGCAGTCTACTTTTATAAAAACATGCATAGTGAAAGTTGGGAGAATGTACTCTTAGTCAGGGTTCAGTTGAACATAACAGAATCCATTCAACTATTTTCGGCACAGAGGGATTTGACACAGGAAATTAAGTGTTTGCAAAATCATTGAAAAGCTTAAGGATCAGACATTAGGCTGAGCTTCCAGTAGTGACTCCCTGAACAACACTGTAGGTCAGGCCATGAAGGAGCTGCCACAATCATCAGTCACAGCCCCAAGCTGTGCAGCCACCGCTAGCTCAAGCTGCACTTCTTCAACTAAGGTTGCACCAGCAACACAGGCGCTTTGTGCATGTCATGGGCTGAACACAACATGGGCCCTGTACTGCAGCCTTACCGATTAAACATCTATGCT
Source organism: Homo sapiens (assembly GCF_000001405.40). Lineage (NCBI taxonomy): Eukaryota > Metazoa > Chordata > Mammalia > Primates > Hominidae > Homo > Homo sapiens. The sequence continues at coordinate 40,425,278 of NC_000008.11, read as the reverse complement.
GCTTGTCAGGGGGAACTGCAGATGCAGCACAAACACAAACTCCATCTCATTTCCACCGTCCAGACTTCACACTGTGCTTTGGCTTGGGGGCTGATGGATCATATGGGAAAGTTGAGGTTTGAGGGAGCCTGAGAAATGCACCCTTTACATGTCCAGCTTCTAAAGTGAAGTATAAGATGCTATGGGAATTTGAATGGAGTTTAGGGAGTCAATCTGCCACACCCACCACACATATGCACCAACATTTCTAGTGCTCTCTGATATATAATTTGTCATAATTTGTCATTTTTCTTCTTCTTTCTCTATGCCTGTTTTTTTTTTAATGTATGTCAATATTAATAAAAACAAAAACCAATTCCAGTTTGAAAAGTCAGACCAAACAAATAATCAATGACCAGTTTAGGGAGTGGAGGTGAAGCCACAGTAATTGGAACCTGATCATCTTTAAAGTATCTTTAAGGCCAGGTGCGGTGGCTCATGCCTGTAATCCCAGCACTTTGGGAGGCCAAGGCAGGATGATGGCTTGAGCCCAGGAGTTTGAGACCAGCCTGGGTAACACAGCAAGACACTGTCTCTACAAAATAATAATAATAATACTACAAAAATTTGCTGGGTATGGTGGTGTGTGTCTGTAGCCTTAGCTGCTCAGGAGGCTGAAGTAGGAGAATCACTTTAACTCAGGAGTATAGGGCTGCGGTGAGCTATGATTGCACCCACTGCATTCCAGCTTGGGCAACAGAGACAGACCTTGTCTCAAAGAAAAAAAAAAAGAGAGAGAAAGAAAGAAAATAAAAAGAAAGTAACTTTAAAGTCTGAGAGCTTATGTTTCTATGATAAATGGCCATCTCAGCCTAGAAAGCTTTAGGCTCAGGGTTCAAAATTGAAATGTCTGCAATAAGAAGTAATATAAATGAGAGAAATAGGCTGGGTAAGACAATATAGAGTGATGAAAACTGCAAACCTGTCCCGTTTGAAGTGGAAAGTCACTGTTTGGTGCCAGCTAATTATTGCCATGTAGAAATTCAGGCTCAGGTTTATCCAATCTTCTGATTTTTTTAAAAAAGGATTTTTATGAAAGATAGGATAATTTTAAATGTTGGTTTCAACACATTTAAATCTTGGCTTCTACTGATTGCAGCAGAAACAGCAGCTCCTTGGTGGCCTATTCTACAGCGTTGTTAGGGGAATCATTACTACACTACTGAAAGTTCAATTAAAATATTGTTGCTAACATTCTGACATCCAAACAGAACACCTCCTCAAGCTGGATTTTTCTAGGAAGCCACCAAGTATGCAAGCTCTGTGTTAAGCCCTTGCTACAGCTGAAGCTCTGTCTTTGAATTTCCAGTAGATACTTTTCTGAACAACAGTGATTCCAGGGAAGGATATCCAGTCAAGCCGATGGATGTAGCTACCATGATATGAACTTGGGGGATTTGGTGACTTCTCCCTAAGCACGCCTTGGAGCCAAGGTGGAGATGAGTTCAGAGGCTATTTGGAAGGACTTGCTTTGTCTCTGTCTCCTCCATGAACATCACATCAACTGACAAAGCACAGAGCATGAGGGGACTTTCATGCTTGAGACATCATTTAGCACCAAAGTAGCCCTCACGACTCCACCTTTCAATATATTCCTAAGAGGAAACAAAAAAGATAAAAATGGGCTGCAAGGAACGTTGGAATTGAATACATACAATAACTGTCATGACTTTTCTAACACTACCGAGAGCTAACATTTCTGCAATGTTTCCTGAGTGTGAAGAATTTTCCTAAGCACCTTGCATATATTAACTTGTTCAGTCCTCACAATAGCCTGGGAGGTAGATGAGTGATTATTTTTTCCATACTGAAGTTGAGGAAACAAAGGCACAGAGAGGTCAGATGATACACTGGATTCAGTCTATGCATCACTGTAGATCCAGGGCCCGTCTGGCCAGAGCCAGTCTAGCGATGTCCTTCATCATCCTCAGCATCATGGATCAGGGCTCCTGATGCTGTTGTTTCTGCTCCTATAGGTCAATGGCTCAGCCCTGCTGTTGCTTATAAACACAACCTGACAGTGTCAGCGAGGCACAGTGGCTCATGCCTGTAATCCCAGCACTTTGAGAGGCTGAGGCTAGAGGATCGTCTGAACCCAGGAGTTCAAGACTAGCCTGAGAAGCATGGCGAAGCCCCACCTCTACAAAAATAATAAAAGTTAGCCGGGCATGATGATGCACGCTTGCAGTCCCAGCTACTCGGGAAGCTGAGGTGGGAGGATCACCAGAGGCTGGGGAGGCTGCAGTGAGCTGTGATTGCACCACTGCACTTGAGCCTGGGCGACAGAGTGAGACCTTGTCTAAAAAAAAAAAAAAAAAAAACAAAAAAAACAAAAGCAAAAAAAACAAAAACCAGCCTACCAGGCTTACGGTATCCACCTTCCACATGAGCCACCTGTCTCTCAGCCCCTGCCTGGGGCTCCCTGTGGTCCGCAATGGCACTCACTCATTTCCCATGCATGGAAACACTAGAAGTTTAGGGAAATTAACTCACAGTAATGGTAAACTTTGATCAATGAAAAATATGAATCGGCAGTTGAACTCCTATTTCCTAAACTTAGGAAGTAGTTTCACGTCTTTGAAGATATTGAGAAATCAGCTTGTCGTGCAGCTGTGATTAGCCCAGTTCTGTACTTTCTTACAATTGTTCTCCCCTTTTTCTGCCTCACTTCCCCTTTCCTTTACTCATTTTCACTGGGATTGCACTCGCTAGTGAGGTGAGCACATAATCTCTGCCTTATGCTCTGTGTTCTAAGGAACTTGGATAACTAGATAACTCATCCAAGGTTGTGTAGCTAGTAAGTACCAGTGCCAGAAGAGTCCAGAAATCTATTCCCAGAGTCCGTGTGTTTTAATCACTCAATATACTACCTCTAAAGGAAGAAATAAAACCTTGGGTTACAAAATTAATGTCATCTTTAAAAATAACCACCCCCTATCTAGCAAGTGTACTGCTGGCATTTTCTGCCTTTCCTCACACTTAAATCTAATCATACTTCACTCCAGGCTGGGTGCTGGAAGTTTCCTATATAGACTACTAATTTTGTTTATTCTATATCTCCCAACTACTGGATGTTGGCTATTAGAGGGCAAAATCTACCTGACTGTACTGTGAGAAATTGCATGAAACATGTAATGTAAAAGCTACTAAATGATAGCCAAAGAGCTGTTTCATATAGTTTTGTTTCTGTTGTCAAATAATCTCAATTTCTCTCCAACAAATGCTTATTCTGTTCTTATTATGAAGCACACAGGAGGTCAGATAGCAAGAGAAGAAGCCATGTAAAATATGGTCCTTATGCTCATAGAGACCTGCTTCTACTGGGGGAGACAGAGAAGTCAATAAATAATTTTAATATTATGATCAAGTGCTATAGCTGCATTTTCCTTAATGAAATCTTGCTTTTAAAGAGAACTTGGTTTACTTATTCCATTGTAAACTTTTAAGCAGGCTGGGCGCAGTGGCTCACGCCTGTAATCCCAGCACGTCGGGAGGCCGAAGCAGGTGGATTGCTTGAGGTCAGGAGTTCAAGACCAGCCTGGCCAACATGGTAAAACCCTGTCTCTACTAAAAACACAAAAATCAGCTGGGCATGGTGGTGCATGCCTGTAATCCCAGATACTCAGGAGGCCAAGGCACGAGAATCACTTGAACCTGGGAGGCAAATGTTGTAGTGAGCCAAGATAGTGCCACTGCACTCCAGCCTGGGCAACAAAGTAAGATTTTTTCTCAAAAAAAAAAAAAAAAAAAAGAAAGAAAGAAAGAGAGAAAGATAACCTTTAAACCAATAAGTAATGAAGGTCCTAAAGTATTTTTGTTTGTATAAATTTAAGGGTACACGGGCAGTTTTGTTACATAGATATGACGCACAATGGTGAAGTCTGGGTTTTAATGTAACCATCACCGAAGTAATGTACATTGTACTTATTAAGTCATTTCTCACCCCTCACCCATCTCCCACCCTCTAGAGTCTCCAGTATCTATCATTCCACACTCTATGTCCATGTGTATACATTAATCAGCACCCACTTATAAGTGAGATCATGTAATATTTGTCTTTCTGTTTCTGAGTTGTTTCACTTGAGATAATTGCCTCCAGTTCCATTCATGTTGCTGCAAAGTACATAATTTCACTCTTCCTTATGGCTGAATAGTGTTCCAGTGTGTATAGGTACCATATTTTCTTTATCCAATCACCCACTGATGGATGTTTCAGTTAATTCCATATATTTGCTATTGTGAATAGTGCTATGATAAATATACACAGGCAGATATCTTTTTGATACAAATGTTTTATTTTCCTTTGGCTACATACCAGTAGTGAGGTTGCTGGATGAAATGCTAGTTCTATCTGCAGTTTTGTTACAAAATCTCCATATTGTTTTCCAAAGGAGTTGTATTCATTTATATTCCTACAACAGTGCATAAGCATTTCTCTTTCTATGGGCCCTAATATGTTTTTAAAGAAATGAGATCCCAGATCTGTGCAGGACAGAAAAATGTGGGATGCTCAGTGAGGACCAGCAGAACCACAGCATATGCAACCTCATTCAAAAGTAAGGTCATATACTGCTACCAATCCAATAATAAGTGCCGACATTTATCGAGGTCGCTCCATGTCAGGCTTTGGAAAGTATTTTAACTATTTTAACACATTAAAGTCTCGCAAGGGTAGTATAAGGTGGGCACTATTAATGTGGTCCTCATCTTATAGATGAGAAACTAGAGCACAGAGTGATTAATTGCTTAGTCCAATGACACACAGATGGCAGGTGTAGGGCGGGCATCTGAGCATTGTGACCTCTGCTGCAGAGCTGACTTGAACACCCACCATGCTCCCCACCTGCCTCTCTGAGCTCTAATCAGCCTCCGGGGCACAATCCTTGGTGGATGGATATCTTCTAGCTTCTCCTAAGAAGGATTTCTGGCTTTTCTTTTCAAAATTATGTCCTAAACCTTTTAGAAATAATTTTGAATTTCTCCATATATGACCTCTTGAGGCAATGAGAATAATATGTAGTGCTCAAATTGGGTCACTTTTGAGAGTAAAAAGGAGGCACTATTAATAATTCAACCAGGTTAAAGGTGAAACCAGGACTGTTCTAGGTGGACCAAGAAGTACAGTTACCTAGACACACATCATGTGCCCCCACAGAAAGAAACGGTGGAGTTTATATTAATACCATGTTGGATCCAGAAGGTTTAAACAGAAAACCTCAGTCAGACTATGACAGAGCTGGAAGAAATAATCAAGGATTTCTTAGAACGGAATCTTTCAAAGGTTTTCCATTTCTCTAAAGATAATATTTCAAGCTTCTCAGTCTATCACAAAAGGCCCCTCATTATCTGGTGCCTGCCTAACTTTCTCATCTCCTCCCCAGATTCCTTCTTCCTTCCCTGACCTTGTGTCTGGTCAGTGGGTTATGTCAGGTTTTTTTATTCCTTCCACACCTCTATGTCTTGTGCATGCTGTTGCCTTTCCTTAGAGCTCTGTTTATCCTGGTGTGCAAGTGGCAAATCCCTAAGTATCTTTGAAGAACCAACTGAGAGCTGATCCTTGCCTTTTCTTTCACTAGAAGGCAAGTTTCTTGCATAGAACACTCAGTTCAAGTAACACAAAGAATAAACAATTGATCCAGAAGGTTTACACAGATTTAACTGTATCCAAAGCCAGTTGCCCTGGCTCTCAAAGGATTCGGAGGACTTTCCCAGGCAGAAAACGTTGAAGCGGGGTTGGGGGACCTAAGAGCCAAGGGAAGGGGATAGAAAAAGACAGGAAATACAGGAACATTGTGATAGAGAAAAGCCAGAAGCCCAGAGAAGCAGGAAATGAAGATGAGGCCTGGAAGTACAGGGCCTGTGGCCTGTGCTAACACAGATCAGAGAGAGATTAGATGAGACTCCGCCAATGGTGAGCCTTCTTCTTTAGCAATTGTTTCAAGGACTACTCGCCTCTCAGCTGGATTCCTGACAGTGTCAAGTGGAGATGGAATGATCAAATTTGTTGTATACCATGAAAAAGAAAATAGCTTTTCCATCTCCATTACTGCTGCGATTAGAAAAATGTTATTAACCTTTCAAAAACTTACCATTTTTGGTTTTTTTTTTTTTTTTTTTTTTTTTTGCAGTTTGGTCAAGGTTTCACATTTATCTTGAAAATGCTAGTTTCTGCACTATTTTTAATTGAAGGGCTTTAGGGAAAATTCAATTAAGTTGTGGTATACGAACTGAAACTTGGAATATATTAAAAATATTCCACTGCACAGTTCACCAATTACCTGACTTCTAATTTGAGTCCCACTGTCATTCCACTTTGCATTCAAACTCAAAAGATTGGCTCAGAAAAATGGACCGAGGACTTTAGCAATCACAAATATACCAAATGCATTTGGGCTTAAAGACAATATGTCTAATATGAAACCCATCCTAACTGGTAGTTAGAGAATTGCAAAGCTGGAAGTGGCCTCAGTAATCTTCTTTTAAACACTTCCTCTTATAGATGAGCAAACTGATGCCCAAAGAGTATAATCCATTCAACACATACAACAGAGCTAAGGCTAAAAATCAAGAATCCTGAGAATTGGCTGTCTTAGCACAGTCCCAGGGTTGGTTAGGATGCTACTCACCTGGTGTTCTTGGGTGGAATTCACTTCGTAGAGGCCCCATAATCAGCATCCTAATGTTTTAGGCTGGTGGAGCAGTAAAGGAGAGACAGTCAACAACGGAACTATCACAGATCTATGCTGATCCTTGTTCTCTTCTTCCTAGCTTCTTACAAACTATACTGTCTATGCCATTGTGCTAATATTTTATTACCACCAGCCAGAACAGGATGCAGGCCCCTCCCATGCAACACTCTCCCGGATTGCCTCCCGGTGCTATCTCCCCATAAAGTCCATCCCCGAGGGAGGAATCTGAGGAGAGGAAGGGGGTGAAGTGGGTATCCAGGTTCTAGACCTGTATTTCAGTCACTGTATGTATTGACAATACTGGAAATATACTTCAAAGCTAAACTGGAATTATCTATTAGCAGTTGTTTTTCATTAACCACAGCTATCTGCTTCTTGTTAGCAAAACCAAAGCCAAGCTCTTGAACAGCTGCTTCATATTCCCGCACAATTTTTAGGGCAAATGTCCATAAATCATTATGCAAATTTGCTGACTGTGACTAGTTAATATAATGGCTTTCAGTTGAATATACTGAATTCCATGTTTCAGGAATTTTTCAGGCAGGTATATCAATATCTCATCCAGAAGAATGTTCTGCAGGCATTACTAGGAAGACCTCATCATGTGGAGAACAGTATTTGATTTTCTCTGTTTAATAAATATTATTACATCTTTTTAATTAAAATAAAATTTTTATAAAAGAAATACAATACTGGTAATGCAATTACTCAATATACCAATTTCATTTTTGCCTATTTGCCTTCTAGGTTTTAAAATTATGCTTGAAAATTTAAAAAGCATCATGAGTCTGCCCTTTTACAAATTGGCTTTTTAAAATTTAACATATAAGAAACTTTTTTTCTAACTTTGAATTTTTCTTTATTTAAAATAGCTGTAATATTTTATCAGCTTCATGTACTATAATTTAATAGCTTCCCTCTCCTTTAATTTTGTTGTTTGTGTTGGCTAATCTTGAGTGTCAACTTGATTGAATTGAAGGATGCAAAGTATTGGTCCTGGGTGTGTCTGTGAGGATGTTACCAAAGGAGATTAACATTTGAGTCAGTGGACTAGGAGAGGCAGACCCACCCTCAATCTGTGTGGTCACCATCTAATCAACTACCAGCGTGGCCAGAATAAAAGCAGGCAGAAGAACATGGAAAGACTAGACTGGTTTAGTCTTCTGGCCTACATTTTTCTCCCATGCTGGATGCTTACTGCCCTCAAACATCGGACTCTAAGTTCTTCAGCTTTGGGAATCGAACTGGCTTCCTAGCTCCTCAGCTTGCAGACGGCACATTGAGACTTCACCTTGTGATCGTGTGAGTCAGTACTCCTTAATAAACTCCCCTTTATATATACATCTGTCCTATTAGCTCTGTCCCTCTAGAGAATGCTGACTAATTCATTGTCATTATCAATTGCTGCCATAAACAGACTTATACTTTTTTCCTTTCTAGAATTTTCTTATGAAAAAAATTCATGTTTGGATAAAGTTGTGAACATTTTAATGTCATTTACTGTATATTATTATATTGACTTCCAAAAGCGGTATATTAATTTGCAATGTCACCAGGAGAATGTGTATGTGCCAGTTTTACAGGAATATCAACATCTAACCTTTTATTTACTTATTCCTAGCTTGTAAAATGCACTCAAGTTTCTATATGGCTTTTATTTGATCAATTCATTGATCAATTCCTTTAATTAGTCAGTCAAGAAATATTTATCAAATGAATGTCTTGCTAGGAGCTGGAAAATGAGAGCTAGAAGGAGTCCTTTGCCCTAAAAAGACCTCAATCTAAGCATCAAAGTTGATGGCACAACACAGGCATTTATAGTGGAATATTTTAAGAATGATGGGAGAGTTATACACAGGGCCCTCTGAGAGCACTGAGACAGGCATTTACCTCGAGATGGAGGTACAAAAAGTGACTTCAGAAATGAATTGACAAATGGGGAATGTAGGAATTCCAGAGTGAGAATCAGAGGAATGATGGGCAAATGCATGGAGGTATGAGAGGAAAAGTCAGCTTGAAAGCCTGTAGCTTGAGGGATCTGCAGAATCAGGTATGGTTGAATGATGGGGAAAGATATGGGCATATTAGTTAGGACCACTTTGGCTTCAAATGTCATAAATATCAAGTAGAAATAGTTTAAGCAAGGAGGAGATGGAGGAGGAAAAGAAGGATAATTATTTATTATGAAGAACCATGCTACTTTAGTGAGCCCAAGGACAGCCATAGGTCTGAATCTTAGAAGCAACTGTAATTAGAAAATTTAAATGCTGAGAGGCATTTCTCTTTTCTCTAATATCTGTTCTCAGTCTTTGTCTCTCTCTCTCTGTGTGTGTCTCATTCTTTCCTTGCTTACATCATCCACTTTTCCAATTTACATGGCAGGAAATATAGCCACCAGCTGCTTTACAGCATGCAATTTGCACACTCAAACAAAGACTGTCTCACTCTCCTAGTTCCAACTCAAAAGTTTCCAGGGAAGTCCTCTGATTGCCTCAGCTTGGATCAGAGCCCCACCTCTGAAACAACTTATGAAGGCTATAAAAACAGGTTAGGGCTCTACAGCAATATGAAAATTCCTGGGAAAAATGTGACAATGCCAGGGGAGGTGACCATTCATTCCAAGAAAAAGGGAGGTGAGTATTGTGGTGTTAAGGAAACAAAACAATAGGTATTCATTATTATTGAGGAGAAAGCCTAGAGTATGATCATGAATGACATTTAATAATATTCCATGGACTTTTAATTTTCTATAGGCAATGTGATTTACCATTTGGCCAACCTGTGTATCTCCTACTCTTACAGCTTGCCTTTTGTTTGTTTGGAATAATTTGGCTTGAGTGGTCCTTTTCCAGGGAGCTGGTAGAGAGGAATGAGGGAACTAATCACCTCCCAAGTCTTCTATGTTGGCAGAGCAGCTAGCAGCTTTTCCTATGTGTGGAAACTATCACGTTGTAATTGGAATACACCTTGATCTTGACTTTGACCTTGAAGACGATCCTATGGGGCTCATGTACCTTCACCTCTGCCCACATAGTCTGATTGAGAGACTCACTGAAGCTGGGCCATAGTCTTTCCAAGGGGCTGCTGTACCTTTTGGTCTCTTGGCCTTCTGCCTCAGCCTCTGTTTAGACTTGGGTCAAGTTTGATCCCTTCCTCTTTCTAAAATCTCATCCTTTTTCAGTGTTTTCCAAGTAGGTATAAACCATAAGGTCTTTTTGCATTAAGTGGTTAGAAAAAATTTGAAAAAGTAAAAACTTGAAGAGATTTTGAGCATGAGTTTGAGATAACCAGATTTCTTTTCCTTTTTTTTTTTTTCATATACATATATATATTGGAAAAATCACTCTGCCAGCTGCAGAGCATGGATTACTGCAGATTGAGGTTAGAGGCAGCAACAATAGTTAGGAAGATTGTTCTATTAATCTAAGTGAGAAACAAGGAAAGCCTAACCTAAGATAGTAAGATAGTGGCGGTGGAGACAGTGATGGGGAGATAGACATTAGACACTGATAAGACATGATGAATCACTTAGGGAGCTTTTGGCAGCAAGTAATAGGAAAACAAACAGCACACACCAGCTCCAGTAGTAAATAAATGTGTTTGGTAACCAAACATTAAGTCCAGAAAGGGGATGAATTTCAGTGACTTGCAGTGGCTCCTACTCTGAACATTCACTTGATCTTCCTGTCTGTTGTTCGTGTTGACTTCATTCTCAAGATGGTAGCAAGATGGTTACACCCATTCCAGACCTCATATCCACATATGAAGTCATCCAGAGAGAGAGGCTCATTTCCAGAAGCTAACTCGACAAGCTGGCCCTGAAAGGATAACCACCCCAGAAGCGCCTAGTAAACCTCTTTTTGGTTCTCGTTAGCCTATGGCCTATTCCCGAATCAGTCATTGGCCAGGGGTAATGGAATTACTGTTATATATGTTATATATGTGTCTCTGGAACATTCTTGAAGTTGATGGTAGGATTTACTTCTCCAGTAGCAAATGGATTGTGTCTAGATGGGGGGAGGAGAGAGAAAAAAAATGATCAAAATCAGGGTATTCTAGAAATGGGGGAGGGGGACACAGATGTGCAGTAGGCAGTCAACATCGTTCAATACCGTCAGTAACTGTTTTGGTGTGGGGAAGTGGAGGGAGCGATTGTCAGTATTCTCAGGCTTACTGAACTGGGTGATTAGATATTTTCATCAGGATAAGAAACAGGAGAATAAACAGCTTTGGGCAGAAGATCAGTTTTGATGAGAATGAGGTAGAGCTATGTAAAGATGTCAAATAGACATCTAAATAAGTAGTTAAACACAAGAGTTTGAAGCTTAGAAAAGGGTTTAAAAATATATATTTGGAAGTTGCACGCATATGGAATTATACAGCACAGGTGCAGGGTGAGGTCATTGTTGGATGCGATAACCCAAGAAAGTATGCCGCGTGAGGAGAGGGAAGATAAGCCTTCATCTCTAGAAAAGGCCAAAGTCTGACTTGAAATTAACTACCTTGATTTGCATATCAAAGGGGTGTTTCTTGAATTTGGATAGCTGTTGCAGTGAAAATTTCTACATAACTAAATGATTTCTAAACTCCATTTGACAGCTCATTATTTTTAAAGCCACATTCCTCCCCCACCTCTGACAAAATTCACTTAAAGAGTTTGGAAAGAACTTTGGAGTTAGTAGCAATAGGATTTCGCCTAAAATAGCAAATACTTCATGGATTGTAAAAATGTTTGGAATTCTTTTATGATACAAATAACCAGCTATGGTTAACAGGCCAGATGGCTTCTCCTGGAATGAAGACGTGTTTAGTGAACTTATAGTCGGTGACTTTGTAGTTGAATCTAATAAATTAAACTTGACAATCTTATAGGAGGGCTTTAGCAAGAGCTCAAAGAATATTAAGATCAAATCCAACTGAAAGTTTAGGCATCTCATTCTACCAAATTGAAAGTGAAATAACAAACAAATACAGGGAGAGGAATCATCTGATTTTGCTTGATTTTGAGGAGCTATGAGGACTGTAAGCCTGCCTCTCCTGGCTGGCAGAGACCACTTGGTAGGTGGCCCCACAGTGCTGGAATCCAGAAAAATCTCCCTCCAGAGTTGGCGTGATCAGATTCCAGAAGCACAGCCAGTCCTGCTTATTCATATGATCTGACCCAGCATGAAAGAGGACTGGGTCAGCAAAACTCCAAAGAAGAAAGCTAACCAGGCAGGCCCAGCCACCTCAGAGCTTTCTAGTTTCCTATTTAGAGGACATTTCTCACATACATAAAAAGATTGTCACAGACAACTTTTCTAAGCCAAAGAGTAAAAGGTTTTTTAATGCTACATAGAAGCGAACAAGGGGTCAGACCTGGCAAAGGCCCTGGGAAATTCAGGAAAAACGAAGGCTGAGACCTTTCTCCCTCCTTGCTCAGCTAAGTAATAGACCACTTAACTGATTAAGAAAGGAGAGGGTGGCCAGACGGGGGTTGGGGGTGGTGTAAGATTCCGCGAAGTCTAGGCATTTCCTTCCATCTCTAGAGTTCTGTGTCCCTGCAGTTGACAGAAATGGACAGGGATGCCCAGATTTCAGTACAGCTCAGCCACTCCCTGGCCATGTTACATTTCCTTTGATTCACTTTCTCCATTTTGAAAATAACTGGGTGGAGCTGATGATCCCTGAGGGAGTGTCAGTGTAGTGGTCAAAGGCAGATTACCCAGGCTTAAATCCTGGCTCAAATGTCTCTATGATATGATCTCGGGGGTCAAATCATAGAAAGATCTGCGAATCGGACAACCTCCAGAATCACATATCATATCATAGAAAGATATGACCCCTGAAGATCATATCTTTTTTCATTTTCATAGAAAAAAGAAAAGAAAAGAAAGGTAAAGAAAAGATGAAGGAAGTGAAGGAGTCAGTCAAGAAAAAGAAAAAGCTTTTCAACCTCCCAGTGCCTTAGGTTGCACACCTGCGAAAAGGATTTTGAGCCTGTGCAGTGCCCAGAGCAGTGCCTAGTACATAGTGAGCATCATTTTAGTGTTGGCGACTTTTATTCTAGCTCCAATTTTATGTAAATCTGTAATTCTAGGACAAGCAACTACCATGATCCTTTTAGCCCAAGTCAAGATTCCTAGGAAGTGCTTCAATACATATGAACACATCTTGAAAATATTCCTTGGCCAGAAACTAGGTTTGCTAAACTGCCTTTTTATTATTATTATTTCTAAGCCCTTTTAAGGACGGTTGTTTTCAAAATAAGGTAAAGGATTTTAATTTGGCTTCGTAATATCTTGTAAAACCATCCCCTACAGGGTATCTCTCCTTTGTATTAAATGGAGCTGTATTAGAATTAATTACCAGAAGAGATGGATGAGAGTCCACTGGCTGCTTGATGAGAACTCACTGCTCCCAGCTCAGTAACCTCCACACCCCAGACTAAGGTCGGCTGTAATTACAGGGGGATGAGAGAGGGGAACATGATCCAACTCTGAGGGGAAAAAAGCGACTTAAACCTTTCTTTCCCTGAGAAAGAAAAGTGGCTTGATTGATCATTCATCCATTCCTTTATCCATTCATTTGTTCGTCTATTCTTTTTCCTTCCCTCCTTTATCTCATAACCCTTTTACATTAGAAGTATGCACAAAAATCACTTGGGGTTACTTGTGTCAAAAGAAAACTTTAGACAAGTTAAATCTGATGGAGTTTAATTGAGAAAAAAAAATCCAAGGAAAAAAACAATTTGCAAATCAGACAACCTCCAGAATCACAGCAGATTCAGAGAGACTCCAGGGATGCCTCACGGTCTGAACAAATTTATAGACAAAAAAAGTAAAGTGACGTACAGCAATCGGAAGTGAGATACAGAAACAGTGGGATGGATTATCATTTGCCTTATTCAAACAGTTTGAACACCCAGCAGTCTATGAGGGGCTGAGGTATGGCCGCTGGGATTGGCCAACATTCAGCTATTAAGCTAGGTTACCATTCGTCCACAAGGACTCAAACATAGAAGTACGGAGTCTTTCTGGGGCCATATGTAGTTCACTTTGACCCTTGATAAAATGCAGATTTTAGTCTTTTTCTTCTCATTTCATGAGGTTAGATTGGAGTCACCAGTCTGCATTTTTAACTAGTACAGCAGAAAATTCTGATGCTTACAGCGTGGGCTTCAGTAAAACACTACTTGATGGTGAGGAATGGTAAATCCCAAGACCAGGCAGACTTGTGGGCAATGTGGATGGACTAATGATCTGATGACTCTTCAGAATGATTTTCTTTAAACATTTATTCAACATTTATATGATGACCTTTATTTGGTGACATATTTACATGAAAGCATATTTTAATTGATATTTATATTAATAGATATTCAGAAAAGATTTGCCTAATAATTCATCTATGTCCAAAGTAGGCTACATGCTGTAAAGAAAGCTCAGCGAAACAGAACTGCAATGCACATTATCCAGATTCAGAATTTGAGGTGGCTACAACTGCAAATTCCAGAGCACAATCATCTGGTCGAGAGTAGATTTGTGCTTGCAACATGCAAGTTTTTTGATATATAATTTTTTATTTTCATTTACCTTTGAGGGGACTCTGAAAGGCAGGACTAATTAACATTTCACCAGTTATCCAATTAGTCCCTGTGGAAACCTGAGTTAATTGGTATCATAATTTCTATTTATTGCATTGATATTTTAACGTCCTTTGCAGACTAGCATGATGTGTGGTTCCTCATCTCTCCTTCCTTTAATCTTTTCTAGGTAGGAAATGAGTAAAAGGAGTAAAAGGAGGAACTTCAGCTGGGATCGGTGGCTAATGCCTGTAATCCCAGCACTTTGGGAGCCCGAGGGGGATGGATCATGTATAAGGTCAGGAGCTTGAGACCAGCCTGACCAACACTGTGAAACCCCTTCTCTACTAAAAATACAAAAATTAGCCAGGTGTGGTGGCGTGCACCTGTAATCCCAGCTACTCAGGAGGCTGAGGCAGGAGAATGGCGTGAACCCGGGAGGCGGAGCTTGCAGTGAGCCGAGATCCCGCCACTGCACTCCAGCCTGGGCGACAGAGCGAGACTCCGTCTCAAAAAAAAAAAAAAAGGCGGGGTGAGGGTGGGCGTAGAGGAACTTCCGGGGATTGGGCCAGGCTCTAAGTGTCAGTCTCAGAATGAAAAGCTCACAGTCAATGGTCTGTCATGGTGTTGTTATCCAGTATATCCATGGTGCTGAGTCTCACTGCACTGCCACAGGACTCTTAGGAAAAGATGGTAGCAGTGGTTGAGAATGAACCTTGGAAAAGACCTCAGCCAGCAGTTACTACAGTAAAGAACCAGGGTCTAGGGAGTGGGATTCTGAGAAAAGATACTTGCAACAGTTACACAGGTGTCAGGACCCTGTCACCTGGCCTTAGTTCAAGGCAGAGCTCAGTCCCAGAGTAACTGGCAGCAACTCACATATGTGGATGGAATGTGTCCAGTGCATGCGGTGCATGCAGAACACCATGAATACCTAGGTGTTCAGGGATCTGCCTTAGGCCACAGGCTTCCCTGTTAGAGCAACTGGCCTAAGTCCCCTCTCAATCCATTGTTGGGGATGAATTGCTAAAAACTCTCTGTGATCCTATTCAGAATTGTCTGAAGATATAGGAAGAAATGTCTTAGAATTTAAACAACTGCTTCTAGCTCCCATTTCTGAGAAAAAAAAATGGGTAACCCAAAGAGTAGAGCCTTATTGAATATTCAACCTGTTGAAAGATAAATGCTGATCCCAGAAACTGTATCTTCAAAGGGTGAAGAGTTAAGGTAATGGTGTGATTTTCAGGTTTAAATGATGTTACCCACTTTTTTGGAGGCCTAATAACGTGCATGTAATTAAATCTCCAATTTTACACATCAAAAATTTCTCCTCTGCCCATGTATATTACACTGTGCTAAGTGTAATATACATGTTGGTGTGCAGATGTGTGAGTGTGTGTGTGCATGTGTGTGAGTGTGTGTGTGGGTTATGTGCATATGCGTACCTATTTCTGACTTATTCCTCACAATGGCCTTAAGAGTTGGCTCTGTTATTCCATTCTATGGATGAGCCAAATGAGTCTCAGAGAAGTTGAGTAACTTGGTCAAGATGACAAAGCTGGTGAGTGGTGTGACTGGTTTGGACTTTGTGTGCTTCTAGATCCTCCCTTCTTCATTGCTTTGCTCTGTGGTGGGAGGACACATAGCACAGCTAACAGAATACAGGGTGGGATGAACAGATACAGCTTCAAGTGGCAGATAAGCTCTTTTTTTTTTTTGACATGGAGTCTCGCTCTGTCGTCCAGGCTGAAGTGCAGTGGCACCATCTCGGCTCACTGCAACCTCCACCTCCCAGGTTTAAGCAACTGTCCTGCCTCAGCCTCCCAAGTAGCTGGGATTACAGGTGCCTGCCCCAAGCCTGGCTAATTTTTGTAGTTTTAGTAAAGATGGGGCTTCACCTTGTTGACCAGGCTGGTCTCAATCTCCTGACCTGAGGTGATCCGCACACCTCGGCCTCCCAAAGTGCTAGGATTACAGGCATGAGCCACTGCGCCCAGCCCGGATATGCTTTCAGCTAGCTTTGTAAACTTTCTTAATTCAGCGATTTTCCATTAATTGGAAAAAAAAAAGTTGCAAAGCATCTTTTATATCCTAAACACTATTTTAGTGAGAAAAAAAAAACAAGCAAGCAAACACACTTGTCTTTATAAACCTTATACTTTAACATAGAGTAGAGATGATGAACAGTAAACCTAGTAAGTGCATTACAAAATACAATACAAAATGTCATTACAAAGACATATTTAAAATTAAACACAAAAAAACCCTAATAAAATAACAAGTATTATATTGTTAACAAGTGATAAATCCTATGAGAAAACAAAAAGTGCAATGAAGGGACACTGGAAATGTGGGAGATGGGTATGCAACTGTTTACAATAGGGTGATCAGGATAGCCCAAGACTCATTGAGAAGGTGATATTTGGTAGAAAGAAAGAAAGAGAGAGAGAGAGAGAGAGAAAGGAAGAAAGGAGGGAGGGAGGGAGGGATGAAGTAAGGAAGGAGAAAGAAAGAAAGGAAGAAAACAAAGGAAGAAAGAAAGAAAGAAAGAAAGAAAGAAAGAAAGAAAGAAAGAAAGAAAGAAAGAAAGAAAGAAAGGAAGGAAGAAAGAAAGAAAGAAAGAAGGGAGGGAGGGAGGGAGGGAGGGATGAAGGAAGGAAGGAAGGAAGAAAGAAAAGAAAAAATAGAAAAGAAAAGGAAAGAAGAAGGAGGTGAAGGAGTTAGTCAATAGGATATCAGAGGAGAGAATACCAGGTGGAAACCGGTGTAAAGGCCTTGAAACTAGAGCTTGCCTGGCGTCATTGAGGAATAGCAGGTGGCTGGTATGGCTGCAGTGATGTCAGAGGATCATAAGCATCTATATCACGAAGGGACTCTTAGACCATAGTGGAAAATGGGGAGCTATTGCAAGGTCCCCAGCAGGGAAGTGGCAAGACCCAAACTTATTTCGTTTTTTTGTTTGTTTGTTTGTTTTTGAGACAGGGTAGCATAATTCCAGGTTCAGTCTTTCTCTTAACCAATGTGCTATACTGCTTCATGGACCAATCATTTTCCTTCCTGCCTGCCTTCCTTCCTTCCTTCCTTCTTTCCTTCCTTCCTTTCCTTCTTTCTTCTTCTTTTTTGTTTAAATAAGATATGGTCTCACTTCGTTGCCCAGGCTGGAGTGCAGTTGTGGTGATCAGTCCTCATTGCAGATTTGACCTCCTGGGCTCAAGCAATCCTCCTGCCTCAGCCTCCTGAGCAGCTAGGACTGCAGGCATGCTCCATCACGCCTGGGTAATTTTTTACATTTTTTGTATAGATGGGTTCTCACTGTGTTTTGCAGGCTAGTTTCAAACTCCTAGCCTCAAGCCATCCTCCTGCCTGGGACTTCCACAGTGTTGAAATTACATGCATGAGCCATTGTGCCTGGCCTGAGCTTACTTTTTGCAAAGAATTTCTCTGGCTGTTGTGCCGTTGAGAGACAAGAGAGAAAGCAAGGAAACCCATCATAATGAGGTCATCACAATGTCCAGGCAAAAAAGGACGGCGGCTTGCCCTGAGGTAGCAGTAATGGACATGAGAGGAAAATTGCTCAAATTCTGCATTTCGTTTAAGGTTAGAACCAATATGTTTCCTTGATGGGTTTGATGTAGGATGCAGAGTGAGAGAGAAGGAGAGGAGTGAGTCAGAGATGCCTAGGAATTTGGGAATGAACATCTGAAAGGATGGTGTTGTCTCTACTGAGAAGGGGAAGACAAAGAAATTAGTAGGTTTGGGGTCAATATCAGATGCTCCCGTTGAAACACGTGATATGTGAAATAACTATTAGGCACCCAAAGGAAGTTTTTAAGTATTCCATTTGATCCATGACTCTGGAGTTTAGAAGAGAAGTCTGAGCATCAGAGCGGACGCTGCAGGCCCCGGAGTCATCTGCACACAGCTAGCGTTATCAGGCCAGCTCCTGCAGAAACAGGGACACATTCAAAAGCTCCAACGGAAAAGAATCAAATCGGGGGCTGTCTAAAGGGATGTTGGCAGGATAGAAGGGATTTACAAGGAATGGTGGGCACCCAGCGAACAGCAGAGGTGGAAAAGCCATTACCACGTTTCGGGTTGAAGAAGCCGAGAGGGAACAGTGTGTCTGAAGCAGTGAGAGTTAGAACCCTGGAAAACTCCCGCTCCTGCAGTTTCTGTCTATGGGCAGAGCAGACAGGAGCCAGTTGGCACGGGGGCCTGGGTAGCGTGATCTGCAGCCTTAGCTTCCTGTGGCATGAACTAGGCCGAGGAGGCTGGAGGAAGAATCTGAAGGTACAAGGCAAAAGAATGAATCAGCAGCACAGATTGTATGTAAAGCCTGAGGCTAGGTATGATCACTAAGGCAGTAAAAGTAAGCAGCCAGGAGAAGAAAAAGAACTGAGTCTGGGACTCTTCCTCATGAAAAGGTTTGGAAGAAGAGGAAGAACTAGCAAAGGCCACTACAAAGAAATAGCCTGTGAGATAGGACCAGGAGCAGAAACTATGAAATCCAGGAAGCTAAGAGAAGAACAAGGGAGGGAGTGTGATCAAGGGGGAGAGTGTGATCTCTGCATCAAATGCACCCAATGTGTCAAATAAGATGCAGACTGACAGCTGAGCTGTGGAGTTAGCAACATGGAAATTATTGGTGTCTGGGACTCTAACTAAGTCTCCTCATTTTTTTAGAGGTAGTTTAATCATTTTTTGCTCTGTCTCTCTACTTTCTCATTTTCCCAGCTCCCTGTTTCCTATTTAGCTTTTCAAAAATGCAAATATAACCTTACACCTCTGTTTCACCAGACATTACCTCCAGGGCAAGTTTTTCTAATTATGTACTCCTGCAGATCTCTCCTTGATCTGTCGACAGTCAGTTTGCAGAACAAAGCATACCTGCCATGGAACTTTCACCTCCAGAGGTTTGCCTGGAAACTTCCATCCTTCCTGGGTTGACTCGGAACTTTTGTCCACCTGCTTGGCCAATTTTAAAACTTTCTTCTGCCCAGGAAAGCACCAGCTCAACTGTCCGATAGACAAGACACCAAGCTAACTGAGGTACCCCTGTCCTTACTCATTTCCTCCCCTATCTTATAAAAATAACTGTTTTCTGCTCCAAAGGTGACGAGGCACATTTAAAGACAGGATACTTTGTGCCCCTTCCTCCAAACTAGCTTCTGAATAAATTCATTTTTTAAATTTTTAAAATCAGACCTCTTTCTTATTAATTAAACTGTACATGCGATGAGCAACTAACCTGCTTTTGGGTTACAGGACAAGCACTTTTTCAGCAGAGTTGGGGGAGAGGGAAATGCCTCTTGAGAGTACCCTCAAGGGGGACAGGATGAGAGGGGTTTCCGACAGCAAGAGAAAAGTCTTTCTGGGAGTTTTGCTGCAAAGAGGAGCAAAACAGTGGGGCAGAAAGTGGGGAATGAACCAAAGGTCAAGATAAATATGTTTTAGGTGAGTAAATAACAGCGTGTTTCCATGACGTTGGGAAAGATCTAAAGAGACAGAGAAATGAATCAGGATAAGGAAGAGAGAATTCCTAAAGTGATGTCTTGTCCTGGTCCATGCTTCGTCCATGGAATAGCATCCTAATTTGCCATTTTTGGGGGCTGCTTGGAGTGGGATGGGACACAATGAAAGTATGTGACCTGCTGACAAGGTCAGACACTCAGCGCCAACCTTCCCCACCTACCCTGCCTGGCTTTTAGAGCATCCATAATCTCCTCCTCAAGTTAGATGGAGCAGGGACCCTGTTTTTAGGGGCCTGTGGGTCCCCAAGCATGGAAATAAAGGAAAATACTGAGTTCCTTCAAGGGAAATTCCAGGCACCCAGCTAGTCCTGAGAAGTAAATGAGTAGCTTGATAAGCAAAAGGTAATAGTAACTTAAAACAATAGCCAAAGAAGTTAGAGTCATAAGAGGTTTGGTTCCCCTATAGAAACTAAAGGTAACATCTTGATATATGTCCCTGAGTTGTTTTTCAGGAGCCTGGACCGCCACCAAAGACTCCCAGCAAACAGATCTGCTGGCACACAGACCTCAGAAAAGGGGGTTCTGAAGATGGGACTCTGACCACCTTTCTTTGTTCTAAAGTTCTTCTTGAGGGGCCTGGAGGGAGTTGCATTCACAAACTGGAGCTAACATTCCTTTCTGCTGATCCCAAATTTTTGAACAAAGCTTTTCTGTCTTAGCCAGTTGCTATCAGAAAATCTTCCAATCTACCTATGATTTGTAAAAGCCTCCACCTCAAGATACCCCACTCTTTTAGGCCAAAAGCAACATGTACCCTCCATGTATTGATTTATGATTTTGCCTGTAACTTCTGCTTTCCTGAAGTATACCCCTGCCTTTAAAAACCCTTACCTGAGAGCCACCAGGGAAGTCAGAATTAGAATGTTAGCTTCCTGGTCCTCCTTGCCTGGCACCCTGGGAAAAACACCTTCCTTTTTCCCATTGCAAACATTGGAATGGATATCTGGTCTTACTGCAATGGGCAAGCAGATCCCAGTTCAGTTCTATAACACAAGGGCAGTAACAGGGAGTTATCTGGCACCTAGTATGCACCAGACACTGTACTTCATAGACATTAACTCAAACCTCTACAACAACCAGAGCTTTATGTCTAATTTCTGGAACACGATATTTGCATGACAGTATTTCAGAGGGTAAGAAACTTATAGGCCATAGCTCCCAGGAGGCAGAACCAAGACACAAATCCTGGTGTTTGTGACAAAGCCCTTATTCTATTTGGTCTCCCCGTCCAGCCTCATAGTTAACTTTGCTTTTTCTGTATCACCTCTCTCTTTCCTAATTCTGTCTGGGTTTTTCACTATCTATTCATTGTTCTCCAAAATCTCTACCTCCTCACCCCCAGCCACTTTCTCCTCATTAAAAATCATCTCTGATAACATTAATATTTAGTACGATCAGGTTCCCCATCCAAGAAGTACTATTTTTCCTTTAAAATGGGATCTTCCTGCAAAATTTAGACTTTCCCTTTTCCCAGGATCAGTCTCTAATAGTGGAATTTCATGCATGACAATTGGTAAAGGAAAGAACAGGGTCTTCCAAAAGCCAAGGAAATCTAGCTGTGAAGACCAGTATCTTGTGCCTCTGAAAGATTGTTCTGTCTCTTCATGCTATTCGTTCAGACAACTACTTATTCTTCAATTCGAGTTCTCAAGAATTTATGACCTTAGCATCTTGGCAGGTCATAACTGAACTGCCTGTTTTCCTAGCTTAAAGTTGATCAATGCTGTTGTCTACCCCATTAGAAATGCTTCTCTCTGTGTCTCTCTCTAGCTCTTTTTCTATCTCCTGTTCTTTCTTTTTCTTGCTCTGTCTGTCTCTCTCTCCTCTCTCTGTTACACACACATTGCTCTTCCTAAAAAAGGAATCTTTCACCCAAGCTCTACTTCCTTTTTGCCCATGGTGCTTAGAACATGAAGAAGATTTGGGGAGGATGGAGTGACCTGCCACTGTTGCTAATAGGTCGGATTGATATCGCAAAATGCGCCACATCCTTCTTCATTTTCTCATCATGGGACAATCGATAGCCTTGCTTTGCCTGTAAACCTTCTGCAAAGGTTGAACACTTTTTACCTCCTGAACTGGGCATTCTCACTGCAAGGTACCAGAGGCAGAAAAGGAGGGTCTGGTACTGAATTTGCCGAGTTTGAGTGGCTTGTGCTCATTGCCCTATGGTCCCCATGGAGCACCCATGTTCACAGATGTGCAGGTGTGAATGAGGGAGCATGAGTGTGTGGGTGCCTGCATGTGCATGTATTTCCTAAATGTAAGTAGATCAAAAGCATCTACTGCAATTTACCTTCAGGGAACTTAACTCACTAGAAGAGATACAAAGTGCAGAAGGATGTATTCTTCCCTGTAAATTAATGCCATATGGAAAACCTTTTTTTTCTGATGACTTGATGCAGCAGGCATTTGGTATAGGGAAGTAACAGTACCTGCTTTTCAATGATGCTGCTGCTCTGCCCTAGCTTATCATGCTCACTCTGGATCCAAAGATACGTGCTCTGATAAAGGACCTGTAGGACAACGTTTCTGACCTTAGGCAGACCAAGCCATGCCTCTATATTGTGACTCGAAAGGTTGGAAGGTTCTCTTTACCCCAAACAGAAATGACACTTCCTCCAGGACCAGCACAATGCCTCAGCCTCTTGCATGGCTAACTACCCCAGGGTTAGACATTGCAGGCAGCAGCTAAAATGTAAACATAATGTGTGTGTGGTGGGGGAGGGAGAGTAGTATATCAATCCATTTGTATGATTCGGATATTTGTCCCCTTCAAATCTCATGTTGAAATGTTATTCCCAGTGTTGGAGGTGGGGCCTGATGGGAGGTATTTTTGTTACAGGGGAAGATCCCTCATGAATGGCTTGATGCTGTCCTCAAGAAGGTGAGTGTGTTCTTGCAAGATCTGGTTGTTTAACAGTGTGCAGCACCTCCCAGGCCCCTTGTTTTCCCTCTTGCTGTGATGTGCCTGCTCCTGCTTCCTCTTCTGCCATAAGCAAAAGCTCCCCAAGGCCTCCCCAGAAGCCAAGCAGGTGCCAGCACCATGCTTCTTGTACAGCCTGCAGGACTGTGAGCCCATTAAACCTCTTTTCTTTGTTTATTACTCAGCCTCAGGTATTTCTTTACAGAAATGCAAAAGAAGGGCCTAACACATCCATTCATTCCTGATTGTGAATTAGTATATCAAATTAGTGTTAGACTTCTGGAAATTTCTGAAAGAATGAGAGCCAGGAAGGGGGAGTTGGGCAAAATGCAGCACCCCATGGGTGTTCACATCAGAGTCCTTGGCACCTGTGCACATGTTACCTCACATAGCAGAAAGCACTTTGCCAATGTCCTTAAGTTAAGGACCCTTGAGATGGAGACACATCAGGTGTGTAACTAGCAAAAGGGTCAGGGTGCTCAATGCTTGTAGAAAGAAGTCAAATATAATAACCAGTGATAAGAGGGAGCGACATTTTCCTTTATTCTCTATGCTAGCAGAGGAAGAGCAGTAAACAATTCCACCTTCAATCTGTGGTGGGAACACAGGGGTTTTTAAAGCAGGGTCTGGAATGCAGAAGAGGCAAGGGGGGCTCAGAGGTGCCAGGTGGTATGACTTGCTGTGTGATCCTTTTGAATTATGGTCACATTTGGTGAAGGGGCTGGCACCATCATGGATCCTGCCAGGTTATAAGTGAGTTATTCTTCACCCAGGTTTGGGTTCCGACCTTGAAGTAATCTTTTGTTGGAGTGAGAATTCCAGCAGTGTCTGGTCTCTATCAGGATCTGACTCCTAAAGCTTCTAAGGAAATATATGACCAGATAAGAGAACATGGTGTGTGTTTAACAAGCACTTAGGTAAATAAATATGCATAAGGCATGTGAGCATAGCAGGGGGAAGGAAAGGGAGTAGGGGGTCACAGCACAGTCCAAGGTTGTATTTTAACATAAGAGGTAACATACATGCAGCTGGTTTCAAAGTTATGATGTTGAGACTTGGGGTAGGGAGAGGAAAAGGGCAAGAAGAAGGAAAAAAAGTTCAAAATGCAGTTTGTGGCTCAGCTGCTAAGCTGCTGGTTACAGGTGGACCCCGTAAAATATGGTATATATACAAAATGGAATACTATTCAGCCATAAAAAAGGATGAAATTGATAGAGGGGCAGGAGGCAGACAGATACCTGGGCAGATAGGGGAACCTGCACAGGGGGATACCCCACATGGACTGGGAGAATAGAGTGGAGCCACCAGAAATATGTGCCTTATGCAAGGGAGGAGCCTGGCCTCTTCAACTCACGTGTGTGGCCTGGTATTCAATTTGTGAGGTGGAAACCTGTGTGCAAGACCTCTCTTTTTGTTGAGAACTTTCGTTTCACTTAATCAATTCCACCCTGCTCACCTTTCAATTTGTCGGCATGTCTAATTTTTCCTGGTTATGAGACAAGAACCTAGATTTATCTGAAATAAGGAGAAAAAAATCCTGCATCAAAATCATTCTTTTGCAGCAACGTGGATAGAAATGTGGGCTATTAATTAAAATAACTCACAAACAGAAAGTTACAAATATCACACATTCTCACTTATAAGTGGAAGCTACATAATGTATACACAGACAGAAAGAGTGGAATAATAGACATTGATGACTAGGATGGGTGAGAGGGTAGAAGAGTTGAGGGATGAGAAATTACATAGTGAGTACAGTGTACATTATTTGGGTGACAATTACACTAAAAGCCCAAATTTTACATAATATATCCATGTAACAAAACTACACTTGTACCCCTTAAATTTATGCAAACAATTTTTTTTAAGTAGAGGGAGGAGGCAGAATAGGAGAGTCAGAGAATGCTCTGTGAAGCAGAAGCAAGGTCAGAATAATGTTGTGTGAGAAGGATGCAACCTGCTTCTGCTGGCTCTGAAGATGAAGGAAAAGGCCAGGAGCCAGCGTGCATTGATGCTTCCTAGAAGCTGGAAAAGGCAAGGAAGCAAGTTCTTCCCTAGGGCATCCAGAAAGGAGCACAGACAGTCCTACCGACAGCTTGATTTTAGCCCCATGAGGCTAGTGTTGGATGTCTAACCTACGGAACTAAAAGAGAATAAATTTGTTGTCTTTTCAGCTACTAAATCTGTGTTCATTTTTTGTGACATCAATAGGAAACAAATATAGAAAGTGAGCTTTGAAAGAAAAGAGAGAGTCCAGACCACCTGAATTTTGGGAAGGTACCTGAGAGGGCAGGCTAGGTTGGTAAATGGAGCCCAGGGAAGACATGAGGTAGCCCCAAGGAGCTTCTGGGGAGAAATAAGAGATGGGGTAAACAGGAGCCAAGACAAGGGCATCCCTCACTTAAGGCCTCTGGTGCCATTCATGCCGGAAATGCATCTCCAGGAGCCCAACTCTGAAAGGTGCTGAGGGAGGCAGGGGTCACAGAGAAACACAAGGAGCACGCCCCCAGCCACCAGGCTGGGCACAGAGACACAGCAGTCTGGCAGGTGCTGTCCTGGCCACTGCAGCTTCTCCTCCAGATCATCCAAGGCATTTCACGTTCCAGGGCCCTTGGCCTCCATGTTCAATCTTGGCTCATCCTCTGATGAAAGATATCAGACCGAGGCCAGAGAGGACTTTCTCTCAACCCCAGCAAGTCTCAACCATTCAGGCTGGGAGAGTTCATACCCTATGATTTGAGGCTTGTCAGATACAGCTTGACAGACAAAACCTATGAGAAACAAAGCATGGGAAGGAGGATGGCAGGGTAGATAACTGTTTCCAGAAAGCAACTTAAACTTTTCAACCTGGCTGGTGTGGAAAAAAATATTAAGTTTCGAAAATATACAGTATCTTCAGGTGGTGGCTAAAGCACTGAAACCAAAACACGCAGGAACATAATTTCCTAGGACAAAGAACTCATAATCTGGAGGAGTGCAGTGGTGCAGTCATGGCTCACTGCAGCCTTGTACTACTGATCCAAGTAATCCTCCTGCCTTAGCCTCCCAAGTAGCTGGGACTATAGGTCTCTGCTGCTTTTTTTTTTTTTTTTTTTTTTCTTAGCAACAAGGTCTTGCTGTGTTGCCCAAGCTGATCTTGAACTCCTGGCCTCAAGTGATCCTGCCACCTTGGCCTCCCAAAGTACTGGGATTATAGGCAAGAGCCACCACACCTGGCAACAACTTGTAGCTTCTAGGGAGAAATTTTATTTCCATTTTGCCTGGATCTTAAGTACTGTCTGCCGAGTGGCACAAGGTGGTTGGTAATGATGAACCAAATCAGCAAGGCTGATTTTTCTGGAAATTATCTTCATGTATACTCATCCAACAGGTATGAGAATTATATGAAAGGAGGGGAGCTTGGTGCATCTTACACAGTGACAAGAGGTTTGTAATAGGAGGAAGAGAGACATTTCTCTTCTCTTCCCCTTTAAAAGATGCCAGAAGTATGTAACATCTGAATCAGGAGCTTTGTGACATGCATTTCTCCAGGTGATTGGTTTCATAGACGATTGCCCATAAGCATTTCTCAGCCCTATCTCTACACTCCTGAGAATATCTGAACTATGGACAATCATTCTTATCACAATGTAATATTAAGAAGTGAAATGATCAGAAAATACTATATCAAATGCCAAGAGCATAGACTGGAAATAGACACTGATAATTGCTAGTTAAATGTGGCTATGAAACGCATTTCCTTCACCTGTCTTAGCAGAACACGTATTCTTTTCTCTGATGACATTCGAGGCCCGGCGGCACATGCTTCAGTTTGCAGCTCCCCAGCTCTCAGGAAACCCGTGGAAACTGCAATGTCTCACCTGCACCCTGCCACCGGGGTAAGCTCCCTCCTTGCTCAAGCTTGTTTGGGTCCCTAACATGCCCTAAATGAGATCACTGGGCAGAAAACCCTCTCCAGCCTGCCTCAGGGAGGCCCTCTGGGTGCCACCTTCGAGGATCTATGGACCCCAAAGTGATCTCTGAGCAGCTTTCCCTCATCACTGAACTCTCTTCCCCCATGAGGTGGAAAAGCTTGTTTCCTAGCACTCTGCCACCACACTGCCTTTCTCCATTCCCACTCAGTCCCTGCCTTTTGTCCTTCACTGACCAGTGGCATAATTTTAATCTCTGAGAGGCTCCCTAGAGCGCTCTTCTGGGTGATGGCCTCTGTGCTTCTGTTTACGTTATTCAGTGTGGCTGCTCTCACTGCTGGGGGCTGACAGCTTAGTGACAGTAATCTGAATTCTCCTTTCCTGGGGACCCAAAAGTATGAAAACCTCAGTAGGTTTTGGTAAAGTGCTTAGATTTTATAGATTTAGAATCTATTACACAGGTGCAGATAGTGGAATCTAAGAATATTAGGAGGAGGAGAGAAAAAAGGAAGAAAGGCCAGGTGTGGTGGCTTACACCTGTAATCCCAGTGCATTGGGAGGCCAAGGAGGGAGCATCGCTTGAGGCCAGGAGTTCGAGGCTGCAGTGAGCTATGATGGCACCACTATACTCCAGCCTGGGGGACAGAGCGAGACCCCATCTCTAAAAACTAATTTTAAAAAAAGAAAGGAGGAAGAGGAAAAAGTAGAAAAGGAAACAAAGAGGAGAGTTTTTAAAAAAAGTGTTAACTTCTAAAACTGAAGAGGAAAAACCATACAGAAAAGATCATAACAAGCAACCAAATATAATTTCTACTCCCATGGGGCAAAAAGGGTCACTTCCAAGTATTCTGCCACAATGCCACGGGGAGAATAGCTCTCTCCTTCCCAGCACTTGGTGGTCCTTCCGTCCCTCTACAGGCTGATAAGAGCAAGCAATGCCCACGCCTGGAATCCGTCTACCCAACCAGGCTAGGTTTCTGCTCAATTTAGATCACCTCCAGGAGACACACAGGGCACCTTGCCCTTCTCCACAGCCACTGGGATGAAGGGAGGAGACTACGCAGGTGCCCAGAATGCAAAGCAGCCCGCAGCAAAAGGTACACTTGGTGCCCCTGTATGGCCCTTGGCACAGGGTCCTTGACTCCTCCCTCTCATTACACCTCTATCTCCACCCTCTCTCTGTTCTAATTGGAACCCTGTGACTGCAGGAACCCCCAAATATCATAATCAAACAGGCTTCCAAGTCTGTAGGGAGCTGATGGGTAAATAAACCACTGCATGAAAAAGCCATAGAAGATAGACATTGATCTGAACTTGGAGGTAAAGTGTGTGAAATTGTTTATAAATTGTCCGGAGAATTGTAGGCACAGAAGTGGGACGCCAGCTCTCTCATCCTCTCTTGGCTTTTGCACAGCATTAATTAACTCTCCCATAGGAAATAGCATGCTCCTTAAAGCCAGGCAGGCCTGGATTCGAATCCTGCTTTTAATCCTTACTAGATGTCTGAATTCAGAGTAGTCACGTTTTCATTGCCACAACTTCTTTGGAGAAAAAAATATTTATTGGAGTCATTGTACTCAGAATGAAATGAGGTTGGCTACCTGAACAACCTAGAACAGGGACTGGCATTTACTAGCTGCTCCTTTAATGCTTCTTTACTCCATAGCATTCCTTGGATTTGCTAGAACGAAGATCCTGAATTTTCGCCTTTCCTTCCCGTAGGAGCTAACCATGCTGTCTTCTCCCTCAAGCCTGCTTTTCCTCCAGATCTCCTAATCTCTGTGAAGGCTCCTGGGCTGGATTTACCTTGTCCCTGGCCTGAGACCCTCTCCCTACCCCTTCCACTCTGCCCTCCTTGCCTGCAAGGGTCACAGCTGCAGGCTAAGGTGCACATTGTCTCCAGCTGTGTGTGTCCATGCTCCTGAGAGTCTCAGCAGGAGATCAGAGGGAGCAAGGAGGGTGAAGACAGGAGTTTACTCTCTTGGCTCCTTCCCTGTGAGGTCAGCTGGGGCTGGCTGAGCCCTCACCTGAAGCCCAGCGCTCTTCATAAGGTGTCTGCCTTTTAGGACTTGCCCTCTTGATTCTGAAAACCAATTCCTACCTTTGAACTTAGCCCCAGGCTCCTACACAGTCCCTTATAGTTGCCCTGCACCCTGCCAACACCTTTCTAACTGCACTCCTTGTAAAAAACAACAATAACAACAACAAACAAAGAATTCACGTTATTCTAATTTGAGAGGTCACTTGTTCCTTGTAGGAATTCTAACTCAATCATGGCCAGCATCTCTCCTGGTCCTCAAATCAAGAATCTAGAAGTTATTTTATTCTTTTTTCTCTTATATTAATACCTCTAATCCATGCTAGCCCTCAAGCCTTGTCAGATTTACCACCCAAATATCTGTGGAAGTGGGCGTTCCCTTCTATTCCCAGGGATTGCCCTCTTAGCTGAGATCCCTGTCCTTGGTTTTTTGAGTCTCTGAATGGTTTCCCTGCCTCCATTCTCATGACTCCTCAATCCACCCTTTCTTCTCCCAACAGAGTGGCCTGCAGATCCTCTCCCAGATTCCCAGCACTTAAGAGAGTCTCCAAACGACCCATCACGGCAACGAGATGCATTACGATGCCACATTTGGTCAACTTCCCACGTCCCCACCCTGTGCCCCCTTCTCTACCCTCCCTCAGGCCAAATAGAAACCCTAGTGTCCACCATCTGTGATCACATCATAGGCAAATGCAGGGAGACTGTTGGAATGAGAGAAACAGGAATATGGAGAAGAAGTGCTTCTTTCTTTATATATTTGTTTCTTCTAGAGACAGGGTCTTTTTCTATCACTTAGGCTGGCGTGTAGGGGCGCCATCATAGCGCACCACGGCCTTGACCTCTTTGGCTCAAGTGATCCTCCCGCCTCAGCTTCCTGAGTCACGGGGACCACAGATATATGCCACCTTGCCCAGCTAGTTTTCACAAAATTTTTGAAGAGATGGGGTCTCGCCATGTAGCCCAGGCTGATCCTGAACTCCTGGGCTCAAGCTCAAGCAATCCTCTAGCCTTGGCCTCCCAAAGGGTTGGGATTACCGGTGTGAGCCACCTCGCTCAGCAGGAAGCGACAATTTAAATGAATGGTGTTTTCTGACTCCTGCTGTGCTAGATGAACACGCTCTCTTCCCTTAGATGTGGTGGGCTGAGAGCTAGGAGTCATTACCCTTATGAGCCTTCACTCCTTCCCTAGTGTACGCATGTTACCACTCAGCCTAGAGTTTGAAGATGAACATGATTTGTTGAGCATGACTTCAAAACTGAAGCCAATTCTTCATCTGCTGCTTAGATGAAGAAACACAATCTTGCTTCAGTAATGAAAACAATATCTGTTGGATACAGTAAGAAATGATATGTCAGTCCTCTAAGGTATTTCCAAGAGTATATTGACTATTGTGGCCTTCCCCTCCTCTGCTGGTTCATGCAACACATGGTCTGGGAATATCCCACCTCCTTCATGCCAAGGTAGTTTGCACATCCCTCTCACCTACCAGGAGCATCCTCCCAGGGTTTCTTACTCAGGTTAAAACCTGCATAAAGCATAAAGTTCTCCATGACTCTGCATAAAGCAGGAAAATGCTCCTTCCTTTTTTCCCCTGAAAGTCCTTAGTACACGTTTCTATTCGAATTTTCATCTCCTTGTTTTGTAACTGGTTACTGGCCTATCTTTCCACTGGACTGTGAGCTCCTTGAGGGCAAATGTTAGTTCATCTTCTTATCCTCTGTGTACCTTGCCTTTCTTTGTCACCCACCATCATTCTGCTAGGGTTCCAGCTCAAGATCACACCACCACCTGGAATAATGTTCTCAGCAAAGCTGCAGAGCTGTGGTCCTTTACTAAATGTGACCCCTACTTCTGCTTTGTGACCTGAGATAGGCATGGTTGCACCAACAAGCCACCAGGCACTTTGCTCCATCTTGCCCCAGGAAAGAGCTCCGTCATGATGTCGAGCTATCTTAGCCTCACAGAGAGGCCTGAGTGGCCAATCACTCATCCTTTTGAGGTTTGCTTCTTTACAACAGCTCCATCAGTGGCATCAGAGAGCTCCACTCAGCTAGTGAGGTGGAGCTTGACTGGAACTTTGCAATATTGCTGTGTAAATCAGAGCCTGGGCATACTTGAAAGGTTTATTAAAGAGAATTTAATGAAGAGACTATAGAAGTATAGCAGGGTTAATGGACTAATAAACAACCATGCAATACCCAGGGACCGCCAACAGCAAAAGCATTGCCACTCCTATGCTGAAGGGGAAAGAGGAGGAAGTTGTTACTCCAACCCAGCAAGAACTGTGGCCAAGGAAGTGGATGTCTGCCCCTCAGGAGCTGTGGCTATTGATTGAAGATGAGCAGGAGGAATAAATACCCCAAACTCTCTTTCTTTCCTCTTTCTAACTCTGCCAGTGCAGAAATTGGGGAACCCAATTGGAAAGCCAAAAGCAATGGGTCTCTGGATGGGCAGTCATGGACATTAGCTGTATGGGGCTCAAAACTGGGAGGGAGAGAAGGCTGGGGAAGAGATTCAAAGGGGCACATAGAGAATAATAAAGAATGATCACTTTGGAATGTTCCAAATTATCAATTATGCTCTGCAAGGTGACCTGGAATCATAGGGTCTCCTGTGGACTGAATAGTGTCTCCCCTAAAATTCCTATGTTGATGCCCGAACCCCCAAGGTGATTGTATTCAGAGAAGGGACCTGTGGGGAGGTAATTAGGGCTAAATGAGTGGGGAGGTAATTAGAGCTAGATGGGGTCATAATCCAATAGGATTGTGTTCTTAAAGAAGGAGGAGTAGAGGAGAAGAAAGTTCCGTCTGTTTCCCTGAAAGATCAAGGGTCCTTGCACCCCAGAGAAGAAAGACCCTGTGGGAACAGACACAGTAAGAAGGTTGCCATCCACAAGCCAGGAAGAGAGGCCTTATCAGAAATCTGTCATGTTGGCACTTGGAATCCAGGGTTTTCATCTCCAGAACTGTGAGAAAATAAATGTCTGTTTTGAAACCACCCAGTCTGTCATATTTTGTAGCCCAAGCAAACTAATGTAGAATCCTTGGAAGGCAATGCCAATTTATGGCAGAAAGACCATCTATTTTTTTAACTGCACCAATAAGGATGACCTGACAAAAATCGTTCCACTGGGCTTTCTGGGAAACCCAGGTTTCCATTGTATTGGTTATGATAAATCCACAAATTCACAGATGGGTACGAATTTTTTTTATTTTCTATAACTAATATTAATCTATACTTTGATTCCCAATTTTGTCAGGTAATGAAAACTTAGTCCCAGTAAGTTCAAGGACCTTTTTATGTAGAGGCTCATGGTTCAAGAGTGAGCATTTTGTCTTTGGTGTCTTCCTCTATTCCTCCAGGTACCCCCTGCAGCCCCTTCAAGGCAGCCACAGGGCCTTTTGTGTGTGGGCCCTGGCTTCACGCCCCATGTCTGCACTAGGCTTGGACACACAGAATATATCCTTCTGTTCTCGATCTTTCTATGCTATGGGTAACTCTACAAAGGTGCCTCTGGCCCATCTTCTCAGATATACCACATAGTCATTTCATTTTCCTTGATTTCCCCAGTTTGCTAGACTGGTTTCAGGAAGGATCAGGTCTGCGAGGTGTGTCACTGATACTCCCTGATCTCAGAATCTCCAGATCTATCCAGGGGTTTAGTCACCTCCTTTCCAGAGCCTAGACCTCTCTAGTATGAAATTATCTTGGTTTCCTTTTTCATTCCTTGTCTTCTCCCATCTAGAAGAAATACAGAAAACTTGTTTTTTTTTTTTTGTTTTTTTTTTTGTTTTTTTTACATATTCTTCCAAAGTCCAGAATAGTTTCCTATCTTCATTGGGCTATGTCATTCTTCTCCTGGAATTACAGAAAAGGAAAATATGACAAATAGAAAATTTAGGGTGACAGGATGGGGAAGACATTGTCTATTTTAAAATACCATCCTACAATACCACATATAATTCATGATAATAATAATTTCACAAGAAAGCCTGGAAGCCTTAGGAGTCGTTCTCTGAATCTCGCTGGAGCATAATGTGGGGACATAGGGGCTGCTTCACAGAGCTGAGTCCAGGCATGCAGCTCCACCCCAACCTTGCAAGCTGTGCTGCCAGCTTGGCCTCCACCATAGCGGTTCAGCCCTGCCTTCTTATAGGTCATGAGTATAGAGAGCAAGAGCGACTTTATTCATTTTTCCCTGGTGGGAGATGGAATTCTAGGGAAGTGTGGGTTTCAGAAATATGTTTGAACCTCTTCTCTATCTTCATGAGAAAAAAGAATGATGACTGAGTCATGGATACCCAACCTGAGACAACCTAAATACTTCTGAGTTGGAGGACAGAAGGCCAACATGGCATCTGGGAAACAGGTTAAAGCTCTGGGGGAATCATCCAGGAGGTCAGGCTAAATCTGGCAGGCTGGATTTGGGAAGCAGAATTGGGCCAAGAGTTCAGGGCCAGGGCGATGACAAAGAAAATTCCTATCAGGAGGAAAATGTGCTGAATGGAATTCAGTGCTCTGAGCTATCTGCTTTTTAGGTCTACTGGTCAGGGATGGTCTAGAAAACCAATCAAAGATTAGAGAAAGCACAAATGTTATAATCAATGCATATTTTCTTGAAGGTTTTGGTAAGTAGTCCCAGCTCCAGCTAAGCATCTAAGGATGGAGGACCATATTTTGTTCAAAAGAGAGTAATATATTTTATATATTTATGGTATCAATTGTGGGAATAAACAGGCACCACTCTTGTGAGGATGTACATATAATAGGTCTCTCCAGCCTCGGAGGCATTTTATCTCTTGTTTTTATGAGTGATCTGGAAGGGCAAGTTTACAGAGAATTCCCCAAAGTTGTCGATGATATTCAGCATTTCAACATTTCCTCGTTGTAAAATATTAAGCAGACATATATAAATTTTTCAAAGATCTTGTCATCTTTTCACTGGGAGAGATAAGAGGTCATCGGATGAAGGCTGGATGGTTCTTTACCAAGTGATCTCACAGGGAGGCATTCACCTTGGTGAATTTACTGTGCCTATGAGTCCTAAACTTTGTCATTGTCCTGGAGTCAAACTGCATCAAGGGCACTGACTCACAGTAACCAAATTAAAATCAAAGCACATCAGAAGATGCAAAACTTATTGGTACATAATGGAAGATATTTTGATCCAATGAAAGGAATTCTCATTTCTCCTGCTGGGAGACAGCTTCTTCCAGGGGAGGTCAAAATAATAACTCTAAAGTTGCATAGTAAGCGTGGAATCAGAGCAAAGGGAGGTGGAGAGTCTGGGAGATTTTTATCCAGGCCATGTCAGGTGTGATGAATCATTCCTACCCCTTGATACAGAACACCTCTCTAGTAATTTAATTAAGGTTGTCTTACAGATTCAGTGTCTTCTTAGATTGGACAATGCTGGAAAAACACAGCCAATTTTTGTTCTGTTGAGCTGTATTTTTTATGATCCAGACTGTCCCTTTATGCTCATACATTGCAATGCAATCGATGGGGCTTTTGCTTGCTAAATAGTAACCACATTCCTGTCCTGCCTCTCTGAGACCCAGGTCACCTTGGGAGGAATAAGAGGACTATTCAAATCCTTTGGCCACATATTTACAGACAGTCTCTTATTTACTCATCTAGATTTCTAAACATTGCATGTGGATTTTACTAGCTGAATCCTTGGAACCAAATCTTCTTTCTTTTATTTCCAACTTATTAGGGGAAATCTCACCCCTACTCTCCCAACCCCAGGCCCGCAACATAATCTTTTGCTAGAAGGTTATAAAAGGTGTCAGATAACTTTTTGTGTGAGCAAAGGGTTGCATTTTAGCAGGAAAAATGTAATATAGGGTACAGGCAGGGCATTATTTATAATCCATTATAGGCAGACAGTACCCCTTAAAGTTTAGAAGAGGTTTTATTTAAGGACAATTCTTCTTTTTATTTTTTTGAGACAGGACTTCACTTTCTTGTTCAGAATGGAGTGCAGTGGTGTGATCTTGGCTCACTGCAGCCTCGACCTCCCAGACTCAAGCAATCATCCCACCTCATCCTCCTAAGTAGCTGGGACTACAGGCATACTCCACCATGCCTAACTAATTTTGTTTATTTTTTGTAGAGACAAGGTCTTACTATCTTGCCCAGGCTGGTCTCGAACTCCTGGGGTCAAGCGATTCTCCATAAAGTAAAATTATGAAGTCAATTTACCAAATAGGTGATGCAGGTTAAAAATATAATGGGCACACAAAGGTCTATATAAATTCTTGTCAGACCTTTATAGATGATTAAAAAGAGCAATGGTGTTGGAAGGTCATCCGTAGCCTCTGAAGCTATATAAGTGTAGCCAGAGGCTCCCACTGCACAAACCCAGGTGCTATCATTAAAGAGATGACACTGAGCCAGGGGGACTGTGACCCAGAGAGGCAATTTCTGCTTTGTCTCTGCCCCTCATGGGCAGTTGCAGCACATGTATAAAAAAAAGACTCTGAGACTGAGATTTTTGTGCAGATATTTTACTGAAAGTGTAACCCTCAAAAACATCTAAATAAGAAGAGGGAAGCAGGGCAAGGCTAACGGAGAAGTTGACTGTGATACCTTCGCTAGAGACCTCGGAGACCTACGAGGTCTTCCAGAGCTGGGATGGGCTTTTAGGATTGTCTTGTCTTGAGGCAAGGGAGTTGGGCCTTTATTAACCCCTGCCCAAGTGTTGCACAGTAAGCATGGAATCGGCAAAATCAGAGGACTGGGTGAAAGGCTTGTGTCAAGTTCCTTTCCTTGGCTGAAGGCACATCCAAGAGAGAAACTGAGGGGGGATCCTCGAGCTACAAACACTTCCAGCAGCTGGGGAAATGAGCATCTAAGTCTGGGGCAATGCACTAGAGCACCAAACCAGTAGGTACTCCCAGGCCCTGACCATTTAAGTGCATCTGGTCATGCAAGTTAGGGACAAGCCCACTGTTGGGACAGAGATCTTCCTGGTCTGGTGCATTGTTTGCTAAGAGTTGGCAGTGCTGGGTAAAATACCTCATTCCAGGAGCAGAGAGAGTGATCATCTCACTGTGTAGACAATGTTGTCTTCATGCCACCAACCCCAAAATGGAGCCAACATGCAGCACTGGCTGACACATTACTACCCCCACCCACACAAGTGATGTGGATGGCTGCTCAGAGCATGCAAGCAGGGCAGAAAATAGGCTTTTCAGCTGTAACTCTGATCACAGGGTACTATGTTAAAGGGAAGTTTATCATATCCTCACAGAGACGTGAGCATATTGTCTTTGGTGTCTCTTCCTTGGCCCCTTCTGTATAATGGCACCTGATGCCCTCATTGCGGCGTCTCACTCATCTCTTTCCCTCTCTTACCTCTAAACCCATTGTCGGGAAATGACATGAGATTTGTTGGCAGTAAGGTGTAGATGACTCATAATAGTTGTTTCCCTTCTCCATGAGACACTTAGCTTAAGTCTTTTGGCAATCAGCTGTAATGCAATGGAGGCATTGGTCATGTTTTTGGTAGCATAAGTCAGGGGAGAACAGGATTTTCGGAGAATGTGGAAGAGACTGACAGCTGCCTGCCCAATGTTCTCTTTTCCTTTTTGCTAACAGAAACCCAATTTTATTTTGTGTGGTCATGAACTCAGCTAAAAGACTGCACTTCCCAGCCTTTCATGCAGTTATGTGCGGCCAAATTGCTGTGAGTAGCAGTCACTGGAAAGCTCAGAGGAAAAGATTTTAAATCACATGGCTCCTCTGGCAGGTATTACTTCTTGTTCAGCACTCTTCCCCACTTCTCCTTCCTCTTGCTTGGAACACGAATGTCACGGCTGGAGAGTCAGCAAGCATTTTGGATAATGAGGTAGCCTTGAGGACAGTGGAGCAGAAAGGAAGAAGGAGCCTAGTTCCTTGAAATTTCCATAATGACTCTGTCAGAGGCATTTAAACCCGAGCAACTCCATCTTGAATAGGGGCTGGGTAAAAGGAGGCTGAGACCTACTGGGCTGCATTCCCAGACAGTTAAGGCATTCTAAGTCACAGGATGAGATAGAAGGTCAGCACAAGATACAGATCATAATGACCTTGCTGATAAAACAGGTTGCAGTAAGGAAGCCGGCCAAATCCCACCAAAATCAAGATGGCCACAAGAGTGACCTCTGGTCGTCCTCACTGCTACACTCCCACCAGCACCATGACAGTTTACAGATGCCATGGCAACGTCAGGAAGTTACCCTCTATGGTCTAAAAGGGGAGGTATGAATAATCCATCCCTTGTTTAGCATATCATCAAGAAATAACCATAAGAATGGGCAACCAGCAGCCCTCAAGGCTGCTGTGTCCATGGAGTAGCCATTCTTTTATTCCTTTACTTTCTTAATAAGTTTGCTTTCACTTTACTGTATGGACTCGCCCTCAATTCTTTCTTGCATGAGATCCAAGAAACCTCTCTTGGGGTCTGGATTGGGACCCCTTTCCTGTAATAATGCTATTAGTCCTAGCCTGCCTACTTTTTTCATGTGAGAGAGAAATGAACCATTATCCTGTTTAGATCACATATTTGGGGTCTTAGTGATATGCAGCTGAAACAAATCTTAATGAATACAGAAGGTTCTAAAAGTGGGGTGCTAGAGATAATAGAACCCAAAACATCAACCTGGCTGAACAGAGGAGGTGGGGAGGCCGATGTTAAGGATTCAGATATTGTAGCCTGAAAACCTTGCTGCCCCTGTTAAAGCTGTGGTGAAACATTTTGTCACATCTGTCGCCCACTATACCTTGGGGACCAGAGCGTATGCTGACCAAAGTTCAAATACTGGGAAAATGGTAGGAAAATTACAAATTCTGGTGTGTGTTGGCCTCTCCCTGCTGCTCTCTACAGAGTCCTAAAAGAAAGAAAGTGGCCCATACTAGAGCTAGCCACATTAAAAGCACAAATGGAAAGAAATGACAATTTCCTAAGGGAGATGCTCCTGCTTACGATCTGCAGTCTGAGTTGAATAGGAGTCTCATAATTTAAGCCTTGCACAGTTGAAAAGGCCAAATGCATTTGTACCCCAAACTGAAGCCATTATAATTAGTGGTTGTAAAATTGCTGCCTTTACAAGCGACAAAACTGATATCCTCTCATTGGAAGTTGGGAACTCACTGATAAATATGGGATTAAAGGTATTACATTCCCATCCAAGCTCATTGTTTCAGATGAGTCAAGAAAGTGACCATTAATCTGAGAAGGCAAGACATAGCAGAGCACAGAGACCAATAAATAAAAGATGAGACCTTTCCTGTTTAAAAGCTCTCTCTAGCCATTGCCTGTGATTACTCTGCCTATAGCTGAATAGAAGCCAGAAGAGAGGAAGCTTGCTCAAAATTACAAAAACAAGATAATAATTATAATAAACTTAAGCATAACCTATCAGGCTGAGACTTTTCTTTTTTTTTTTCCTTTTTTTTTTTTTTTTTTTTTTTTTTTTGAGATGGAGTCTGGCTCTGTCGCCCAGGTTGGAGTGCAATGGTGCGATCTCGGCTCACTGCAACCTCTGCCTCCCAGGTTCAAGCAATTCTCCTGCCTCAGCCTCCTGAGTAGCTGGGATTATAGGTGCCCACCACCACACCCAGCTAATTTTTGTATTTTTAGTAGAGATGGGGTTTCAATATTTTGGTCTTGAACTCCTGACCTCAGGTGATCCACCAGCCTTGGCCTCCCAAAGTGCTGGGATTACAGGAATGAGCCACCATGCCTAAGCAAGCAGCTGAGACTTTTCTACCATCAAGGCAATCTCTGGGACCCAAAACTGTACCAGAAGTAAGTGGACTATGAGAGGTACGCAGCTCCCCAAAGAGTGCTCTTCAGTCCCTCCTTCAGGTGCAGTCAAGGACTTCTAGTGTTCAGGGCCAGGGCAACAGAGAATAAAGGACAAGGAGGGGAGTTCTTTCCAGAGGGCAGAACCAAGGCTGCCTGATAACCTAAATCATCAAACACACCCATGAAATCCCCCACTGCCTGACTAATAATCTTTGCTATTATTACCCAAAAGAATTTAATAATTATAATAGATTAGTGTTTCCCATTCTCCATTTTCCAGATGAAAGGTTTTGTTTACTTGTGAAAACAAAATTGCAATTATTCCATTTCTTTTCCCTCATGGTGCTTTGGTTTTTGTGAAGAAGATAACTTGCTTTTGAACTTAGGTGTCACTGAACCGCAAGAAGAAACATCCAGATTTGTTGGAGATAACTGCACACCATCTAGATATCCTGAACTTTGAGCTGGGTACAGCCATTGGATAAGAATGTGGAACTGACTCTTGAGGGAGGTGGTGACTACATTTTACTAGGTTGGTGCAAAAGCATTGAAAGTAATGGTAAAAACCGCAATTTTACCATTAAAAGTAATGGTAAAAACTGCAATTCCTTTGCTTTTGCACCAACCTCATATGTAGTTTTCATAGGTGGAGAGTAAACAGGCAGGCTGTGTCACAAAGAGTTGTGGCTGGTGACACACACCATACTCTAGTACTTTGAGAGGCAGGAGGATTGTGTGAGCCCAGGAGCTTGAAACCAGCCTGAGGAACATAGTAAGACTCCGTCTCTACCAAAAGAAAAAAAAACAAAATTAGCCGGGCATAGTGGTGTGCGCCTGTAGTCCCAGCTACTCGGGAGGGTGAAGTGGGAGGATCCCTAGAGCCGGAGAGTTTAAGGCTACAGTGAGCCATCATTGTGCCATTGCACTACAGCCTAGGTAACAGAGCCAAACCCTGTTTACAAAAAAAAAAAAAAGAGAGAGAGAGAGAACAGTTTGCTGCTCACTAATATACATTCTCCCCTTCTTTTTTTCTAACAGAACTTGAATGTTCCTATTTAAGACAATGTCCCTGCATTTTTTGTTTTGTTTTGTTTTTTAGAGGCTATTTTTAACAAGTTCCCTTACAGCTAGGGGCGGCTAATGGAATCCAGCTGGTGGTCATGGGAGTCTTCCAGGAAAGCTCATTAAAGACAGGTGATTCCTCTGGGAGGGGTGATCTTTTGCATTTTTTCTTTTTCCTTCTTCCTACCAAAAATGTGGAGATGATGGTTGGAGCTCTGCCAGTCAACTTGGACCTCAAATCAGCCTTGAGTATGAAGCCCAGTTCTGAGATGGTGAAGCAGGAAGATAGAAGGAGACTGGGTCTCTCCTAACCATACCCACATATTAGTCTTCAATTAATGAAGTTAGTATTTTCTTTTAGGAGAGACAAAAATAAATATGTTTTATGGAAACCATGTTCCTTTTCTGTTACATACAGATTAACCTAATCCTAGCTTATACCAGTATTGAGTGGAGCTTCATACTCCAGAAGTAATTGCTTCTTTATGTTGTTATGTTACCCATCCATAGGGCGGACCTAGGTAAAGTCACAGGATGGAAGCCCTGCCCTGAACTGGTCCTCTGCTCTGAGAGTGAATATTCTAAAAGCCCATGTTGAGAAGAAACTAGGAAACAAGTTACACGGTGCATGACCTCTGAAACAAAGCAGGCTGTGGATGGGCCCTCTAGGCCTACCGGGCAACAGAAGTATTTAGAGGCTGAATCCAAGCACACAAGAGATGGACAGACATAGGAGGGTTTGTGCTTGAACTAGCTTGCTTGAAATTGAAAGAGCCTGGTGGCTTGATCCCCTAACTCTTTATTTTATCAAAAACACGGTTTCAGTTTCACTGACCTAGAGGTATAATTTCCATGGTCTAACACAGAGAAAATTAGGGGGTTTTTCCAGTTTGGATTATGACCACATGAGAATAGGAACTCTGATTTCATTTTTTTCCAAGGTGCTGGGATCCCACAATTGACAGAGGCTATATTAGTTTTCCATTGTTGTTGTAACAAATTGCCATAAATTCTGTGGTTTAAATAACACTAAGTTACTCTCTTACAGTCCTGAAGGTCAGAAATCCTAAGATGAATCACTAGGACTCTGTTCCTTCTGGGGATTCTACGGCAGAACCTGTTTCCATGCCTTTTCTAGCTTCTAAAGGCTTCCTGCATTCCTTGGCTTGTGGCCCCATTCACCATCTTCAAAATCAGCAGTGCAGCATGGCATCTTCCCCTCTCTCTGTGTGTCCCTCTGCTTCCATCCTCACACTGTTTTCTGTCTAAGCCTAATTCTACAACCTCCTTCTCTAAGAATCTTTGTGACTATATTGGGCCTACTTGAATAACCTAACATAGTCTCTCCATCACAAAAGCCTTACTTACAACAAAAAGTCCCTTTCTTCATATAAGCTGACATCTTCACAGGTTTCAGAGATCAGGATGTGGACATCTTTGGGAGGTCATTTGTCACACAAATACCAAGGTCAACTCAATATCCTCATGGCTGTACTTATTGGCCTGTTTCCCAGGTCCCTAAATAGTTCCCTCTGCAAGCTTACAATATTGTCTGAATTTTTTTTACCATTAAAGCCTTTGTCAAAAGACCTCTATTAAAATAAATATACTACATGCTGTGTTAATGTATAGAGCTGTAAGTTGCTCTTCAGATTCCCTGTCAACCTGCAACAATCTTAGAGAAGAGGAGAAATTGGCTCTGGGCTTATTAAATTTTATTAAGGGACAAGTTGATATGAAAAGTTGTACTGCCAGCATGAGTCTGCACAGAGTCCAGCTGTAGAGGCCCTAAGCAGGATGGAGCTATCAGAGATCACTTCCTAACAGTGAGTTGTGGAGGTGCAT
The DNA here is from genome assembly GCF_000001405.40 of Homo sapiens. NCBI lineage: Eukaryota > Metazoa > Chordata > Mammalia > Primates > Hominidae > Homo > Homo sapiens. The sequence goes on along the minus strand of NC_000008.11, from coordinate 40,383,873 downwards.
AAAGGCAGAGCTCAGGAAGAGAAAGAGGGTATCAGGCAGAAGTATGAAAGCGGAACCTTCCTCTTTCAAGAGTGTTTAGGGATAGTACCATTGCTAACAGCTAACATTAATTGAGCTTTTATTATATGTCAAGGTGGCACAGTTAAATTATTGGTCCTCATTCTTTATATTCCCATTCAAATTCATGTTCTTGGCTATGCAATTTTGCAGTTCCTCCCATAAAGATAGAATATAGTTCCCTGATGTTTTATTTTTGGGCTCATCCACATGACTTGTTTGGCCAACACATTGTTACCAGATGAGAAAGAAATAGAGGACTGATGATTGTGCTTTCTTGTTCAGGATTGTTCTGTTTGCCACAGGAATATAAGGATATTCCTGCCTAGCCCACTGCCCCAAGGAGGGTGAGAGAAATATGGAGTGCACCCAATGCAATCTGCAGCTTAGAGTTGCCCCAGCTGATTGCAGACAGATGAAAAGGAATTGTTTGCTATTGCATGTGACTGAGAATTTTGGAATTATTTAGGTAAAGTTGCTTATTTTTGAGCCAGTCAGAGACAGTTCTAAGGGTTTTACATGCATTAATTAATCTAAACCACACCTTGATCTTATAAAGTGTTTTAGTCTCCCTGTTTTGCAAACAAGGAAACTAAGGCATTCATCTATTAAGGAACTTTCTCGAAGTCATGCAACTAGTAAGTGCCGGAAATGCAATTTGAATCAGTCGAATGTCCACTTAGGTCCTGACTACAAGATTTTACTGGAGCCATAGCCACAGGCATAAGGTTTCTTTCTTTCTCTGCTCTCCTCTTTGTGACCCATTTTTAATTTGTCCTAAAATGTTGGGGTTTTAAATCTTTTTCTAAGTATGTAAGATGAGAAATCCACTGGGTTAAAAGCCTGGCAACCCAGGTTCTGATCCCACTGTCGATAAGAAATGAAAGATTGCCCAAATAAAAACAAATATTTTCTTTGTTGATCCATTACCCACATTTTCAAGGCCTGATCTGATGAACAATATCCTGGAAAAACAAGGACATGTGCCTAGAAGCCAACCACGATGTCACTAAGACTGCTAGATGATGCCCAGTTGTAGGACTAGCCATCTTTGATAATTTTATAAATGGTACCTTTTTTCTTTGCTTCGAGTTCCTGAGAAAGAGTGTTTTATTATTTTTGGAAACTTGTGGAAGTTGAGTTCTCAGGAGGATAATAGAGGCCTACGAGGTAAATGGTCACCTACATGCAGAAAGAACCCCAAATGTGAAACTGAACATAGGTGCTGAAGAGTAGGATTTGCATGGGGCAAAAACTTGACAGAGACTGGAAGAGCCAAGAGCATTCCTGTTTCTAGATTTAAAAAAGTAGGGGCCAATAAACTGAGTACCAAAAATAAAATATTTAGGACTTATCAATTAGGGACAGTGAGGCTGAGGATATCATAAGAATATTTTTTAATTTTTTTTTTTTTTTTTTTTGAGACGGAGTCTCGCTCTGTCGCCCAGGCTGGAGTGCAGTGGCGCAATCTCGGCTCACTGCAAGCTCCGCCTCCCGGGTTCACGCCATTCTCCTGCCTCAGCCTCCCGAGTAGCTGGGACTACAGGCGCCCGCCACCGCGCCCGGCTAATTTTTTGTATTTTTAGTAGAGACGGGGTTTCACCTTGTTAGCCAGGATGGTCTCGATCCCCTGACCTCATGATCCACCCGCCTCGGCCTCCCAAAGTGCTGGGATTACAGGCGTGAGCCACCGCGCCTGGCCTATTTTTTAATTTTTTGTGACATGTGACTCCTACTATTTTTTGTTTGGTAGTGATTGGTAGTAAAAATCATGAAAAACAAGCGGTAATGTTATTGTGGGAAGTATCAAGAAAGTGGAGAACGAGGAAGACTATTTCTACTGCTCAATCTTGGGTGATGATGATGATGATGACAGTAATGATGACATCAATCAGCATTTATTGAAAACTTATTGTGTTAAGCTCTTTATAGAATGATCCAATTTAATTTTACAATGCAACCCTGTACAAGAGATACTAACATTATGTCTCTTTATACAGATGCAGGGTTTCAGACCTAGAGAGATTAAATTATTCTCCGAAGTCACAGAGGTAGTCAATGATGGAAGGAGTGTTCAAATATAGAAAGTGTGATTTATTGATTCTTAACAAACCAACAAATAGAGAAACAGTTGAAACAGAGGAAGTGGCCATCATTTGGAAAAGGAAAGCACAGATGGAAGATTCCCCTGGAATTTCTATATTGGATGCAGGGGTACACATGTTGCTGACACATGAGGAAACCTCTGATGTAGGTGAAAAGGGGTAGCATGGTAAGCCCTTGGCAGCCACATCTTGACTGGCTCAAGATGAGTATATGAGGAGCCTTGGTCTTCCGTGGCCCCTGCCATATTTATCCAGCCTACCCCACAGAAAGTCTACCCTCTCTCTGACTGACACATGGCCCCTTTGCTTTTCAGAATGAACCTTCATCTGGGGCTAGGGCTGGCCATGGCAGACATAACAGGTGAGGGAAGCATTCTTCAAAGTCCAGGAACTGGAGCAGGGAGCTCTTCCCAAGACAGTGGGGGGGGTACCAGAGCTGCAGTAGCAAATTAACCAGAAGTGGCATAGAAAGACAGTCCTAAGGGAAAAGAGGTGAGCATAAAAGCCAAATCTTTGGAATTAGAAAATTAAGGCCAAGCAAAGGAGATTAGAGGCAAACTGGATAGGCAGATTGAGTAGTTGTGTTGAAGGTAGCTTGGTATTTGATGCTGGCTTTTTGGGCCTGCAGGGCATTATGCGTGAATGAATTGGTCCCACATAAAGGGGCAGGTGTAGGGTGGCCTTGCTAGAACTAGGGCCAATGCTTAAGCTCTACTTAGTTTGATGGGAGTCTAAACATGGTATTCAGGGCTTGTCAATCCCTCCCTCAGGAAACCTGGTCCTTAAACAACTAGCTGCTAGCTGGAATCCAGCCCCCCAAATGCGCTGGTCATCAGAAACCACCATACAGTCATTTTGTCTGATCATGAGAGTCTCCTATAGTTTACATTTCTGCTGGAGACTCTTTTAATGAATACTGTCAGTACATAAGCCCCAGACACCAGCACAAGTCCACGTGACACCTGGCTCTTCCCATCACTCACACATTGCCTAGGCCCAGTTATCTTGTCACATCAGTCCTGCTTGGCTCTATTTCTGTCACCTTCAGTCATAGGCATGTCCTATGAGCAGAAGGAAATTTTCCCAGGATGACAGACACTTCTTTAAGGGGAAATGAAGTTGACAGAATTCACTGCTGCCCAAGGTACCATTTTTTGCCTTTTCTCTCTCAAATTACTTTTTCACCCTTTCCTACTCTGGCTTGTATTATTAGAAGCTGACTCATGAAAACTAAATTTTCCAGCCTTTCTGAATCTGTTGAGTGCAGCAAATGGGAGTTATTGGTAGGAGGCCTGGGGATAAATGGAAGGAAGTAGCCAGGGAATTTCTCTCCTCTCCTCCCTCTGCTTTGGGCTGCATCTCTGGAAGTGACTTTGATTCCTCTATGGTTCCAGCTACCTTTGGACAATCTCTCTCCATGGTCTCAGCTCCTACAGGCAACCCCAGATATAGGCCCAGCTTCTACTGAGTAGCTCCTAAGCTCTGGTAACACCATGTCCTTCCTGGGTTTCTCCAGCCCTAGAAGTGGTAACAGTCTCCTGCTATTGCTAAATCTCTGAGTTGCCTCACAATCCCTTCCTTGAAATTTCAACTCCTCCAATATTTTTATAACTGTCTCCCCATATTAAAGCTGGCTGGAAAGTGCCTGACACACCAAAAGGCAAATTCAATGGAATTGCTGATTTCACCCCAGGCTTGGTCCTGATGCTGCAGCTGGGTGGCCAGGGAGCTGAATGGGGTAATGAGAGGCTCCCAAGGTAACAGTCACTAACTTCTACAGATTGCCTGGGGTTCCTTACTGCCCTGGAGACCAGACCTACCCTGACCAGAATTTCCCAAGAGGAGGCCAGTCTGAGTCACCTTCCTTTTGTATAAGTGGTCTAGAAAGGCCTTGTTTTCAGGATTTTTTTTGTTAAGATGCAAATGCTGTCATAAAATATCTTCATCACAATAAAAATGCAAAGTACAAAGTTGCCGTTCCGCACCACATCACAGAGGGATGCAGAGACATTATTCAAATGTGCACAGGACAATTGCTGCACATGCACTCGCAGGCTGACGGGGACTTAAAAATAACACTTTCCATTAAAAGAAAGAAAAAAAAAAACCCTTTGGTCGCAAAATAAGTGACTGTTCTCTTTGTCCCTTTTTTCTACAGACAGCAGCCCCCTCACCAGACTCTCTGCAGAGTTACAGTTTTCCAGGAAATGTTAGGGACCAGCAGGACACAGTTAAAAGGGGGACCCAGGGCAAGGGAAAGAAGCCAGGGGCAGGAGAGCTTAGGACCACCTCCATCCTCCCACTGCCTGCTGTCTCCCCATCCCCCTGCACAATCTACCTGCCATTGCTGTGGGGCATTACCTGGGATTGCTGGCTTTCTGAAGAAATGTAGCAGTATTGGAAAGGGAGATTAACCAGAATACTTTGCAAGAATTTCAAGTTGTCAATAATTAGTGTTGTTTTTTAATTTACCCATTTATATTACAGATGAGGAACTCAGACCCAGAAGAACCAAGTGACTTGCCAAAAGTCCTTCGGCTGTTTCAGCAAGAGCAAGAACTAGGGTTCCCAGTGCAGTTTTCTTTACACTCCAATTTAGTAGAAGCATGAGCCACATGGGGACATTTTGGCTCCTGATAGACCACAGACAAAACAGTGGTCCCCTAAGATTATAATGGAACTTCCCTATATAGGTGTACTAATTTTTACCTTTTACACCGTATTTTTACTGTATCTTTATTTATTTAGTTAGTTAGTTAGTTAGTTTTTGAGACAGATTTTTGCTCTTATTGCCCAGGCTGGAGTGCAATGGCGTGATCTCGGCTCACTGCAACCTCTGCCTCCCAGGTTCAAGCGATTCTCCTGCTTCAGCCTCCCGAGTAGCTGGGTTTACAGGCACCCACCACCACACCCAGCTAATTTTTTGTATTTTCAGTAGAGACGGGTTTTCACCATGTTGGCCAGGCTTGTCTCAAACCCCTGACCTCAGGTGATCCACCCACCCAGCCTCCCAAAGTGCTGGGACTACAGGCATGAGCCACCGTGCATGGCCTACTGTATCTTTTATATGTTTAGATATATCTAGATGCAAAAATACCAATGTGTTACAATTGCCTGCGGTATTCAGTACAGTACATGCCGTACAGGTTTGTTGCCTAAGAGCAGTAGGCTACACCATATAGCCTAGGACTGCAATGGGCTGCTGCATCCAGGCTTAAGTAAGTACACTCCGTGATGTTTGCACAATGACAAAATGGCCTAACAACACATTTCTCAGAAGGTATCCCCTTCTTTAAGTAACACATGACTACACAGTGTTCAGTCAAAGAAAGGGCAGATCTAATAACTTGAATTTAAAATCTTCATCCCCAAGCCAGCCTCATAAGAAGGCTGCCACTCAGGAGCTGATGTGGTGGGGTGAACAGAGAATCAGATACACATTGAGGAATCCTAATGCCAGTCCATTCTGGCTAGTGGTAGATGATGCAATGGGGGTAAGTCATAAAACCTCTCTGAATGTCATTTTCCTCAGCAGAAAATTGCTGTAAAGTCACCCACCACAACCGCTTCATAGGGTGTTATGCTGCTACAACAGGTCAATATGTAGAAAAATGTGGAAATTATGATGTTTGCAGATGTTAGGGAAAAGTAGGGATCCGTACACTGTTTCTGAGGGGCCAGATAATAAAATGTTAGGTTTTCAGGCCAAATACAGTCTCTATTGCAGCTGTGCAAGCCTGTTGTTGTAGCACAAAAGTAGCAAAAGACAATCCCTAAATGAACGAATGTGGCTGTTTCAATAAAACTTTATGGATAAAACAGGCAGCAGATTAAATGTAGCCTGTGGGCCATAGGTTGCTCACCCCTGGGATAAAGCCACTCACTTTGCTTAGTGCTTGTTCACTGGAAAAGCCTCCCTGCCTCCTCTACCATCTCCCTTCCCTAAACTCAGGGCTGATGACTCAGCCCAAGCCTTATTTTTGGCGCATCAGCTTTTTAAAGCAAAACACAGCTCACTGGAGGGGTTTAAGACACATAGTCATCTGCACCAGTAGGAAAAAAAAGCTAAAAGCACATTTATAGCCACAGTCACAGCCGTCCTTCTCCATGGATATGTTCAAGTCTGCATTTAGACACACAGCTGCAGACATAAAGTAATATAGAAAAAGGAACGGAGCTGTGGATTTCATTGAGGCTGAAACAGAGGACTAGATAGAGGTATAAAAAACAACATTTTTACTTCCAAGCCCTAACTTTTGAAAGCACATTCACATTTATTTTCACTTATCGTGATGAGATGATGAGGGAGTTTTGACAGATTTGAGAGGAAGCAGGTACCTTACCTGCTGTCAGGAATCCGGCTGGTGGCAGAGCCCAGGCTCAAACAAGCCCAGGTGCTCATCTTTATGAACCCATCTGAGCACTCTTTTCTCAGCCCAAGAACAGGCACAGCCCTGAGCCCTGGGCTTGGCCACAGTGTGGCCTTTTGCAGTGGTTATGCTCCTTACCGACTCCTTGCCACAGTATCATAAAGTCAGTCTTCTTTGAGGATATCACATTATCCTCCCCTTGATTAAAATGATGTCTGTTCCCTCAAAACAAAGAGTATTTTCAGCCAGGTGCTGTGGCTCATGCCTGTAATCCCAGCACTTTGGGAGGCTGAGGCGGGCAGATCACTTAAGGCCAGGAGTTGGAGACCAACCTGGCCAACATGGCAAAATCCTGTCTCTACTAAAAATACAAAATAATTAGCCAGGTGCAGTGGTGCACACCTGTAGTCCCAGCTACTCAGGAGGCTGATTCAGGAGAATCGCTTGAACCTTGGAGGCAGAGGTTACAGTGAGCCAAGATCAAACCACTGCACTCCAGCCTGGGTGAGAGAGAAAGACACTGTCTCAAATAATAATAATAATAATAATTTCGAAAACAGAAAACCCAGTATGTTCAATACTCTGGGATCAGTGAAAGACTACATCAAGTAATCTTCAAAAAGTGCTGAAATTGGACAGTGCTGGCTTGATCATTTCTTGGACTGTGGATAGGTTAATCATCTCTGAGTGAGCTAGAATTCAAGACGTTCCTCAGGCAAAAAGCAGGACGTTAGATGAGTCTTTGATGCCATTGAAATCTATGGTAGCAAAGGATCACCAGCCTTGAAACAGAAGAGGACAGCATCTGCAGCAGGCTTTGGCAGAAGAAACACAGCCTGAATGCTGACCGTATCTTAGAAGAGTGAAGAAGTTTTGCGGTGGGGTTGGTGCGACTAAGCCAAGAACCTGTTGAAGATGTCATAGGTCACCACACAGAGCACCGGAAATGCCGATTGCACTTTGAGGGCTGAACCACACAACCCACCTGTGGGAAAAGAAATTGCTTGGAAGGCAAGTGCAGGATGGTCTCGGACCCAGGTAAAAAGCACGGGGCCACCTAAAACTGAGGTCTTGCCACAGGCAGCCAGATGTTGAGGGACCACCTTGGCAGTCAAACAAAAGTAAAGATCGGAAAGGTTCTCAAAAGCGCCAAGACGTGCAGCTGCAATGCTAACATAACATCCACTCTATAGTAAGCTATATCCAGCTGATACCAGCCTGAGTCGAAGTCTGAACTGGGAAGTATGGAAAAGGGAGGACAGGCTGAGCCCAATTTCGATTAGCCTGTGGAAAATACACATTTGTGGGAATAAACTGAATTTGAATACAAAGTTTGTCAAGCATTATTTGTCCTTGGAATTTCTCATGATTATAATTCTCTCAGTATTTGCTACTTTACTTAAAACCTGTGGTTTGCATGGATTTAATCCCTGCTTAGAGCAGCCAGAATTTTTTGATTTGACAGCTGAAATCACTTTTCTTTAGGGACATTGTAATATATTATGATTCTTGAAGAATATTACTGTTTAGGAACGCGTGGGCTAAAATAGATCTTTATGACTTGTGCAAGCCCTCGTAATATTGTTTCTCTGAGAAGTTGCTCTGAACAACTGATTTATAAATGGCTACTGTCTTAGAGGTATATTTTTCAGTTTGGGACTGCTGGTTTATGCAGAGAGCAGTGTGTGTGGGGGTGTGTGTGTGTGGGTGTGTGTGTGTGTGTGTGTGTGTGTGTATTCAGTGTCTCCTAAACCCCCCGACTGTCCGGTAAAATGAACACCCACTCTTTGTAAAGCTTGATCCTCAAGTCTTTGTTTTTGTTTTTTTAAAAAAAGCCCTCATATGAATCTATTTACTTATGCCCACGCCCTATCAAATGAGAAGTTGTTTAGCAGAAGCAAATGTACCCAGCAGCACCTTCTACTCTCAGCCCATTGTGTCCCCTGAAAAAATCTGCCCATGGGCTTGATCTCTATTGTGTGGAGTAAACAGAATCACTGAAGCTATATTTCTCTTCTATTCTAAACAGCAGCAGAAAGGAATGGGGGAGAAGAGGGCCCATGCAGTTATTGCCCGATCGTACTCACAATCAGGGGCTTGGAAGCCCCCACAGGGAAGTGAGTGGAGGCCTTCAGTGCACATCCGCACAGCAACACCCTCCCACCTCAGTCAGGTTGATTTGAGCAACCACCCATCAGCTCAACGGCTCTCAATTCAGTGGGTCTGAAACAAAGTTCTGACCAGCAGGTTTTATCCCCACTCCATCTCATAATTGAGAATCTCTGCTTCCAGGAGGCAAAGGGAAGCAGGGGGAGGAAAGCATGTCCTCAGAAACACGAATAAACAAAGAAAGAGAAAAGAAAGGAAGAAAAAGGCAGTTCAGCTTCTCTCTTCTAACGATGAGTCCCACAGGAAGATAGATGCCGGGAATTAAAGTCCTCCTCCCTGCCCTCTGGGTCTCAGTCTAGATGTGCAGAATCACTTTTGCCAGGTTCTGCTATATCTCTAGGTCAATCAGGGCTTCTGGGGAGAAATTATTTTTCCAAACAGGACTCTACAGAATATTAAAATATACAAACACTGGGCATGCTGGAAGGTTTTACTTCCTATATTAAGGGCCTGCGGTAAAGTAGCGTGATTTGTAAAGGTATCCCAGCTCAGAAAGGGGCTAAGAGAAATTGGTGGATCGATCCCTGGGGCAAAATCAAGTGATGTAAGCTGATTTGCTGAGAGATAGGATGATTCTGTATGTTCAAGAGGCCAAAGCTTGGAAGAGAGCCTGAAAGATCAAGATCACCCATCCACAGAGTTCACGATATCTGTGGTGTAATAGAAAGTATATGGAACTTGAAGTGACAACCCATGCACGTGAGTCCCCACTGCGCCACTGGTACATAATATTAACAGTTACATGACCTCGGAAAGACTTTCATACTTTCTGAAGCTCAATTTCTTCACTCACCTATACCTTGGAGATCATAACACTATGAAGATAACACAAGTTAGCTTCGAAGTGTTTTACGATAATTGAATGAGAAAATGCATGAAAAACTGAAAACTGCAAAGTGCAATGCAAATAAAAAGTTTGTATACATTTTGACACTGTTTTTAATGGACTTAAGCAAGCCAGGTGTTAGTAAGGCACTGATTTCCAGTCTTGAAAAATGAATTCTGAATAAGGTTGTTATTAAAACTTGGCTATTATAGGTAGTTGTTATACAGATAAATATATATATATACATATATATATATATATATATACACATATATATATATATATACATATATATATATATATATATATATATATATATATTATTGTGGTCGATTCCTTTTAGTTAGTTACATTCCATAGTGTTGCTTTTTGGATACTTAGCCTACAAATTGGCAAATACACTATTGTTCTAATTTAATTAGATTTGGAACAATATTTTTAGCACAGAATGACTTTCTAATTTGTCAATTTACATTTGGGTTTTTAAAATTGGTATGGGTGAGTAATAATAATCTTTCATAGTTATATAGCATTTCAGAGATTACCAAAGACTCTCACATTTAACTCACCTTATTCTCTCAAAAACTCTGGGAAGCATCATTTCACAGATGCTAAAGATAAGACACAGAGAGGATGTGACTCTCCCAAAGTTACAAAGTAAGTGACCGGAACCCATAACAGCCAGGCCCCTTTCCATTGCATAACAGTACCTGTCCCTAATCCCAGGGCCCTCATACCACAACCCTAACCTTCCCCCACACTGGAAAGCACTAGAGGCTATTCAGGGCCAGCGCTATAACTGATGGTTTTGTGACCTCATAAATTTGCTGAATCACTACCATTCAGGCACCTGGAATTCTAGATCTGTCTGGATAAATATTTACTTCCCAGGGCAGTTTCTCAACATCAAGCTCTCTGGAACAGAAAGGCATTTTTTGAAATGTGATTCTGCAACACTTTCCCTGGGGTCAAAATCATCCTGAACCTGGTTACAGATAACTTATTTTCCTCTTGGTGGGTTGTATAGTCCAGTCATAGAGGTAAGAGAGAGAACAACCAACATTGCGGCCGCTTTGTCTTTTACCACCTAACCTTGGAAAGGACACATCATTATTTCTGTTGCGTTCCACTGGTGTCACAGAACAACCTTGGTACACCTTGGGAGGGAATCATAAGAGGGTATGACAACCAGGAGTCAAGAATGACAGGAGCATTCTTATTTTATTTATTTATTTATGTTTTTGAGACAGAGTCTCGTTCAGTCACCTAGGCTGGAGTGCAGTGGCAAGATCTTGGCACACTACAACCTCCATCTCCTGGGTTCTAGTGATTCTCCTGCCTCAGCCTCCCAAGTAGCTGGGATTACAGGTGTGTGCCACCACCACGCCTGGCTAATTTTTGTATTTTATTAGAGACAGGGTTTCATCATGTTGGCTAGGCTGGACTCAAACTCCTGACCTCAGGTGATCCGCTTGCCTCAGCCTCCCAGAGTGCTGGGATTACAGGCGTGAGCCACCATGCCCAGGTGATGGGGGCATTCTTAGTGGCTGGCTTCCACACATCGGGGGGGTGGAGTAACAGTAACTTCTCAGATGTTACTCAGGTCATGTATTAGTCCTTTTTCACGCTCCTTACAAAGACATACCTGGAACTGGGTAATTTATATAGAGGAAAAGGTTTAATGGACTTACAGTTTCATGTGGCTAGGGAGGCCTCACAATCATGGAAGAAGGTGAAAGGCACATCTCACATGGTGGCAGGCAAGAGAGAAAGAGAAACAAGAGAAAGGGTTTTCCCCTTATAAGACCATCAGATCTCATGAGACTTATTCACTACCACAAGAACAGTAGTTGGAGGAAATCACCCCCATTATTCAATTATCTCCCACTGGGTCCCTCCCACAACACGTGGGAATTATGGGGAGCTACAATTCAAGATGAGATTTAGGTGAGGACACAGCCAAACTATATCAGGACACAACAGGGGAGATGCCACTGGGGGAGAAATGATGGTTTCGTCCAGATCCCAAGAAATCAGCAAGCATTGCAGCTCTCCTCCTTCTGCTATAGCTAGGAGGAATCAGAGAAAAGTTCTGCAAAGAAGACCCCACATGCCCACAGGGAACAGTGAAATCATTTACCACATGTCTAAGGCAGCAGTGTTATAAACCTGAGAAGCAGAGGCCCCCGACAATCTGACAGTCTTGGTGAGAGATTATAGCCACAGATGGTGTGGGGACCGCTCTTGCTGGAGGCTGGAAACAGAGCTGCTATTGTGAAGTTGCAAACTGGCTGATTTGGTCATATACAACTCACAGGTTCTTTCTGGTAGATAACAGTAGTCACCAAAATGTTTGAGTTGGGTGAGGAGTAGCTATAGCTCTGCAGTCTTGCTACAAGATTATAATGAAAACAAGTCTCAGACTGAAATCTTTCCCATGTTTGGACATTTACTAAATAAACATTTGTTAGCTAATAGGCATAAAACAATCGTTATATCTAGGTCATTCAACCAATCCTGTGTAAAATTCTCATTTAATGCAGATAGAAAACAATATTCTAAAGACAGAATTCTTTTATCATGAGAATAAGTATTACATAACAGTGTCTTCTGACTAATAGCTGGACACTATACTGTGCAATATCTGGCCATTTAGAAATCAAACTCCAAGTGTTATCCCTTACAGGAAAGTTGCAAAGCTGATTAGATGTTCATGCAAAAGTGAGAAGACCCTCTGCAATATTCTAGTCATGACATGCAGTTTGAATACCACTAATCTCAACTATGAGAACCCATATTTAATATTCATCATGCTAATTCCTAAAGCCTCTGATGTTGGCAGGAGATAAAGATAGCTAAAGCACTTATATTATTCACGTACTAATATGACTTCATATTTATAAAGCATTTAGCCCAGTGCCTGTCATAAAGTAAACACTACGTGTTTGTTCAGCTTAAATTAAAAAAAAAAGAAAAAGAAAAAAGGAGCTACCTCTAGAGTAGGCCAGCCTGCAATGCTAACAGTGGGAATTCCAGAATAAGGCGACTGACTGCCCTACGATAGAGTGTTAAATAACACACAAATAAGATCACACTGTTCTGGCTGATGTGATTTTAAGTGAATTACAGAATCCAGGGAGGTGCTAGTAGTCTAAACAAGATAACCAAAGATCAGATGTGATTTAGAAGTGACGAGCTGCATCTCAGCAAATGCTAAGACAGGATGAGGATAGATACAGACCTGGCTCCTGAGAAGTCTCCCTGAAAGTCTGCAGAAAAGAACGAGCCTGACAAGATAAAGACTGCTGGAAAGTAACTAAATTAAGTTCTCCGCTCCAATAGCTTTAGGAAAAACTGCAATAATTGCTCTCCACACAAACCTCTTTCTTAAGTGTTTTCAGATTCTAAAATGTTACCAGTCATCACCTTAGTGGTGTGCTCCCCTTTATGCTCTGTATCCCACAGCTCAAGTACATCCAGATCTAAAGGCCATGTGCTTCACCAGCTTTTAATTTCCATGCCGTCACCCCAAATCTTGTGTTATAACTCCTCTAGTTGCCGTGAGCCGCGATTGCACCATTGAACTCCATCCTGGGCAACAAGAGCGAAACTCAATAAAATAAAATAAAATATAACCCCTCTACTGAGTTTTAGAAGTGACTATTTACATCCTTCATGCCCTTGAAACATGCTCCCCAAATAAATCCTCTTTGCCCCCTATCTCTATGGTAATCACAAGTCTCTCCCCCCCAGTGACAGCAGCTGTGTCTAAACCACCCATCTGCTGTCTTTCTGGTGCTCTGCCATATTCTGCCTCATGCCCACTTATGAGTGTATCACATTTCTATTTAGAAACATTCTGCCTACCCTGGTTATTTTTGGCTACTTATCAGTGTGTATCTCATTAGCAGTCAATGGAACTGCTGAACTGCCGCCGCGCCCCTAACATGCCATCATCTGTAGCTGGGCCAGTATGGGTAAAAGTTGCAAAACAGAGAGGGTAAGTGAAAAGTCTCTGGTGGCTGACGCATTGCCCTATGGGAATGGGGTGGTGGGGTGGTGGGGTGGTGGTGAGGTGTCAGGGCAAAGGGAGGAGATACGAAGTGTGAGTATGGGGAGCTGTGGTTACTTGTCAACAGAATGGAGACTCACAGAGGATTATATACACCAAGCCAATTTTTAAAAATTGACGTAAAATTCACATAACATAAAATTGACCATTTTTAAGAGGACAATTTTAGTATACTCACAATGCTGTGCAGCCAGCCATCATCCCTATCTAGTTGCAAAACATTGCATCAACACCCCACCAAAAATCCCATACTTATTAAGCAGTCAGTTCCCATTTCTTCCTCCCTCTACCACTAAGCAACCACTGCTCTGCATTCTGTTTCTATGGATTTACCTATTCTATACATTTCATATAGATGACATCATACAATATGTGGTTTTCTGTGTTTGGTTTCCTTCACTGAGCATAGTATTTTCAAAGTTCATCCATGTTATAGCATGTACCAGAACTTTACTCTTTTTTATGGCCGAATAATATTCTGTTATATACCACATTTTGTTTACTTATGTATCTGTTGATGAACATTTGGGTTGTTTTTACCTTTGGCTATTGTGAACTCTGCTGCTAGGAGTATTCCTGTAAAAATATTTGCTTGAGTACCTGTTTTCAATTCTTTTGAGCATATACCAAGTGTGGATAAATTAGCAACAATGAGGAGGGAGCCCCAAGGTAGGGAAGAACAATTGTTCTGAGAGACAACTAACCACGAACAACTCTCTGGCACAACATCCTGTTCCCAAATAACTCTCTCAGAAACTAGCCCCAGCAGCATGACCTTATCTGCATGTAGCCTCTCTAACACAACCCTGTAAAACTTCCCTCAAGCCCCTGCCTCTTGGCCAACAGCCCCTTCTCTGCTGTGCTGCCCCTTGCACTCTCACAACATATTTTGTGCTTTCTCTAATAAACCTGCCTTTCTTTACCCATGACTGTCTTGGTAAGTTCTTTTACCTCCCATGATGCCAGCTCCAGCCAGTCACACCTGGGACACCAAGGACTGGAATTGTTGGGTCATATGGTAATTCTATGTTTAAGTTTTTGAGGGACCACCAAAATGTTTTCCATGATAGTTGCACCATTTTACACTCCTACCAGCAATGTATGAGAGTTCCTATTCCTCCACATCATTGCCAACAGTCATTATTTCCTGAGTTTTAGTGTTTGTTTGTTGTTGTTATTTTTTGTTATTATAGCCATCCTAGTGGGTGTGAAGTGGTATCTCATGCGGGAATTTGTATTACCCTAATAAGTAATTATGTTGAGCATGTTTTCATGTGTTTATTGGCCATTGGTATATCTTTTCTGAAAAAAATGTCCATTCAGATCTGTTGCTGATTTTTTTTTTAATTGAGTTTCATGGTCGTGTTAGGTTTCATTGTTGTATTATGTTGTGTTCACTTGAGTGTGTAGATTATGTTGGACAGTTGTATTAGTCCATTCTTGCATCGCTATAAAGAAATACCTGAGATTGGGTAACTTATAAAGAAAAGAGTTTTAATTGGCTTATGGTTCTGCAGGCTGCACAGGAAGTATAGTGCCATCTGCTTCTGGAGAGGCCTCAGGAAACTTCCAATCACGGTGGAAGGCAAAGGGGGAGCAGGGACATCATATGGCAAAAGCAGGAGCAAGAGAAGAGGGGGGTCACACACTTTCAAACAACCAGATCTTGTGAGAATTCACTCACTAGCACAAGGACAGCACCAAGGGGATGGTGTTAAATCATTCATTAGAAATCCACCCCCAAAATCCAATCACCTCCCACCAGGCCCCACCTCCAACATTGGGGATTACAATTCAACATGAGATTTGGGTGGGGACATAGATCCAAACTGTATCAATAGTATTGACACCTTAACAATATTAAGTCTTCCAATCCATGAAAACAGGATGTCTTTTCTTTCATTTGTATCATCTTTAGATTCTTTTAGCAATGCTTTATAGTTTTCAGTGTACACGTTTCCTACCTCATTGGTTAAATTTATTCCGAAGTAGCTTATCCTTTTGGATGCTGTTGTAAATGAAATTGTATATTTTATTAATCTCCCTTTTCAGACTGTTCATTCCTCATATATAAAACACAACAAATCTCTATGCCTTGATCTTGTACTGTGCAACTTTGCTTATTACCTTTATTAATTTTTGTGAATTCTTTAGAGTTTTCCCCATATGGGATCATGTCATCTGCACACAGACCCTAATATCACCCTTGCAAATAACTCAGATCCAGGCACTGAGTATGATCTCACAAACTCTGTCAACACTACATCCATTTTCTGAGAATAAAATGATACAGGTGGTGATTCTGATGAGAAAGAGAAAAGTGTGAATCAGTGGGTGTAACTGACAGCCTATGCACCCAGGCACATACTAAGCATTATGCAGCATAACCCCCACTCTCAGGAATAGTTTATGCCCTTATTTTCTTCTTTCCCCAGTTTTCAGCCTATTTAAATTCTAGTCTCCATTCAACACTCAACTCATAGTTGGCCTCGTTTCTGAATTTCTGAGCTTCCTGAGTTGAGCACTCAATGAACTTTTCCTTCTCTGGACTAATGTTATATTTGTTATCTTTACCATGAAATCTGGTACTTGACTATTATGTATTTATACATTAATTTTTATGGTCTCGAATTGCTCTCATATATATCACCTGCAGGAATCACATGTGGAAATTCTCATGAGTGACTTGCCTTACCAGCTATTTGTAAAAGAATATACCAGATTTTTTACTAAGAGGTGTTACAGTTTCCTGGTTGAGAGCAACGTTTCTGTAAACAGCCTCTAGAGTTGAGTCCTTGCTCTATCTCTTACTAGCTCTGGCACCACAGGCAAATTGCTCAATAACTCTTTGCCTCTGTTTTCTTATCTGTAATCAGGAATAACAATACCTACAAGAAAAGGTCATTGTATAGGTTAAATGAGTTAATATACATAAAACATTTACAGCACTGCTGGACATGTAACCAGTTTTTAAACTTATAATTATAGAAAATTATAATTATAAATATTGCTTACTTAATAAAAATTTAATTGAACACCTACTACATATCAGACATATAGGAAAGAGAGAACGTTCTAAAATGTGAAAGGAAAAAGAAGTGAGGAAGCCAGCAATAACTGAGTATGGCTTTGCAGCATTTTGCAGACCAGGTTAAAGATTCTGGCTATTATTCTCTGAGAAGTTAACAGGAAAGTTGAAAATGGGGTAGCAAACCAGTTCACTTTAAAAATAAAAAACTTTCAAAACTAAATAAAGCTATCACAAGAAAAGAAAATTGGAGATCACTATCCTTTATGATTATAGACATAACAATTCTCAACAATACACTAGATAATGGAATCTGGAAACATCTAAAAAAGACTTACACACTGTGACAAAGTTGGATTTATCCTAATAATGAAGATTGGCTCAATATCCAAAAATCAATAAATGTAATATACTATATAAATTGGATAAAGGACAAAATCCACAATGATCATCTGAGGTGCCAAAAAAGTATTTGACAAAAATCTAACACCTTTTTGTGATAAAAACAACAGCACTCTATAAGTAGGGAACTACCTCACACTGATAAAGTCTATGCATGAGAAACTCACAGATGACATCATACTTGAAAATAAAAGAGCAAATGCTTTCCCCCTATAATCAGTAACAAAACAAGGATGTTTACTCTCAATACTTCCATTCAGCATTGTACTGGAAGTTCTAGCCTGGGAAACTTGGCAATAAAATGAGACAAAAAAGTAAAACTACCTCCATTTGCATATGATATGAACCTGCATATTTAAAAATCCTAAGGAATCCATCCAACACCTATTAGAATTTATAAATGTGTTCATCAAGGTTGAAAGATATAAGATCAACATACAAAAATCAAATTGTATTTCTTTACCTTAGCAACAAACAATTCAAAATAGAAATTTTAAAAAGGTTCAATTTACAATATCATCCAAAATATTAAAATGCTCAGAAATAAATTTAACAAAAGATGTATAAGACTTTTACTCTGAAAACAATAAAATTGCTGTAATACATGAAAGATGTAAATAAATGGAAAGGCATCCCATGTCCATGAGTTGAAAGACTTCCTATTGTTAAATGGTAATACTTCCCAAGTTTATCTATAGATCCAATGCAATACCAGTTAAAATTCCAATTTTTTTTTTTTTTTTGCAGAAAATGAGAAGTTATCCTAATATTTATATGACAATTCAAGAGGCCCAGACTAGCCAAAATAATCTGGAAAAAGAAGAACAAAATTAAAGGATTCATATTTCCTACACTACACTGAATGCTTATGTCCTCCTCTGATTCATACATTGATGTCCTGATCACTAAGATAATAGTATTAGATGGAGCCTTTGAGAGGTGATTAGGTTATAGGCAGAGTCCTCATGGATGAGATTAGCAGCCTTATAAAAGATACCCCAGAGAGCTCCCTTGCCCTTTCCACAATGTGTGGTTACAGGGAGAAGGCTGCTATCTATAAGAAATCCAGCCATCACCAAACACTGAATCTGCTGGCACCTTGGATTTCCAAGGCTCTGGGACTGTGAGAAATAAACCTGTGTTTTTTATTAGGCACTCAATCTATGATATTTTGTTATAGTAGCTCAACAGACTAAAAAAACTTCCCAATGTCAACATTAACACAAACATATAGCAATCAAGATAGTGTGGTGTTGGCATAAGTATAGACATATAGAGTAACAAAATAGAATTGGGAGTTCAGAAATGAGCCCTTACATTTACAGTAAGTTGATTTTCAGCAAGGGTGCCAAAATAATTCAATGGTAAAAAGAATAGCTATTTTAAACAAATTGTGCCACAATAGGTAGACACACCAATGCAAAAGAATGAAGTCAAATCCCTTCCTCACACCATAAACAGAAATAACTCAAAATGTGTCATAGACATACATGTAGGAGCTAAAGCTATACAAGTTTTCCAAGAAAACATAGCAGTAAAACTTTGTGATATTGGGTTAGTCAAAGCCAGCTTAGACAAAAGCACAAGTGACCAAAAAAAAAAGGGTAAGTTAGTAATACTTTTGTGCTTCAAATGACATAATGAAGAAAGTAAAAAAGCAAGTCAGAGAATGGGAGAAATTATTTGCAAATTGTATATATATGTGTGTGTGTATATATATATATACACACACACACCTTATATATAAAACTTATTATATATGTGTATATATATATACTATATATATACACACACACACATACACACCCCTTATATATATAAGCACGAGAATCACTTGAACCTAGGAGGCAGAGGTTGCAGTGAGCCAAGATTGTGCCTTTGCTCTCCAACCTGGGTGACCTTAAATATATATATGCACCTTATATACATACACACACACACACACACACACATATATATAAAATAAGGGACTTATATTTAGAATAATAAAGAACTCCAACTCAACAAGAAAAAGACAACTCAATTCTAGAAGATTGGGAGGATAACCATACAAGCCAGTCATCTTTATGAGAGGCTGAGAAAAACAGTACTAAATAACACCAATTGGAATCAGCAACATAGAGAACTCTTTGGTGGTGATGAGTATGGAAGTCATCATGAACTGTACAGGTTTTTAATAGCATGAACTGTACAGGTTTTTAAGAAAAAGGGAACGGAGATGACAACTAAAACCAATTCTTCCAATAGGAAGAGAAATAGAATCAACAAAGACTGTGACCAGCAATTTGAAAAGTCATTGACAACATTTCCAAGAATTTAGATGGAGGAGAAGCTTGCGTCTGTTAGTAGTAATTAGGTTAAGGATTACCCCTCAGGTATTTTAAAAAATTCTCTCCTACTAGCTGCATTACATCACTACTGTACTATGTTGTGTGTACTAAAATGATGTGTTTCTATGTCTAGGTCTCCAGCTAAAATGAAATTGTTCCTACTCTTAGAGCAATTACATAGTAGATGTGGATGATAGGTTTCTGCTGGGATTAGGCATAACAAATTGGTTATCAATTACATCAGGCCATACTGGTGTGTTAAAGAAAAAGATGTCTCAATTCATCAAATGAGCTTCCAACCTACTCAGGCCTGCATTTTCCTTCCCTTTGTTCTTTATCTTCAGTGTTTTGTTTTCTAAGATTCTATGTTTTCCTAATTAACCTGCATTTTATTTATTTCTGAATATTTTAGGCCCAAAGACAAAAGATATTTCTGAATATTTTTAATAGAGGTGCTAAGATTCTTTGTTTTCCATCCTTTTAGATGTAGAATTTACATAATGTTGGTATTATATCATATTGATGCCAGGCATTTGGGAAGAAATACAGCTAACAGTATCAGATGTAAGCAATAGTATCTTGGGAGCAGCACCTTAAAAAGCTGAATAATTTTGTAGTATTTATGAGCTGTTGCTGCCTATTGCAAGTCTGTAAGAGCCAGCAAGGAAAAGATACAGTCTCTATATTGAGATCTTCAAGGATAAAACATCTTTAACTGCATAGGTAAATATGATATTTGTACATTTCCTTTCTTTCACTGCTTAGAATGAAGATTCACTTGTCATAAGATTTTTTTTTTTTTTTTTGGTCTGCAGAAAGACATTGAAGTGGAGATTGTGAAAATACTGTGAAATGAGGAACAAACATTAGCCCATATAAAGCTTTGACATATTGTATTATTTTGACTTGAACATTAGACAACAAATTGCTGGCTCCCATAATGTCCATGGATAGTATGACGACAATAAGCTTGCTAATGTTTGGTAAGACTCCGAAATGCTGAAACCCTATGGCAGCTGTCACTATTGCGAATGGAGTGCCCTGGTGAATAAAGGAACAAATGAATTAATAAATTAACAGAGGCTGGGCACAGTGGCTCACACCTGTAATCCCAGAACTCTGGGTGGCCGAGGTGGGTGGATCACCCGAGGTCAGGAGTTTGAGACCAGCCTGACCAACATGGTGAAACCCTGTCCCTATTAAAAAT
The DNA here is from genome assembly GCF_000001405.40 of Homo sapiens. NCBI lineage: Eukaryota > Metazoa > Chordata > Mammalia > Primates > Hominidae > Homo > Homo sapiens. The sequence continues at coordinate 40,363,307 of NC_000008.11, read as the reverse complement.
ACAAAAATTAGCCAGGTGAGGTGGTGCATGCCTATAGTACCAGCTACTCGGAGGCTGAGACACGATAATCGCTTGAACCCAGTAGGCAGAGGTTGCAGTGAGCCGAGATTGTGCCATTGCACTCCCACCTGGGTGACCGAGTGAGACTCTATCTCAAATTTTTAAAGTAGCTAATTAATTAATTAATTAATAACAGATATGAGTCTTTAATATACAACATGGTTACATAAAAGATATTTTGGTTTTGTAATATTTATAGGAAAGTTGGAACAATGCCTGGCACATAGTAAGTGTTCTATAAAACGGTGCTGATGGTCAAGTTATTTCTAAGAATAAGTGCGGATATAGTGTCTGGGAGGGGCAAATGGTTTTGAAGCAGACGAACTCTAGAAGGGGATGTGAAGACTTTAACCTTCTGGTTCTCCGAGCTGTGTTACCACATTGCCAGGAGTCAGACTGAGGATCTTCTCAGGGTGAGAGTAGCAGCAGAGCAAGACGGTTCTGAAGCTTTCTCTGATCATATCGGGGGCTCTCTGGAACAGGTGAGTGACCTGATTTTCAACAAATGACACAGTAAGATGGTGTTCAGACCATCATCAAACCTCTGTGGATTCCGATGGAATTATACCTCTTGCCAGGGGCTGAATGGAGAATAGCTTCTTATGAGATTGACAGGAATGTCAGGACCTGAAATTTCTTCACTTCCTAACAATGAACAAATAATGCTGTTAGCTTTTCTTACATCATCATTAGATTTCCCTTTCATACGTGGTGCCCAGAGTATTTGGAGGTCAAACAATGGCCAGCTATGGAGTGACGTCCCTGTAGTTTGGGTAGGGGCTTATTCCTATAGACAAGGGATAAATCTCAATAAAGTTACTAGTTTCTTCTTTCTGTAGAGGCCCAGAGGTGGAGGTTACATAAGACAGTCATCCTGCCCTCTTTTCCTGATGTGGCTAGTGCAGAGGGAGCTGTGCTGAGTGCATACAATGTCCTAGGGGGATGTTCCTCGCGTTTAAAAAGGACATTGTATGAGGAAGCCAATTCTGGATGCATTTACAAATCTTCCCAATAAACTGAGCCTAAAGTGCTATTCTTTCTTGAAGAGTTTAAAAGGAATAAAAAAAAAAAAAAACCTCATGGAAAGAAAAAAATGAGGGACCCTGGAACATCTTCTTTTCAATGAGAATGGGAAATTGGTTGATACATTGAAGCAAAGATTTTCAGCTTTTAAGGCTCCAGTCTCCTCTGCCTGTAAACAAACATGGGGCAACGAGAAACAACAGCAGCAAGAAGACACACTCTTAATCCAGGACAATAGCAAAACACTCTTCTAAAAAAGATGCGCTAATGATCCTTTGTGATACTAAATTGTGCAATTAGAAAGATGGAAAGCAAATAGCCTTAATTTAAAGGCTACATATTTTGTTCACCCCCTACTGATCACTGCTGCCAGACCCTGTGGGTTTTTGCTGAATTCATATGTCTTTTGCTCTTGAGCCATGAAATTATTTGTCATTTCTCTCTAGTGAACTGTTAATGGAGAGCACTAAAATTCAATTTAAAAGTGGGAGTTACTACATAATACTATCATTGATGATGGATTATGGGATTTAAAGGGACTGTCCACATCATAACTTTTTTGAGGTTATAAACTATCAGAAAGAAAAGACCTCTGTAATATGCTAATGCAGAAAAAGCCAAACATGTTCATGGGAATATAGCTACTGATGAGACTTCATCATCACCTCATGGACAAAATAGGCTGAAAATCCCATGATCTAATTACAAAGACTCCCCAAGGAAGAATGCACTGGATCCAGGTGGTTAAAAAAATTATTGCCAGCCGGGCGCGGTGGCTCACACCTGTAATCCCAGCACTTTGGGAGGCCAAGGCAGGCAGATCACCTGAAGTTAGGAGTTTGAGACCAGCCTGACCAAAATGGAGAAAAACCGTCCTACTAAAAATACAAAATTAGCCAGCTGTGGTGGCACATGCCTGTAATCCCAGCTATTCCGGAGGCTGAGACAGGAGAATTGCTTGAACCCAGGAGGTGGAGGTTGTGGTGAGCCACAGTTGCACCACTGTACTCCAGCCTGGGCAACAAGAGTGAAACTCTGTCCCTACCAAAAAAAAAAAAAAAAAAAAAAAATTATTGCCTTTTAGATAAGAATATTGACAGCCAAACTTCTTTGCCAGAGATGTCTAGATGTTCACCAAACCTGGTTTTCTCTTCCTTCTGGGTCATATCTTGATGACATTTCTCAGCCTCCCTTGCCCTGTCCTGTGTGGTCTGTGTCTGGACTCAGAGACGTGGCATGTGCTTGGAAGTGACACGCACCACTCCCAAGCCCCACCCATAAATCCCTCTGGTGTGATATACTCCATGTTCTTCCCCACACTCTCCTGTTGGCAACCACGGTAAAAGAGAGCTGAGCTAGAAGATGGTTCCTGAATGATTGGCGAGAAGCTGCCTGCTGGTCAGATACATACTTTTGGGTGTTGGGTAAGTGAGAAATAACCTACAACTGGATTAAGCCATGAAGACTTTGGAATGTATGTATTGTATCAGTGGCTAACATTATCTGCATATGTTTAACTGAATTGACAAGCCATTTTATGAAGTGGTCAAGTACATGGGCTTTGGTGTCAGACAGATCTGAATGTGAATCTCTGCTCTGTCAACTGTGGCCACATAAACTTGGGCATGTTGCTGAATCTCTCTGAGTCTGGGTTATCTCATTTATGAAACCAGGATGGGCGTGCCCACCTTGCACCTCTTTATGAGACAGTAGTAAGATCACATTTTTCAGTTGTTGGCACAAGCTGGCACACAGCAGGTGCTCATGCTCCTCTTTCCAGTACCAGTTTATTCAATTCAAGATGCAGGTGCAGTCCTGGCTCAAGCAGATTTTTCCAAGATTAGGAACCCAGCGGTTGGGAAACAGTACATGAAATTACAAAGCTGAGTTATATAGATGCCCATCTACTCTAGGCGTTTCTAATGCAAATATTGTAAACCAGAGGCTTGTAGGCTGAATTCAGCCCTTGGCTATGTCTTGTTTGGTGTAAGTACAGTGTTAAAGGTTTTTAAATTACTTAATATTTGAAATTACAGTGAAAATAAAATTTCTAGTTCGTCTCTCTCTCTTTCTTTCTCTCTCTCTCTTTCTCTCTTTCTTTCTTTCCTTCCTTCCTTCCTTCCCTCTTTCTTTCTTTCTTTCTTTCTTTCTTTCTTTCTTTCTTTCTTTCTTTCTTTCTTTCTTTCTTTCCTTCCTTCTTTCTTCTTTCGAGAGGGGGTCTTGCTCTGACACCAAGGCTGATCTTGAACTCCTGGGCTCAAGGGACCCACCTGCCTTGGCCTCCCAAAGTGCTGGGATTACAGGTGTGAGCCACTGCAGCCAGCCTCTAGCTTAGCTTAAGTAATTGAATCCTCTGACACAGTTGGCCCACATTCTCACCTTGGTAATAATGGAGTGGAGCAGAGTATCAACTGCCTGCTCTGGATGGGATCTGCAGTCTCTGGTTACTGCAATTTCCAGAGTACCCACATCTGCTATTATCACCTCTCTGGCTCCTGGAGGGATCTGAGTTTCCAAACATGGATCTCTAGTCTGATGGCCAGGATAGGAAAACCCCATATAATCTTACCATGTGCCAGGTACTGTTCTAAGCATTTTGTCTATAATGTGATTTGATCTTTACAACAAACTTATGTAAATGGTACTCTCATCATTCCTATTTTTTAGAAGAGAAAATAGATGTACGAGAAAATCAGGTAACTTGCCCAAAGTCACGCAATCAGAAGATGGGGTTCAAATCCACGAAGTCCAGCTCCAGCGTTGGGCTCTAAAATGGCTGTGCCACCCCACCTTTTATGTTAACCAGCCCATTTTTGGTGCTATACACATTGTGTGTGTGTGTGCAATACCCCCTTATACCATGTTCTCTTGGCAGGTAGCTTGCAGGAGTTTACCGCTTAAGTGCAGGAAAACCTAGCTGGCAGTTCATTTTAGAAATTAATTCTTGAGGAAGTAGTGCAGAGGACCTCAGTGACTTAGTAGATGGAAGTTAATTACCCATGGCTTTCGTAAGTAGAGAAAGTGCCAAATGAAATGGAGAGAAAGCCAGATTCAGACAAAAGGAAATATCTGCCAAATGCCTCCTTTCTCCAGCTCCAGAGGAGAAAATAAACAGGATTGCAAGAAATATCCAGATTCCTGTATTTTACAATAATAAGGTAATTTCTGACCTAATTTATTTGTGGATCCCTCACTTCTTATTATATCACTAGCTAAGACCTCAACAATGAGAAAAAAAAGTCAAATGTCCCAAGGCAGCTTTATTTGGGATAGTAAATATCCTAAAACCCTGTGAGGCAGATGATGTTAATAATATCACTATTTAGCTACTGGAAACCCTGAAGTATCAGAAGGTTAAATGACTCCTCTAGGCTCATAACCATCCAGATGTCCTGGCTCTTACCCAATGTCCTAGCACCGTCATTCCCAGATTTTAATAATAATGCTTGCATTATGATGCTGCGGGGCTGTTTTCAAAGCTGAAAAACATTTTTATTTGATTTTTAATCTCACAACAACTTTATGGCATAAGTAAAACCAGCTTATCACATTTTTTTAATGATAAAACCTGAGTCTAAGAGAGATGACTAAACTTGCCCCTGGTCACAAAGCAGAAAATAATAGAGAAATAAATCCAGATCCTCTGATTTCAACTGCAGTAAGTATTCTACTACATTAACTTGCTATGTACCATTTTCTTCCTAGAGTCAAGAATTCTGGAGCTGTTTCAGAGAGCTGCACACAAAGGTTTACCAGCAAATATCCTGGAGTTAGTAAAAGAGCCTAGTTTTTAGATCGGTAGTCCTTTTCCTATTTTTAATTTTAGATTCAAGGGCCACATGTGCAGGTTTCCTACAAGGGTATATTGCACCCATGCGGAGCTTTGGGTTTCTACTGATCCCGTCACCCAAATAGTGGACATAATACCTAATAAGGGCCAGGCGCGGTGGCTCACTCCTGTAATCCCAGCACTGTGGGAGGCCAAGGCGGGCAGATCACTTGAGGTCAGGAGCTCAAGACCAATCTGGCCAACCAGGTGAAACCCCGTCTCTACTAAAAATACAAAAAATTAGCCAAGCATGGTGGCATGCACCTGTAATCCCAGCTACTCAGGAGGCTGAGGCAGGAGAATCACTGGAACTCCTGAGGTGGAGGTTGCAGTAAGCCGAGACTGCACCACTGCACTCCAGCCTGGGAGACAAAGTGAGACTGTCTCAAAAAACAAGAAACCAACCAACAAACAAAAAAACCTAATAGGTAGTTTTTCAACCCTTCCCCTTCTCCCACCTACCTCTCCCTTGGAGTCCCCAGTGTCTACCATTTCCATTTTTATGTCCATGTGTACCCAATGTTTAGCTCCTACTTATGAGCGAGAAAATGCAGTATTAGGTTTTCTGTTTCTGCATTAATTCACTTAGGATAATGGCCTCCAGCTGCAACCATGTTGCTGCAAAGGACATCATTTTGGGTTTTTTTATGGCTGCATAGTATTCCATGATGTATATGTACCACTTTTTTTTAAATCCAATTTGCCATTGATGAGCACATAGATTGATTCAATGTCTTTGCCATTGTGAATAGCGCTGCAATAAACATTCGTGTTCATGTGTCTTTGATAGAACAATTTATTTTCCTTTGGGTATACAGCCAGCAAGAGAATTGAGAAATATCCAAACTGGTGTCCACAGTGACTAAACTAATCTACATTCCCACCAACAGTGTATAAGAGTTCCCGTTTCTCTGCAACCTAGCCAAAATTTATTATTTTTTGATGTTTTAATGATGGCCATTCTGACTGGTATGAGATGGTGTCTCACTGCGGTTTTGAGTCACATTTCTCTGCTGATTAGTGAGGTTCAACATTTTTTCATATGTTTCTTGGCCACTTGTCTGTCTTCTTTTGAGAAATGTCTGTTCACGTTCTTTTCTAGGTAGGTAGTCTGAAAAGGCACAAGATTGAGGAACCTGGAAGTGAAAAGCCAGAAGAAGTGTTATCAAAAGCTAGAGAAGCCAATAAACAGAGTTCCAGACTTGAGCCATTGAAACAGAAAGAAGTCAGGAAAATTATATATACATCCAGTATAAGGCAAGCAGAATTGGAGAAAAGTACTATCAGTTATGATTGTATCGGCTGCTTGTGGACAGGAACCCAATCACAGTGACTCGTTCACATGTGGGTTTATTTTCCTTATGTAACTATAATCTGGAAATTAACAGGCCACAGTTAGTACTGTGACCTTTCAATGCCTTAAGCTCACAGACTCCTTCTTGGCTCTCTGCTCCATCCTTAGTTTGTTGCTTTCATTTGAGGCTCAAAATGTGGGCACTGTGTCCACTGTCCAAGAAAAAAAGAGAATAAAGAGCTAAAGAAACAGAGAGGCAAACCATCTGGGACAGTCCCCTTTTTAAAGAACATTTCTAGAAATCTCCCCTTTACAATGCTTGGCTGCATCTCACTGGCCTGAATTATGTTGTATGACCACTCCTGGTTAAAAGGGATTCAGACAAACTGAGGTTTCTTTGGTTTTGAGATCATTACATAGCTATTCTGCACAGAATTCAGCTCTATAACTGCATCAGTTAGCATCCTAATGGGAAACAGATGGCACATCCAAATTAAAATATTAAGATGATAAATGGGCCACAGACAATGGTGCAGCTAGGTGTAGGGCGTCTCCGAAGATCCATACAGTTACCTGGGACCAGTAACAGGCTATCAGTTAGGCCAGAAGGGATGAAGAGAGAATGAGCTATCCCAACCAGGCAAGGCAGAAGTAGGCAGAGAATGCCACTTTGAAAGGAGTAGTGACCTTTGATCAAAGGACACTATCAGCCCAAGGCAACCTAGAAAAAGAAAAGGTACTAATAGCCTGCACTCACTTTCCACCCTCCCTCTTATATCTGCCAAAACTCCCTATTGGCCAAACAGAAGCCCAGGGCAAATGAACCTTTTGATGTCATCCCTATGGGGCAGTACCTTGAGGATGACAGCAAACTCACAGGAAGTGGATTCAGAATCAAACAGACAAATCCTGTCCAGGACTCAAATTTTTAACCGCCTTTCTTCCCCAATTTGTTCTTATCTACCTGTGTTCCCTCAGTTTGGAACATTAAGATATTCCTGCCCACTACCCTTCTCTCACCTAAGCCCTTCTCGTCCTTCAGCCTAAGAATCACATCCACGTAGAGGCCATATGCTCTCAAGGTACCCCCCTGGGAGGCACTCACCACCCTGTAATTTACCTAATTAATGGGCATTTTACATCAGGCTGTATGCACCTTCACAATCTTTTTTATTCCAGCAATGCCCAGTGCAAATATAGCACAGAGATCTATTAGACATTCAATAAGTATTTGTTTGTATTTATCATTGCAAAATAGGAATTGCTCAATTGCCCACAGTTTGGGGTGTATGGAATATATGCATTGGCAGCTGAGTTGTCCTGTAGAATATTTCATTTCAGCCTGGAGGATTATTTCTGCTTAATCCTGAAAATTGATCTGTGAGAGACTCAAGCAGCAGATCTGGTTTCTCTGCCCTGGGCAATGTCGGGGAGGCTTGGACAAATTCAAGACTTCTTGCGCAGCCCCAGGCTTTTGTGATGAATTGAGCTCTTCTACCTTTTGCATGGGTAATGAAGAAGGGCAGGGGGCAACACTGGCAATTATTTCTCGATGCACAGGCAGCAGATATGGCTTTGATGAGTGTGTGTGCATACACGCACGTGTGTGTGTGTGTCTATTTGTGCACACAGATGGACATGAGAAGGAGGCGTTAGAGATTGTGGCTTGGCCAAATAATCCCACACATCTCTTGCCCTGAGGACACATGTGAATGATTTGAGGAGGCCCTTTGTGGTTTTGTTTTGTTTTGTTTGAGATGGGGTCTCATTCTGTCGCCCAGGCTGGAATGCAGTGGCATGATCTTGGCTCGCTGCAACCTCCCCCTCCCGGCCTCAAGTGATCCTCCCACCTCAGCCTCCTGAGTAGGTGGGATCACAGACATGCACCACCATGTCTAGCTAATTTATTTGTATTTGGTAGAGATGGGGCTTTACCATGTTGCCCAGGCTAGTGTCAAACACCTGAGCTCAAGCAATCTGCCTGCCTTGGCCTCCCAAAGTGCTGGAATTATAGGCATGAGCCACCGCACCTGACCATGGAGGCCCTTTGTTAACATGAGTTCATGGTAGCCAGAGCCCAAAGTCAGCCAACTTTTCCCTCATCTTGTCCAAAGATGACTAGAATTTCTGTCTTCCTCTCTGAAAACAACAAAGGAATTTTCCAGTTGTATGCTAGATGGGTTACAGTTGTAGCTGTTACACTAACAAACTCTGCTCATCCTTCCCCCAAGTAGCTACAGGGACCCTGAAATGTACTCTTTGTACATTTCTTTTATGCTCTACAAAGATGTATAATTATATACTGTGATTAGACAACTTAATCATACAATATTGATTAAGCAGCTAGGCAGAGCATGTTTCTTTCTAATCTGTGCTGCATCTTCATCATGTAATATAGTCAACAACTGATAGGTGTTGAGTAAATAAAGATGTAACGCATTGTCATGATACTTGAGGGAAGTGTTAGTACTTCAGAGTCTCTTATTCTTCATGTTAACCCTTAGGGTGTTATAGTCATCTTACCATAGTCCCTCCCCCAGTTCATGTGCACCCTTCCTGTATCACTGTTGATACTCTCAGAAGTGATCCCCTTACTGGGTATGCAATTACCTCAAAACATACTATTTGATGTAATTAATAAATTATAATTTATCTTACCTTACTGATTTTAGTATACTTGATTATATTTGAGAATAGCTGGACAAATTTTAGGATGTAATCTAGCATTATTAAAAACAAATGTACAAAATTATTAGGAGATCATATTTATCCCTTGTTCCTGAATCACTGGGGAAGATGTGATTCATGCCTGCTCCATGCTATGCATTTGAAAACTGAAGCACGTGCGTGTATGTGAGTGCACACAATAACATGAAGATAGAGTCTCTCCAATAATTCAACTTATACAAGCCCATATTTATCTCAACATTGTATATGTAGATTTCTATAGCACCCTGAAAGTTGAATTCTTAAATATTCATGTGTGTAGTAAACTGATACTGAAGTTTCAATCATTCACAGCTTACCATCTTGCCATCCCCTCCATCTGCCCAGCCACCTCCCACTCATCCTTCCAGGCCCCATCCAAGCATAAGCTCCACCCATACTGATGCTTCTCTTAGTCAATTTGTCTTTGTGCTTTATCTATTTCACCCCAGGAAATCCCAATTTAACAGAGTTCACCTATTTTCTACTTGCCTATGATGGATCATTTATTATTTCATCACAGAATTTTATCTTTTGTTTTTTATGTGCATAAGTATTTTATCTCCCAACTAATAATAAAGGCTAACATTTATTGAGCACTTTTCTGTATCAATTCATTTAATCTTCCTAATAAACGCTAAAAGTGTGTATTATTATTATTATTTCCATTTTATCAGATAAAGTAGTGGACACAAAGAAAGTGTAAGAAACTTTTCCTAGGTCACCTACAATTAGGTAAATTCATCCACTTTTTTTCTACAGTCATGAAATATTTACTCATAGCAATGTTGTTTTAGATGAGAGGTTCTGCATAATCAGTTATTCCTGGGGAGGGGCAGTAGCTTGTAGTTTTGCAGCTATAGCTATACCTCTGAAACTTCCCATAGTGCCAGGCATATAGTACCTGCCAGAGGCATGCTTGTGGGTTAACTGAGCTATTACATATTATATATGATTTTGAATTTACCAAACAAGATTAAATTTAATGTTAAGCTAAGGTACAATCCTACAGAATCTCAATGCCACTGAGATATGCTCTTTCTCCATGCATATGGTTGGATGGCCACACAGCCCAGCTCACTTAGTAGAAGAAAGCCACCTCCTAGTACTCTGCCCCTCCAGGAGAAATTTGATTTTGGATTAAGAGTTCACTTTCAAACCAAACTGTACACATCCTGCTGCTTTATTTCATAATTGCATATTGACATGAATGCAGTGACAGTTGGGGTCCCTCTGGCCAACTGCATGCTACGAGAATCTTCTTCCTAGAATCTAACCCAACTGATCAACGGTTATTACAGCTCTGGGGTTCCTTACAGTCAAAAGATTTGTCTCTGTCAAGATTTTTAGTAGAGGAAAAGGCATTATCTTCTAGATAGGGTTATATAAAGCAGCTCTCCAGCATTAAGAAACATAGCTTTGCCAATACTTCTGCTCATTGCAAAGAAACAGGTAAGGCACCACTTCCAGAATATATGGCAAAGGGAATGGAGTTGAGTCTTGGCTCTAACACAGTTTAACATCCCCAAATCCAAACTGTCTAAATAGGTACACGTTGAATTCTTTGTCAAACAATTTATAGAACTGGATGGAATCTAGTTATCAAAATTTCCCATTTTATTGTTAATTAAATAAAGGTTTTTATAGACCTGTGTGACTTGTCCAAAGCTATGACTACCTGGGTAGGTAGTGTCAGACTGGGTAGTAAAATAGAGGCCTTATAATTCTTTTTTTTTTCTTTTTGAGATGGAGTCTTGCGCTGTCACCCAGGCTGGAGTGCAGTGGTGCAGTCTCAGCTCACTACAACCTCTGCCTCCCAGGTTCAAGTGATTCTCCTGCCTCAGCCTCCTGAGTAGCTGGGACTATAGGCGCATGCCACCACACTCAGCTAATTTTTGTATTTTTTTGGTAGAGAAGGGGTTTCACCATATTGGCCAGGCTGGTCTTGAACTCCCAACCTCGAGATCTGCCTACCTTGGCCTCCCAAAGTGCTGGGATTACAGCTGTGAGAGGCCTTATAATTCTTATTCCAGAATTATTTTCTTAGTACTCTGATATTCTCAACTGCTTATAGAATATGCCGTCTCACAGACACTTCTCAAAAGAAGACATGTAAGTGGCCAACGAACATGAATAAATGTTCAGCATCACTAATCATCAGAAAAATGCAAATTAAAGCCACAATGAAATACCATCTCATACCAGCCGGAATGATTATTGTTAAAAAGTCAAAAAAGAGGCCGGGCGCGGTGGCTCATGCCTGTAATCCCAGCACTTTGGGAGGCTGAGGCAGGCAGATCACGAAGTGAGGAAATCAAGACCATCCTGGCTAAGACAGTGAAACCCCATCTCTAATAAAAATACAAAAAAAAAAAAAAATTAGCCAGGGGTGGTGGCAGGCGCCTGTAATCCCAGCTACGCGCGAGGCTGAGGCAGGAGAATAGTGTGAACCTGGGAGGCAGAGCTTGCAGTGAGCCGAGATCACGCCACTGCACTCCGGCCTGAGTGACAGAGTAAGACTCTGTCTCAAAATAATAATAATAATAATAATAATAATAATAATAATAATAATAAAATAAAAAATAAAAAGTCATAAAATAACAGATGTCGGTGAGGTTGTGGAGAAGAAGGAATGCTTATGCTGTTGGTGGGAATGCAAATTAGTTCAACCCTTATGGAAAACAGTACAGAGATTTCTCAAGAACTAAAAATGGAACGATCTTTTGACCCAGCAATCACATTAATGGGTACAAATGAAAAGAATTGTTTTATAAAAAAGACACATGCACTCATAGGTTCATCACAGCATTATTCACAAGAGCAAAAGCATGGAATCAACCTAAGTGTCTGCCAACAGTGGAATGGATAAAGTAAATGTGTTACAAATATACCAGGGGATACTACACAGACATAAAAAAGAACACATTCATGTCCTTAGCAGCAATATGGATGCAGCTGGAGGCTATTATCTTCAGCGAAATCATGCAGGAAAAAAACCGAAATGTTCTCACCTATATGCAGGAACTAAACAATGGGTAAGTATTATCATAAAGATAGAAACAATAAACTCCAAAAGCAGTGAGGGAGGGAGGGGGACCAGGTTTGGAAAAACCACCTATTGGGTTTACTATTTCGGTGATGGGTTCACTAGAGGCCCAAACCCCAGCATTACACAGCACACCCATGTAACAAACCTGCACATGTACCTCTTGACTCTATAATAAAATAAAATATATTTCTTGGGAGGCCAAGGCGGGTGGATCACTAGGCCAGGAGATTGAGACCATCCTGGCTAACACTGTGAAACCCCGTCTCTACTAAAAATACAAAAAATTAGCCGGGCGTGGTGGCGGGCACCTGTAGTCCCAGCTACTCGGGAGGCTGAGGCAGGAGAATGGCGTGAACCCAGGAGGCAGAGCTTGCAGTGAGCCGAGATCGCGCCACTGCACTCCAACCTGGCCGACAGAGCGAGACTCTGTCTCAAAAAAAAGATAATAATAAAAATAAAAAATAAAATAAAATAAAATATATTTCAATTTGAAAAATTGAACAGAACTTCTTTGGAGCACAGCCAGTGAGTCATCCCTCTAATATAAACTATTTCTATTATTGTATAGCCTGAGGATTGGTTAATTACAGATTTGGCATCCCGCTTAGAAGCTATGGAAAACAAAATGAAACAACAAAACAGAGTACGATTGGAATGTGGGACTGGCTTTGAAATCACAGGGTAAAATTTAAGCAAGTGCTCACTGCTTGCAAAGGTCCTGCACCGGACACTTACTTGCTTCTGCCTTTGTCTTGCCATGTCCTGTAGAGGTAGCTCCTGGACCATCCTGTAAATGTGGAAACCCCAGAAGCCTCACACCCTTACCCAACATGTGAGTGTCTATGAATGGGCAACATAAAAATTTTATGGTTTCCACTAAGTTTCTGGGGGCTGTTCAGGGAAGCAAGTCCCATTTTTCTCTCTGCCAGCTAATACAGTTGTCTCCTCTTTTCCAGTTTTATTTACCCAAGGTCAACCACAGACTGAAAATATTAAATGGAAAATTCCCAAAATCAACAATTCATAAGTTTTAAATTGTGCATTGTTCTGAGTAGAGTGATAAAATCTTTCCCAGTCCTGCTCTGTCCCACCCAAGGTATGAATCATCCCTTTGTCCAGCAAATCCACACTGTAGATGTCATCAACCCCTGAGTCAACTAGCAACTGTCTCAGTTATCAGCTCAATGGTCATGATATGGCAGTGCTTATCATGAACTATGATGTGCTTGTATGCACGTCACCCTTATTTTATTTAATAATGCTATGTCACAATTTCTAACTCATTTGTCTCACTTCATCTCACCACAAAGGCATTGTATCTTCTCACATCAGCACAAGAAGGGTGAGCATAGTGCAATCAGATGTCCTGAGAGAGACATTCATGTAACTTTATTACAGTGTATTGTTATAATGTTCTATTTTTTTTTATTGTTGTTACTCTTACTATGCCTCATTTATAAATTACACTTTATCATAGGTGTATTAGTCAGGCTTCCTTCTCCAGAGGGACAGAATCCATAGAAAACATATATTTGAAAGGGAATTTATTAAAGAGAATTGGCTCACATGACCATAAAGGTAAGATCCCTCCACCAGATAGGTTTAAATGATTTCTGCAAGCTGGGGAATGATAGAAGCCAACTGCAGAAGGCCAAACAGCTGCTAAACAGAGGAGCTAGGAGTCACACCCGAGAGTTATATGAACCCAAAGCCACTTCCAATATCTACAGAATCTGACAGCAGAATAGGTGTTTAACGATCTTGAGAAGACTGTTTATTATTTCAGGGTTCATGATGTGATGAGCATCATGATGTTATGAACATGAAAAGCCCCACAAACTCAGTGAGCCAGTCCAAGTGTGGAACCTGAGAAGCAGGGAAGCTGGCAGAGCAGCTCCCAGCCTGAGGCCAAATGCCTGACAGCCCCACGGAAGCCGCTGGTGCAAGCCCCAGAGTCCAAAGGCTGAAGAACCTGAAGTCTGATGTCCGAGGTCAGAAGGAGAAAAGGCGTCCCGCTAGGGAAAAAAGAAAAAGATAAGAGGAGGTGTCAGACTCCGAAAAAACCAGTTCTCACTAGAACTGAGTGAGAACTCACTCGCTCCCAGGAGAATGGCACCAAGCCATTCATGAAGCATCCTCCGCCAGAATCCAAACACTTCCTATCTGGCCCCCCGTCCAACATTGCGGATCAAATTGTGACATGAGATTTGATCGGGCCTAACAAATCATATCCAAACCATAGCAATAGATATGTATGTGTAGTAAAAAACGTAGTATATATAGGGCTCGATGTCATTCACAGTAGACATTTCAGTGTCTACTGGGGGCCTGGGAAATATCCCCTGTGGGTAAGGGGAAGCTGCTGTACATTGGCTGGAGCCAGACCCAGCCTATGGCTGAAAGATCAGAGCTCCATCAGCATAATTTCTGAAAAGAACAAGCTGTTACATCAGTATTTTCCCATGACTTGCAAAAACAAAACAAGAGAATAGAGGTCAAAATGTATCGCATTTCAGCCATGAAAACCTAGTTTAAAGGTGTTTACAGAATTTTTTGCACAACATAAAAAGTGTGGGAAAATCTGCCTTGGCAGGTTGTGCATATGTACAATGTTTCTTAAACAACTAAACAAAGTGATTTAGATAAAAAGATTCTAAGAAAAAAAATTAGTGCAAGCTGCCTGTGATGAGAAAGAGGGAGGAAGGTGGTGAGGTCTGTACTGAAAAGTGTAACTGGCTGGGTCAGATGTAGCTATGATTTCATGTGGGTCCAAACTCCTTTAGACTTTGAGGAAAGTGATAGAAGTCTCAGTTTTGCCATACCTGAAGTCCCTAATACAGGTTTACCTGCAATTAAGCTAACATATTCACTCTGATTTGATTTCTTTTTTTTTTTTTTTTTTTTTTTTTTTTTGAGACAGAGTCTTGCTCTGTCTTCCAGTCTGGAGTGCAGTGGCACAATCTTGGCTCACTGCAACCTCCACCTCCCAGGTTCAAACAATTCTCCTGCCTCAGCCTCTCAAGTAGCTGGGATTACAGGCATCCACCACCACATCCAGCTGATTTTTTTTTTTTTTTTTTTTTGAGACGAAGTGTCAATCTGTCGCCCAGGCTGGAGTGCAGTGGCATGATCTCGGCTCACTGCAAGCTCCGCCTCCCAGGTTCACACTGTTCTGCTGCCTCAGCCTCCCGAGTAGCTGGGACTACAGGCGCCCGCCACAACGCCGGGCTAATTTTGCGTATTTTTTAGTAGAGACGGGGTTTTACTGTGTTAGCCAGGATGGTCTTGCTAGCTCCTGACCTCGTGATCCACCCGCCTCGGCCTCCCAAAGTGCTGGGATTACAGGCGTGAGCCACCGCGCCCGGCCTAATTTTTGTATTTTAGTAAAGACAGGGTTTTGCCATGCTGGCCATGCTGGTCAGGTCTCAAACTCCTGACCTCAGGTGATCCACCCACCTTGGCCTCCCAAAGTGCCGGATTACAGGCTCGAGCCACCGTGTCCAGCCGACTCCGATTTGATTTCTATTACATTTCTAAATTTGTTAGGAACCATTGGAGAAGGATATGATTAGCATTGCAGAAACAACCCATGACATTAGAAGTTAAGAAGAGACAGGAGGTCAAGAAGGAGGAAGGCAGCAACAGGATCAAAGGTGTAGAGAAATCAACAGTAGTAAGCCCTCAGTACATGCTCACACACCAGAAAGGAATCAGGCCAAGGTCATTAGACACATTTCCTCACCTAATTATCAGGGCAGTCCTCTGATGGAGGATTTGTTATATTCATTTTACATAGGTGGGAAGTGAAGTTTAAAGTTAAGCAACTGCACAGGGTCAAGCAGCTGGTAAACAGAGGAGCTAGGCATCACACCCGAGAGCATCTGAGCTCAAAGCCACTTCCAAGCTCTACAGAATCTGACAACAAAATAGGTGCTTAATGACCTTGAGAACACTGTTTATTATCTCAGGGTTCATGATGTCATGAAGCAGACTGCAACTGGTTAACTAGGTAATGGGAGGTAAGGAGAGAGACAACAGAGAGAGTTCAATTTTTAATGCAGTTTGGCATGGAAGGTCAGAAGAGGTGGAGTAGGAAAAATGAGATGCAGGGATTTTTTTTTCTATTCAGATAAAAGAGATTTTGAAATTATTTAAGTGCTGTTAGGAGAGAGAATAGGATGGGAGAGGTGATCATACCTGAGATCTGGGGGATAATTGAGGGAGGGAGTCCCTGAGGAGGCAGCAGAGAAAGGAGAACTATGCAAGTTGAGTCAGTTCCTTTCTCTTAGTTTTTTTTTTCTTGGTGAAGCAGGAAGTGAGGGTGACATCCAAGAATGAATTGAAGAGAGGAGGAGATGGAGGTGATTGTATTTTGAGAGGAGACTACGAATCGTGGACTAGTGTCCAACCAGACAGGACTAAAGAGAAATGACCCAAGCACCAGCTTGTTCAAACAGCCCAGCCTGTCAGTCCTCCCTCTACAGTGATCATGTTTGGGAAAGAAAATCTGTGCTTGTCACTGCTTTAACTATAATTTTCCTGACATTTTTCTTGGTAGACAGGCTTTGTCATTGTTGTGTTATTGCTGTAGGTTACTTGTTTTGGGGGTTTTGATGTTGTTTTTTTCCTTTAAAAAAAAAAGCCAGTTTTTTTTTTCAAGGAATGTTGATTTTTTTTTTTAACTTTTATTTTAGGTTCAGAGGTACATGTGCAGGTTTATTATTTAAGTGAACTCATGTCATGGGGGCTTGTTGTACTGATTATTTCATCACCCATATACTAAGCCTGGTACCCAACAGTTATTTTTTCTGATCTTCCTCTTCTCACCCACCACCCTCAAGTAGGCCCCAGTGTTTCTCCCCTCTATGTGTCCATGTGTTCTCATCGTTTAGCTCCCACTTGTAAGTGAGAACATGCAGTATTTGGTTTTCCGTTCCTAGGTTAGTTTGCTAAGGGTGATGGTATCCAGCTCCATCTATGTTCCTGCAAAGAACATGATCTCCCTCTTTTGTATGGCTGTGTAGTAAGGAATGCTGATTTTAATAGACATGGATCTCATTCTGTCTTATATTATCCAGCTGTGTCAACAGAAGACATTTACTGAGGTCTACCCTATGGGCCATGATTTCAATAAAACCCATTCTGATTTCCTGATATACCGTGACCTTGGACAATGTCATACCAAAGCTTCTAACTAATCCTGTAAACTCTTTAGATTTTCCCACAGTGTTCTCTCTTCATTAAGCATCAGGTATTTTTTTCCCCAAGTAAATAATCAAATGTAAATGAGTTTTTATAGTGCGTCCATGGTTGTGGTACGTGAAGTAGAACATTTAAAAAGGGCACAATTTTTAAACTTAAGGAGCTTCTATTTCAAATGCCACTGCAAAACAACATGCAATAAATGACTAGAGAACAATGTAAAAGAGAAAGTGCTGTTTCTCTGAGTGGATGGTGATTAGCGTGGGCTGGCATGGCCTTCAAGGAAAGGTAGGATGGAAGTGGTGTCTTTAAGGAGAGTAGAGCTGGACCAGTCAAGAGCAAGGGACAAGGTGCTTTGAATTGGAAAGATAGAATGTAAAGGTATAGAGGTGAGCTTAACTAGATCACATAGGAAGTTCGGTAAGGAATCTCTGCAAGGGGGTGTTTGTAATAAGGAAATATGGTAAACAAGTTTGATAGCACACAAAATCATAGAGTAAAAGCAACCTTCAAACCCACCTATAACATCTCTTATTTTACAGTTTAGAAGACTAAGGCTGAGAGGCAAATGATTTCCTGCGTTTTCTCAGCAGGAAGAACTGGGTTAAACATTCAGGTTTTTGTTTGTTTGTTTATTTGTTTATTTTAATTACAAGTGTTATAGGCCCAGGGGTGAGCATGCACAGAGAAAAGGCTTTGTGAGGACACAGTGAGAAGATGGCTGTATGCAAACCAAAGAGAGAGGTCTCCGGAGAAACCTGACCTGCTGACACCTTGATCTGGGATTTCCAGCCTCCAGAACTGTAAGAAAGTAAATGTTGATGGTTTAAAAAAAGGTGGGTGGATCACCTGAGGTCAGGAGTTTGAAACCAGCCTGGCCAACATGGTAAAACCTTGTCTCTACTAAAAACACACACACACACAAAATTAGCCATGCATGGTGGCAGGCACCTGCAATCCCAGCTACTTGGGAGGCTGAGGCAGGACAATCGCTTGAACCCAGGATGCAGAGGTTGCAGTGAGCAGAGATCCCACCACTGCACTCCAGCCTGGGCAACAGAATGAGACTTTGTCTCAAAAAAAAAATAAAAAAAGAAAGGGGGGTTATTGACTGAATGTTTGTGTCCCCTCAAAATCCCAAAATTTATTTGTTGAAGCTTCAAAGTCTAATGTAATGGTATTTGGAGGTGGGGTTTGGGGAGGAAATTACAGTTAAATGACATATAAGGGTGAAGCCCAAGTCAACTAGGATTCGTGCCCTTATAAGAAGGGTCACCAGAGAGTTTGCTCCTCCCACCACCCCCACCAGCCCCACATGCACAGAGAAGAAGTCACATGAGTGCACAGAGAGATGATGGTTGCCTACAAGTCGAAAGAAGAGGCCCCAGAATGAAAGCTATTTGGCTAGTACCTTGATCTTGGACTTTCTTCCCAGTCTCAAGAATTGTAAGAGATAAATTTCTGTTGTTTAAGACACCTAATCTATGGTATTTTGTTATGGTAGCCTAAGCAGACTAAGAAGGCAAGAGTTGATTGCCAAACCAGAGGCTTTCCTATATTCATTGCTGTCTCTTACAGGGCTGTTTGTAGGGAGGCTTAAGAGCACAGAAGTGAAGCTTACTGGCTGTGTGATAGCCCCAGATGCAAAACTGGTTTTGATCGTTACAGTCATGTGACTTTGGACATATTGGTATTTTTTTAAAACCTCTCAGTCTCTGTTTCTTCATTTGTGTAGTGGGGTTACTAATGGAATCCATTTAGAATGCTTTGCATGTATATATTAAATAATACATGCAAAGTGCTTATCATAATGCAGAGAACATACTAAGTATCTGATATGTTATCTATTGTTTTATTCATTTTCATTCATTTCTTTCATGGGAGACTGATATATTTGTTAAGATTATTTGAGATATATAAAGGTAGATTAGATAGAGGGCTTACTGCTTAACAGGAGAGATAAGATTTACAGACAAAAATTTATAATAAAAGATAAAAAGTAGTCAGGGTTGTCAGTCAGGCACAGATAAAGTACTGTGGTCATTAAGAAAAAAAGATAAATTTATTTGTGTGTATAATTGGAAATGGCTTTGAGGAAATGATGGATTATTTCAAAAATAAACATGCCAGAAAAAAAGCAACCAAATACTTGCTATCCTTCAGTCACTCTGGGAGGCTGTGCACTTATGAAGTGATTCTTCAGTTAACAGTCAAATTACATTTGGGAGTGGGACTTTAGGGAGGAAATTACAGTTAGATGACATCATGAGGGTGAAGCATAAGTCAGCTAGGATTAGTGCCATTGTCAGAAGAGTCAGCTGGGGGTGGTGGCTCACGCCTATAATCCTAACACTTTGGGAGGCCAAGGTGGGTGGATCCCCTGAGGTTCAGGGCTCAAGACCAGCCTGGCCAACATGGTGAAAACCCATCTCTACTAAAAATACAAAAAATCAGCTGGGCATGGTAGCAGTTGCCTGTAATTCCAGCTACTCAGGAGACTGAAGCAGGAGAATCACTTGAACCCAGGAGGTGGAGGTTTCAGTGAGCTGAGATCGCACCACTGCACTTCAGCCTGGGCAACAGGGCAAGACTGTCTCAAAAAAAAGAGTCACCAGAGAGCTTGCTCCTCCCTGCCTTTGGGAACTGCCCCCACAGTCATTGACGCAGTCACTCAGGAGATCACCTTCCCAATTGCATTTTAGAAGGAAGTGGCAGATTCATGATGCAGAAGGGAGGAGAGAAGGCAGGAGGTGAAGGAGATGGCACAGGCAGAGGTACAGAGTGGTGACTGAAACCACACGCCATGTTGGGAGACTTCCAAACAAGTCTAGAGAGTTGGCACTTAGGGATGAAGAAATCATCTTCTGGTGAGTCTGAGCAGTCCTTCCTGACCTGCCTAGCAGATACACTAAGTTAGAACTGATGCCAGTGGATTATTTAGGATATTGCTCAGGGAAAAATTGGGAAGGGTCATAGAGAAAGACTGAAAGGACCCAAGAATGAGATTGGGTAGGTCCGTGAGAGCCCAGGGAACTGGGTTTTCATGTGGGTGATGAGACATCATGCTGAACAGAAGTGCTGCTAGACATTCTTGCATTTTATTCTTTTTTTAAAAGGAAATGTTTTAATCATTACAAAATTAAATATGATCTTTGTTGTAGTGTTTTTTTAATTGAAACTTTATCAGATTAAGGAAGTTTCTTTCTAATCTGGATTTAGTGATCTTTTTTTTAATCATGAATGGCTATGACATTTAATTTTTTGGCTTCAATTGAGTTACACTGTTCTTCTTTTTTAATATATTAATGCAAGAATTTATACAGATAGATTTTCTAATGTCAAATCAATTGACATCATGACCAACTCGGACATGATGCATTTCTTTTAAACATTGCTGGATCAGCTTTGCTAGTGTTTTGTTTAGGACATTTGAACCTGTATTCTTGAGTGAAATTGGCCTCTCACTTTCTCTCCTTTGGACTATGCTTCTGTGGTTTACATTATGACAGTAATAGCGTCATAAAATAAGTTTGGGAGGATTACATCCTTTCCTCTGGAAGAATTTTATAGGATAGGAATACATTCCTTAAAGATGACATTTGACCACACTGGTTAGATACTGTGATGTTTTCTTAGTGGAAATTTTTTAAATTCAGGGTTCAATATATGTAGTGATTATAGAATCATTATTCCTTCTTGAGTCAATTTTGATTAGATTTTTAATTTTTTTTTTTTGAGACAGGGTCTTGCTGTGTCACTTAGGCTTGTATGCAGTGATGCAATCACAGCTCACTGCAGCCTTGACCTCCCAGGTTCAAGCAATCCTCCCACCTCAGCCTCCCATGTAGCTGAGACTACAGGCACTACCACATGTGGCTAATTTTTTAAATTATTTGTAGACATGGGGTCTCCCTATATTGCCCAGGCTGGTCTTGAACTCCTGGGCTCAAGCAAGCCTCTCACCTCAGCTTTCCAAAGGGCTGGAATTACAGGTATGAACCATGATGCTGGGCCTAGATTTTTTTCCTATGGATGTGTGCATTTTATTTATGTTCAAAATCATTTACTTAAATTATTATTTACAGTATGCTTAGTTTTCTTTTAAATTTCTGATGTTTCTTCTAAATTTTTATAGTTTCATCCTCCTTTATATTTCAAACATTCTTAATTTGTGCTTTATTTACTTGTTTTCTTAATCAATTTATCCAGGGTTTTTTGTGTGTGTACATGTGTTTGTTTTTCAAATTTTGAAGACCCAACTTTTGTCTTTGTTTACCTACTCTATAGCATCTGTTTTCTATTTCATTTATTTCTGTCTTCATCTTTATTACTTATTTCCTTTTGATTTTAGTTGAGTTTATTCTGGGTTTCTTATACCCAAAAGATGCAATCATATGTTGAGAGAAATGGCAATTAAACTTATTAAATTTTCAGTGGGATGAGTGACATGCTCCCTTACCACCAAAAAATGCCAAGAACTATTCCAGAGAAATACATTTAGGGTATGTTTTTAGGATTTAGATTGACCGGAATTCAAATCTATGGAGTTTGGGGTATATTAAATAGTTTTGTTTCTCCATTTGTAAAATAACAGTCAAAACAATTATACCTCATAGGGTCTTGCGGCATTTACATGAAATAATCCGTGTGCCATGCTTAACGCATAGTTGCCCTCACAATAGGACCTCAGTATACAGTGACAATTCTTACTGGCATATGGATAAGATAATAAGGAATTATGTGATGTCAGCCAACTGAGAGTAATAGACAATAAATGCTATAGTGTTGAAAAGTGGAGCACAACTGTTGGCTGGAATAGCCAAAGAAGTCTTCTGGAAGAATCTAAAATAAACTTGATGTTGGTAAAAGGGAGAAGCACTGGGACAGGCAGACAAATGGGCATAGCATAAGACATAAGAAAAAAGAACAAATCACCTTGAGATGGGATCCAGTTTTCAAATACCATCCTTCGCATTACTTACATTATAAGTACATTTCATAATTTGCTAATACACTGTCATTCTCAAGTTTTTAATCTATGTTGTCTTTGTCTCCCCTACAAATTCATTTTGTAAAATAAATGAAGACAGAGCCTTCATCTTTTATTTCTCCTGTGATCCTCCACAGCATTTAGTATTCTACTCTATATACAATGAGCACTTAATCACAATGCCTATTGCATGAATAAGTCCTTACTTCTGGGAGTGTGACCTCTGTCTTACTTTCAGCACTTATTCTTCTCATAGTGAGGGTGACTGTAGAATACCTAGTGACTATCAGGTGAAAAGTCTACAAGAAAATTGTTGGGGGGATAATTTGGAATCAGTCCACAGAGGAAATAATAAAAGGTTCTGAAGTTGATGGGTAATCCCTCAGAAATGTTTTTGATAAGACACCTCTTCAAAGTAAAAGAGAGAGCCCACTTTTCTCATAGATGGTGGAATGGTACGTCAATCAAGCTATTCTAGACACTAAAGGGGCTTCTGGCCAGGATTTGTGTTTTCTTTCCAAGCATGGAGCCAGCTGGATAAACCTTACTTAACTATGAGAAAGAACAATTTAGTAAGGAATTGGGAATGTCACATTATTTAGGAAATATCTATTACAAAAAACCAAATTACATATCATGTTAGTCTGATCTCATGCTACTATAAGGACATGCCTGATTCTGGGTAATTTATAATGGAAAGAGGTTTAATCGACTCACATTTCTGCAGGGTTGGGGAGGCCTCAGGAAACTTACAATCATGGCAGAAGGGGAAGCAAACACATACTTCTTCACATGGTGGCAGGAAGGAGAAGAATGAGTGCCTAGCGAAGGGGGAAGCCCCTATAAAACCATCAGATCTCATGAGAACTAACTCACTGTCATGAAAAGAGGATGGGGAAAACCGCCCCTATGATTCAATTATCTCCACCTGGTTTCTTCCACAACATGTGGGGATTATGGAAACTACAATTCAAGATGAGATCTGGGTGGGGACACAGCCAAGACATATCACATATATAACTTAAATTGATCAGTATTTAATGGATACCTAGTTGCCAGTTACCCTGTTGGTTCTTGAAGAGACAATGATGAGTAAGAATGATTTATATCCTTAAAGATCTTACACCAAAGAGAGAAGGAAACACATAGGTATGCATACCAGGATATAAAGTCAGGCTATGCCAAACACAAACATAGATAAACAGAGTGCTATAAAATTAGTGGATAGCAGAAATTAATTTTGAGTTGGAGTCAAGGAAGGTATCCCAGAAAAGGTAATACTGGAGATAATTCTTGAAGTACCAGTGGAATTTAAACACATGTGAGGCTAGGGAATTTTAAATACCTGGAAAGTGGCATGCTTCTGGAATGGAACACAGGCTGGCAGAATTGCAATTTAGGGTGAATGGGGAGACTGGTGGAGTCAACTGTTAGCTATATAATTCTGAATAAGATTTGAGAGGTCAAGTGTCAGGATGGCTGAGTGGTCTAAGGCACCAGACTCAAGCTTAAGATTTGGGAGGTCATGAGAAAAACAGAGGAGGTTAGATATGAGAATCACTGTAAGGCCATATATGGCAAAAGCTGACAACCAGTTGAATGCCACAGGTGGAAGCAATGAAAGAATCAATGATGAATGAGCTTTTTAGCTAAGGAAAAGCAGTAAATAGTGATGTCTACACCTGTAATAAAAAATCAGACACAAGAAACAATTTAGACATAGGGTCGACATATTGAAGATGAGATGTGAGTTAAATGTGGCTATAGAGGCTGCATTAGGAAATACGGGTTGTGAAAATATGCGATACTGGAAAGGAAAAAGGCTTGTTAGACTAGTATAAAGAAAGTTAGGATGGGTGAAAATTAGGTTACATTTTACATGGAAGGAAAGGAAATTGATATAATTTGACACAAAAAGCCTTAACTATAAGCTATCCCCCAATGACTCCCAAATCTACATCTCTAAACAGACCCTTTTATTAGAATCATAGGCTGTATATTTATTTAAATTATCATCATCATTACTTGGTTATAGGGTAAGAATTTCAAACTTAACATTTTCAAAACAGATTCATGATTGACATTAGATCATTGTGAGTGTATAAAAATGCAACTGATTTCTGGGTACTGACTTCTTATCCTGCTACTTTACTGAATTTATTAGTTCTAGCAATTTTTAGTGGTGTCTTTAGGGTTTTCTACTTATCAGATCATATCACCAGTGAACAGAAATAATTTTACTTCTTTCTTTCCAATTTGGATGACTTTATTTCCCTGCTTAATAGTCTGGCTAGAACTTTCAGTACCATGTTGAACAGAAGTGGCGTGATCTTGGCTCACTGCAACCTTCGCCTCCTGGCTTCAAGGAATTCTCCTGCCTCAGCCTCCCAAATAGCTGGGACTATGGGTGCACACCACCATGCTCAGCTAATTTTTGTACTTTTAGTAGAGATGGGGTTTCACCATGTTGGCCAGGAAGGTCTCGATCTCTTGACCTCATGATCCACCCGCCTTGGCATCCCAAAGTGCTGGGATTACAGGCGTGAGCCACCGTGCCCAGACAAATCTTTTTTTTTTCCACTAAGACTTAGCTTCTCAGGAATAGGTAACTAAACTGGTCAGATAACAGGAATTAACGAAGCTGTTGGGACATAAGGATGATGTTACGGTATGGCGTCTGAGAATATTGATGAGTTGTTTAGGTTTGTCAGGAAGGTGAGAGAGGCTAGGAAGGGACAAAGGGTTTGGAGGTTTGAAGGGGCACATGCAGGGTGTGAGTGAAAATGAAATGTAGGTGGAAGATACTGGTCGTAAACCAAAGATAAAATTCTAAGCTCCCCAGCCAACTGAATGGACCCCTCTTTTTGCAAAAGATTCCCCAAAGAAGCCTGAAAAATTAGTTCAGGCCATGACAGGAATCAGGGGGCGAATATACAGCATTATAGCCTCTTCCTTTTGGAGTTTAGACACAACTTACCAGCATTAACATTAAAACAGATATCTTAAAATGAACAAAACAGACTCCGTAGCAATAAGACACTGAGTTCCAACCTGACTCTGGTTTAGGATCATGTGACAGATGGTAGGCCCTGAAGAAAATCAAAGTATTTTACCCCAAAACATATTTCTTTGACATATTCTGAAATAGCCCTGCAAATTATCTCTTGTGGGGGAAATTTGCATTCTGTAAGAATCTCCTTCCTTCACCAAGTCTTTTCCAGAGAATCTGACACATTTAAGTTCTGATAAGAGACATTCACTATCTCTTCTCTCTGAAACTTGCTACTTGGAGGCTTCATCTACATGACAAGAACCCTGGCTTCCAC
Organism: Homo sapiens; assembly: GCF_000001405.40. Classification (NCBI taxonomy): domain Eukaryota; kingdom Metazoa; phylum Chordata; class Mammalia; order Primates; family Hominidae; genus Homo; species Homo sapiens. Next base: position 40,337,828 of record NC_000008.11, on the reverse strand, counting down.
AACTCCCTTGTCTAAACGCAAGCATTTTTTATACTGAATTCAATTCTTCAAGCAGAGCTTAACTCAACCAATTGCCAATCAGGAAATCTTCTAATCCACCTATGACCTGGAAGCCCCATGCCCACCCCCATCTTTCCCCCACCTACTTTTAGATGTCTGACCTTTCTGGGCCAAACCAATAAATACCTTAAATATATTAATTGATGTGTTTGTCTGTAACTTCTGTCTCCCTAAAATGTATAAAACCAAGCTGTAACCCAACCACCTTGGGCGTATGTGCTCAGAACCTCACTGGCCTTGCCAAGTGATCCCTAACCTTGGCAAAATAAACGTCTAAATTGATTGAGACATGTCTCAGATACATTTTAGGTTATATGGCTAAATTTTTTAATTTATCTGGTTTATCTCACAAGAGCTGAAAAGATCTTAGTGATGGCTTGGCCTGAGCTCCTCGTTCTGTCACTGAAAAAGTTATGGCCTGAAGAGGTGACCTGACTCTCCAGCATCCCGCAGTTAAAATGAGGTCCACCTGAATACAGCCCAAGTCCCCAGTCACGGATGAAAAGCAAGTCTTCTACTGGGCTCTTCTCTCACCCAACTTTCTTCCAATGGAGTTCCAGCTACCGTCACTCCTGCTCCCCTAGTTTTTGTTTGTTTGTTTGTTTGTTTGTTTGTTTTAAACCAACCTCAAAATTCTCAGTGACAAGGAAAATGTCTAAACTAGAGCCCTGCACTGTTTGCTCTGCAGTTCAGTAAGTTTTGGCTTCAGATCATTTGGAAGTTTGTTTCTGAGACAAGATACACAAATGTAACTGCCTCCAGGCTCTTAGCTTGCCAGCAGGACGACTGTCTCTAGTTGACAGGACCCGCTGACCCCTGCTGTTTGGATTGCTAACCAGGTTGTCTGACAGCAGGGTACCTTCCAGTTTGATAAGGGACAGTGGGCTCTGGATCAACGTTCATCATTCATCAGGCTTTCCACTCAGACTGGGAAAAATCTCATGGCCATGTTGGCTGTTGGTTCAGGGGGGCTAGGAGAGAGGCAGAGATGACTCACCTGGGCAAAAGCTGCACAGGAGTCCTCTGGATTCAGTGTGGTTTCTGGAAAGAGGTCTGTGTGGTGAGCTGAGAGACCTGCATTCTAGTCCTCCTCCACTGTCTACTCAGCACATGTGAATAAAGTCATGTCACCTCGCTAAGCCTTGGTTTAGTCATCTACAAAGTAAAGTGTCAGAGGAAATAATTTTATAGGGTTTACTCCTGTTCAAAAATCTGGAATGGCATGGAAAAAGATTGGCATTTTCTATATGAGGACCTATGTGATGAAACATGAGTGAAATGGAGTGTCCTAGGAAATTCCTGTTAACTGCTGGTTATTGATCATACTGATCATTATGCAAAGTGCGTTAAGAATGAACCCATGACAGCCAATGCCAGAATCCAGCTCTTGCAGAGGATCCAAGCACCATGCCCAGGAATAGGTTGGGTCTCTTCATGTAAAACAGAGAGAGGCAGGGAGGCCTGAGGCAGGACAGTCAGTGAGCAAGCTAGATAGACCTCAATTCTGGGGAAGAAGCATCTGCTGATTGCTCTGTTTTTTATTGGTGATGAATTGCTTTGGGTCCACAGATGTTAATTGTAGCCAGAAAAAGACCAGAAAGCTGCAATAGCATGATATATTAGGAAAAACACATGATTGGGAATGCAGCAGAGTTGGAGTCAAATCCCATTCTGGAACTAACTATTCATCCTTTCTGAATCTAAATTCTGTCACTATAACTCAGGGATAATTATATTTTTGCATGGGTTTTATGAGGATTAGAGACAACGTATGCAAAACACTTGGCACATGGTAAACATTTGCTAAATGTTATGCAATTTTATCAACGAGGTGTGGGAAAGGGATAAGAATTTAAGCCCAAAGAGCAGCACAAGTACAATGTGATTTTGCCAAACTCAGAACTTCTAAGGATACTTCTAGATCCATGTGTGGTTTTATAATGAGATCCTTGACACAGCCGTATGAGAGGGGTAATTTCTCAGGAGCCCCGGGTGGCAGCCATAGGAAGATGCACAGTTATATGTCTCTGAGCTTCCATATGGGGAGTACAGAAAATCCAGACTCCAAAATTTCTACAGAAGAGCCCTAAGGATGGCAATTTAGGAAGAAATGGGATCTAAGAAATTTCCATTGTGTGCACATAAATTTATTAATTATTAGAAAATATTAATTGTCCATATGAAGAAATAGAAGACACAGATTGAATGAGGGTTGGGAGACAAGGGCCTCTCCTCACTGTAAACCACAAATAAAATTCTAAGACCCCCCACTCCCCGGCCAACCATCTGAATGAGCTTCTTCCTAAGCCAGGGCTTTTAAAATTTAACCTGAAAGACTGTTTCAGGTCATGATGGGAAGTGGGGTTGGATATGATGCCTCATTATACGTCTCCAGGATTAATGTCAACACAGACTTTAGGTCTAATAGAAACATTTTACAACCTATTCTTCCTGAAGCCCTACTACCTGAAGGCTTCCTCTGCAAATAAGAACTTGAGTCTCCACAATCCTTCATCTTACCCCAGAATTTCTTTCATTTTTGTTTTTGTTTTTTTGAGGAGTTTCGCTCTTGTCCCCAAGGCTGGAGTCCAATGGCATGATCTCTGCTCACTGCAACCTCCACCTCCTGGGTTCAAGCAATTCTCCTGCCTCAGATTCCCAAGAGGCTGGGATTACAGGTGCCCACCACCATGCCTGGCTAATTTTTGTATTTTTAGTGGAGATGGGGTTTCACCATGCTGGCTAGGGTAGTTTCGAACTTTAATCATGGAAAAGAACAGCTATAGGCCAAATTCTAATAAGGGTAAAGGCATGCATATCTATAAAGCTCAATTTTTGGCTTCAATCTCCCTCTACCCCATACATATGCACACACACACAATATGCACACACACACAATACACACACCCTCATTAGAAACAGGACAAAAAACTAGAAGGCAACAAAGTTGCCATTGGTTCTCCACTCATATATCATTTATTTAATAAGCATAAATATAGAAGAAATAAACTTAACTTCAAGCAAAGATGGGCTGAGAATAGATAGAAGCCTCCCTAAGTACAGTTAACTGCAGTGACAAAAAGAATTATGTTAGACGTAATATCTAGATTAAATTAATTACATATTTACTAAGTGTTTTTATGGAGATTCAGAGCTAAAAGTTAGTGTTTTTAATCTTTTTTTTTTTTTTTTTTTGAGACAGTGTCTCGCTCTGTCGCCCAGGCTGGAAGGCAGTGGCGTGATCTCAGCTCACTGCAAGTTCTACCTCCCTGGTTCACGCCATTCTCCTGCCTCAGCCTCCAGAGTAGCTAGCTAGGACTACAGGCATCTGCCAAAGCCCGGCTGATTTTTTTTTTTTTTTTTTTTGTATTTTTAGTAGAGACGGAGTTTCACCGTGTTAGCCAGGATGGTCTCGATCTCCTGATCTCGTGATCCGCCCGCCTCGGCCTCCCAAAGTGCTGGGATTACAGGCATGAGCCACCACTCCCGGCCAGTGTTCTTAATCTCAATGAGCTCTAGTCCAATATGCAGCTTAACTGTATGCATTCATCGTAATTTTATGCCAATAACCTACTGCGGAGAATGGAAGGAGCAAAGGATGTGGTTAGATTCTTCTACCTACTTAATAGATAAGTGTCCTGGAGCGAGTGAGACGGAGTTTTAAGGCTTGGTATCTTTATCTATAATAGAAAGGTAATAATACCTACTCACTAGATTGCAGTGAGGATCAAATGAGTTAAGGTAAGTAAAAGAGCTCTATAAACTTTAAGAAGCCCATTCAAATGCTAATTGTTGCTATTTTCTTTCCCCTTAAGGGTACACTTGGTCTTTCCTGATGACGCTTTTAAGAGAAAGGCAGAGTTGACCCTGGGCTTTCAAAAAACTGTTCTTTCAGGTACAAACTACGAATTATGATTTTGAACTTCAAAAAAAAAAAGGGGATAACTTTCAAAAGTACCCAGTTTTGAAACACTCTGTCTATTCTCCTTCATTCATTCATCTCCCATTGTCATTCCATGCCATTTCCCAAACTTTAGTCCCTTCTTAACTCTTCCTCGTGAAAATTTTCTTTCTGCTTTCCTTTTCCTTCCCTCTCAAGGCAAAACCTCAGAGAGAACTGGCTGCTAGTGATCCTCTGCAGAGACCTTGAAGAGCACGGCAATTATGAAACTTCAACAAGAAAAGATTTAAGCTGATCTTTTAAAAAAATATATACTGTCAGGAATTTTGTAGAAATGACTTTAATGTAATAACTGCTTCTTTGACTTATGTTTTGTCTTGTGGTGAAAAGAAAAATATTTATAAAAGCATGCCTGTGTCCTAAAATTGGGGACACAAACTTAAATGACTGAAGGCACTTGAGGAGTGGAGGCAAGGATGGTGAAACCAGGCCCTGTACCAAGCAGGAGAGCGTGAACCTGCTAAAGAGAGTGACTGCTTCTCATTTCCAGTCAATGCGACTGGTGTCGCATTCCAGTCAAATGGAGTTGCGACACCATTTCAGCCACAGCGATTGATCTGGATTTTCTGTAAAATTCCCTGATTTTTACATATTGCCAATTAATTAATTAATTAAAAAGAAATGTAGATGTTCAACCATGCTGTGTACTCCGGAAATACCTTTATAAGACATCATGGGCCTAAATTTTGGGCCAAAGGAGCTAGAGAAAAAGTATAGGAATTCATCAGATCCAACATCACTACTGGATATTTAAATAGTCCAGGCCGGGCACGTGGCTCACTCCTGTAATCCCAGCACTCTGGGAGGCCGAGGCAGGCAGATCATGAGGTCAGGAGATCGAAACCATCCTGGCTAACACGGTGAAACCCTGTCTCTACTAAAAATACAAAAAATTAGCTGGACGTGGTGGCAGGCACCTGTAGTCCCAGCTACTAGTGAGGCTGAGGCAGGAGAATGGCATGAACCCGGGAGGCAGAGCTTGCAGCGAGCCGAGATCGCGCCACTGCACTCCAGCCTGGGTGACAGAGCAAGATGCCATCTCAAAAAAAAAAAAAAAAAAAAAAAAGAAAGATAAAATAAAAAATAAATGAAAAAATCCAGAGTTTATATCCTACTAAAGATAGATAAATGAACAACTTTGGATTCCCAGGGTTACATGAGCATTCATGATGATTTATTTATTCATCACCATTTGAATAGATCACTGGGCAAAATGTAGAGATGACTGAGATAATGCTTGTGTTTTGACCCCATGGAGCATATAATCTAAACTGAAAGGCAAGCAAGTATATACAATTGAAAATAGATTATAGGAATTAAAATGATGCAAATTCCTTTAATGGAGTGGTTAGTAGCATTGGCCATGGAGTCAAATGGGCACAGTATCAGATCTTGACAAATTACCCTTCCCCAGTCTCCTGAGCTATAGAGAGCAATGGAACCTATGTCACAGGAATGCTGTAAGCACTAATGAGAAAATACATATAAAGTTCTTAGCACAGTTTCTGACACCAATTTGGTAATAGTTTCATAAGACACAATACTAATGGTGGTAATGACAACAATAATAATAATAATAGAAGTAAGGTAACTCAAATGTCACAAGGCTGGAAATGATAGGATTATGTGAGAGATGCAGGCAGCATATGTTAGACCCTTGCTACTTAAGGTAGGACCTATGGCCATGCAGCATTGGCATCTTCTGGGCAGCTGTTAGAAAAGCAGGAGCTCAGGCCTCAGCCCAGAGGGACTGCATCAGAATCTGCATTTTATTTAGCGTTTTCCCCAGGTAGACAGCATGCACATTGAAGTTCAAAAAGCACTGTGCTAGATGACATCAGAGGAGGCATGAACAAAGGTCTCCGGAATGAGACAAGATTGGACCAGATCATCAGTTTTCAAACATTTTGGTCTTAAAGACCACTCTACAATTTTAAAAATTATTGAGGACCCAGAGCCACTTGTTTATGTGTTTTATCTGTCTGATGTTTAACAATATAAGACATCTGGAAGATCATATCTGCTTCAGCATTCAATCTGTTGTGTTATGTTCTTTTGGTTGACATATATGAAGAAAATGAGGCTGTACACAAATATATAGCTTGCAAAGGTAGGGGGATTTTAATACCCTTTTCATATAATTGTGGATATTCTCTCTCATTGTTCTAGAAAAATTCTACAAGTGGTAGATAAACTTATGGAATCTCAAATTTAATGAGTCAACATTTGGAAGACTTGTAAAACTCTGTGAACCAATATGTTCCAAATGACAAATGCATGCTTTTACAAAATGTGGAACATGAGTCAAAGACCCACTCAAAGTAGACTACTACATTTCAGTCTGTATAAACTAATGGATTTTTGTATACCAGGAAAAAATATTCACTACATATACTTTTTCTTGAGACCACCGTAGTACTTTGGTATGCAGCAGAAGTGCTTTGGTGTGCTTCCTATTTCCTCACATGAAATATTAAAAAGAAATGTACTTAAGGGTCACCATTCATGGAATTAATAATTTTTATTGTTTCATCCAGAACATTCTTAAGTGGAATGCACACTAGTGAGAAATGCAATGACTATTGGCATGGTTTGGGACCGCTACTTTGATTCATGCTAGGCAGCAGTTTCACTCACTATTGTTTTTGCACTTTCAGGGCAAATTTTAGCACAGTGGAAAAAGCAAGTAAGATCTTAATATTATTACAAATGTTTTTTAATTTCTCAAATGTCCTTAAAAGGATTTGGGGTACTCTAAAAGTCTTTAGGCCATACTTTGAGAACCACAGGAATAGAACACTGGAAGACAGCAGCTCCATAAAAGCCTAGGTGAAAGGAAGAGGCCCACAGGACTAATGGAGTTAGGCCAGTGAAAATAGAAGTAAGAGGAAGCAAAGTGTGTTCAACCAATCTGCGTGGAGCTGAGCTTATGCAATTCGGAAACTGCTGCTTGAGCTGCTCTGTTCTGCTCCTAAGAACAGAGGCATGGACAGAGAGAACATCATCCTTTTAGTTTGTTTATTAAACATGTCTTGGTGAAGTAGTTCCAACTTCAGCTAGTCTACATTTTGCTAAGTGAACTTGAAAATCTTGGCAGTTGATTCAAATTAAAAAATCAAACAGAAGACACATGAATAAATTACTTTTGCCATTATGTCTAACTAAAGAATTGGTACTCTCCCTTTAAAAAAAAATAGAGATGATCATTTGTTTTTAAAAGAAATTGCCATTTTAGTTTTACAATTCATATAAATACTATTTTTTCTGCATGAGTTATGTCCTCCCTCCTGAAGACCCAAGTGATTAGGGATCCTATTACTTATTTGTATGTTACATACTTTAGAGAAAATGCTCATAGCTTGGAAAATCTAATGGATTAGATTCGAGATGATGAGTGACCTTGACTTCTAAATGTATAACATTTATTTTCATGTATGGAGAAGTTTTACATTGCCAATCATAGGGAACACAAGTGTAGCAGGCTAGAACACAAACCTCAGTGTCTTGGCTTTTATATACCTAAATTTCACCCAAATACCAACAAAATGAAATTACCCTTAAAGAGGCTACCTCTGGGACAGGTGTTACCCATAGAAGTTGGTCAGAACCTGCAAGGTCTGTTATGTACAGACTGTAGGACCAGATACAGATATAACAACCCTGGGATCCGAGGACCCTTAGGAATCTCAGGCAGCCGCCAACGTTAAAGGAACCTTATGTAGCATCTATGGATCTCTCCACCTTCTCCAAAACTCTGCCACTCAAGCTCACACGGTTCCCTGACTTACCTGCAGGATTAGTCCTAGGCTGTCCGTTTGATAACTAGTTGGGAGGGTGTTTTCCTCAGAGAAGTACAGTGAAGCTCCTTTTCATCCAGACAATGCTTTTACAGTTCACGCCTGGGGCCTCTCTCATTTTCTCTGAAATAGACTTTAAGAGATGCTTGGCTGCGTAACATCATTAGTGAAAATAACTCACAGGAGGACTTTTGAGGTAACATAGCTGAAAGTGCCATTGAGTCCTTTTCTTTTCTTTCTTTTTTTTTTTTTTTTTTTGAGACGGAGTTTCGCTCTTGTTGCCCAGGCTGGAGTAGAATGGCGCCATCTTGGCTCACTGCAACCTCCGCCCCCACCGCCCAAAAGGGTTCAAGCAATTCTCCTGCCTCAGCCTCCCGAGTAGCTGGGATTATAGGTGCCCGCCACCATGCCTGGCTAATTTTTTGTATTTTTAGTAGAGATGGGGGTTTCACCATGTTGGCCAGGCTGGTCTCGAACTCCAGACCTCAGGTGATCTGCCTGCCTCAGCCTCCCAAAGTGCTCAGATTACAGGCATGAGCCACCGCGCCTGGCTCTGAGTCTTTCCAAATCCTGCTTTATGTGCTTTTTATCTCCTAACCTGACTTAGATGTTTTATTCCAATATTCAGAAGGACTTGAAAAATAATCTTTTTCAGATTATAAAATGAACACTTATTTACTTTAGAAATTGTGTAAAATTATAAAAAATAAAGAAAATTAAAATGATCTATTTCTGTGAAGAACAAAATATTCAAAACTTGAAAATGGGCCAGAAATACAGGTGGCATATCTTTCCAACATTATATGAGGGCGACAGCTCACTCAAGGATTCTCTAGAACCAGTACAAATATCATGTGAAACACGGGAGGACTTGTGAAACTGCATAATGGGTTCAAGCAATTCTCCTGCCTCAACCTCCCAAGTAGCTGGGACTACAGATGTGTGCCACTGCACCCAGCTAATTTTTATATTTTTAGTAGAGACGGGGTTTCACCATGTTGACCAGGCTGGTCTCGAACTCATGTCTTTAAATCATCTGCCCGCCTTGGCCTCCCAAAGTGCTGGGATTACAGACATGAGCCACTCTGCCTGGTCCATAATTTAAAATTTTATAATAGTCGTATTCAAAATGTAAAAGGATACAAGTAAAACTGATTTTTATAAAATAATTTACTTAACCCAATATATCCCAAATGCTACCAATTTAACATGTAAGAGAAAGAAGAAATTAATAATGAGCTATTTTATATTTTTTTGTTGAACTAGCTCTTTCAAATCTGAAATGTATTAGTTTCCTTTTTAGTTGACACTTCATAATTCATAATGTGTCCACATTTATGAGACACATTGATATTTTATACATGTATACAATGTGTAATGATCAAATCAAGGTAATTAGCATAACCATAACCTCAAATATTTATCATTTCTTTGCATTGTAAACATTCAAAATCCTCTCTTTCACCTTTTTTGAAACATTCAATAAATTATCATCATTATTATTTTTTTTGAGATGGAGTCTTGCTCTGTTGCCCAGGCTGGAGTGCACTGGTGTGATCTCAGCTCACTGCAACCTCTGCCTCCTGGGTTCAAGCGATTCTCCTATCTTAGCTTCCCGAGTAACTGGGACAACAGGCGCACGCCACCACACCCAGCTAATTTTTGTATTTTCTTAGTAGAGACAGGGTTTTGCCATGTTGGCTAGGCTGGTCTTGAACGCCTGACCTCAGGTGATTCACCCACCTCGGCCCCCCAAAGTGCTGGGATTACAGATGTGAGCCACCATGCCCAGCCAAAGCATACAATAAATTATTATTAACCACACTCACTCAGCTCTAGCGTTGCAGGACACGAGAACTTACACCTCCCTTCTTGCGGTAATTTTGTATCCCTTAACCAACTGTTTCCTATCCTCCTCTCTCCTACTCTTCACAGCCCTTAATGACTACAGTTCTACTCTCTACTTCTATGAGCTCAATTGTTTTTAGCTCCCACATATGAGTGAGAACATGTTGTATTTCTCTTTCTGTGCCAGACTTATTTCACTTAACATAGTGAAATGTCCTCCAGGCTCATCCGTATTGCTCTGAATGACAGGATTTCATTCTTTTTATGGCTGAATAGTATTCCATAGTATATATCTATATCTATATATGACATTTTCTTTATCTGTTCATCTATTGATGGACATATAGGTTGATTCCATATCTTGGCTGTTGTGAATAGTGCTACAATAAACTAATAAAAATATAATATGAAACGCAAGAGAAAAGCACATAATTTTAAATTTCCTAATTGGCATCTTAAAACATAAAAAGAAACAAGTAAAACAAATTTTTATAATTTATGTAACCCAATATATCCCAAATATTATCAATTTAATATGTAAGAGAGAGAATAAATCATTAATGAGATATTTTATATTCTCTAACTGTACTAAGTCTTTAAAATCTGGTATGTATTTTATACTTACAGCACATCTCAGCTTAGGCTAGTGCTATTTCAGATGTTCAAAAGCTACATATGACTAGGGGCTACCATGATGAAAAACATAAATCTAAGGGAAAGAACTTTGTTCCACTCACTGTTCACTATGGGCCTCAGACTAGTAAAGTAACAAGTTAATTTGTTGCTTTTTTTTCTCAGTAGAGATACAAATAAGGTCTGTCCAGTAGGAAAGAGAAACACCAGTAATCATTTTGGGTTCTAAATTTTTAGCTAATTTTGTATGCAGCTGAGCAATAATATCCTAGAATTCCTTTATTCAATTACCTATAAAGAATACCTGGCTCCTCAAACATTCTTTGAATCAGTCTTAATATATTACTGGTGCCCTCATTGCTTAATAATTGGAACAAAATCTTGGACATGTGTTTATTTTGTATTTTCACGAGTCATGGCTTTCACCTTGTTGAAAATTCTACTTCAGCAGTTCCACTACCTGCAACCACTATTAACATGTCACCATCTTCTATTGCCTCTCTATAGCGCAACCCACATATCCACATACATAGCTCTATCATCTCAATTTCTACCTATGTAAATATTGAAAACACTGAATTAAGTAAATGCTCACATTTATTTTTGCTACTTTGAAATTGAAGAATTTTATATATATTTCCAAAGTTTTCAGTATCCATTACCAAATTGTCTGAAATGTTTTATCATAAACTTTCTTATTACCAGATAATAAAAGTGCTTGATTCCTTACTCTAGAAAACTCAACATAAGAATTGATAATATTTCTCTCTTTTTAAGAAATCTAGATTTATTTTATCTTTTTACAGTGACTAAAATGTCCATAATAATAGCAGCAGTAAAAGGGGCTTTTTTCATTTTATGTCTGACTTAGAATATGACTAGAATTCTCACTGCCAGGTTAGATGTTCGCCATTGTTTTATGATTGTTTCCTATCATATTAAGGATATATTTATTGACTCCTAGTTTACTAATTTTAAAAAACTGGAATAAAACTCTATCAAATGTATACTTTTTCTTTTAATTTACTAATATCATACATTATGTTCATAAGTCTTCTAATATTTAATTATCCATATATTCTTAGATTAAACCTTACCTGACAAAGGGCATTATTCCTTTAATATACTTACAAGTTTATTAGCTCTTATTTAGCATCACTTTTTATTTATTTATTTATTTTTATTATACTTTAAGTTCTGGGATACATGTGCAGAACGTGCAGGTTTGTTACATAGGTATATACAAGCTATGGTGATTTGCTGCACGCATCAACCCGTCATCTCCATTAGCTATTTCTCCTAATGCTCTACCTCCCCTATCCCCTCACCCCACGACAGGCCCTGGTGTGTGATGCTCCCCTCCCTGTGTCCATGTGTTCTCATTGTTCAACTCCCACTTATGAGTGAGAACATGTGTTGTTTGGCTTTCTGTTCCTGCATTAGTTTGCTGAGAATGATGGTTTCTAGCTTCAACCATGTCCCTGCAAAGGACATGAACTCATTCTTTTTTATGGCTGCATAGTATTCCATGGTGTATATGTGCCACATTTTCTTTATCCAGTCTAACATTGGTAGGCGTTTGGCTTGGTTCCAAGTCTTTGCTGTTGTGAATAGTGCTGCAATAAGTACACGTGTGGATGTGTCTTTATAGTAGAATGATTTATAATCCTTTGGGTGTATACCCAGTAATGGGATTGCTGGGTCAAATGGTATTTCTGGTTCTAGATCCTTGAGGAATCGCCACACTGTCTTCCACAATGGTTTAACTAATTTACACTCCCACCAATGGTGTAAAAGTGTTCCTATTTCTCCACATCCTCTCCAGCATCTGTTGTTTCCTGACTTTTTAATGATTGCCATTCTAACTGGTGTGAGATGGTATCTCATTGTGGTTTTAATTTGCATTTCTCTAATGACCAGTGAGCGTTACTTTTTTTTTTTAACATATTTGACATCTATATTGATAAGTCACTCTGGTCAAAATGTTTTATTTTTAAAACAATCTAATCAGATTTTAATATCAAAGTATACTCAGTAAAATGAAATTTAAAGGTTTTCAGTTCTTTTGAATCCTTTGAAACATTTAAATAGTACAGGGATAATTGGTTCCTTAAATCTTTGAAATAATTCCTGTGATGCCCAGGGACATCTTTCCTAGAGGTTATTTTTTCATAAACTTGTAAAACTTTCTTCACATTTTTGTTTTATTTTTCTTCCTCTATTAGAGTCATTTAAAAAACTTTAAATATAGTTGTTATCAAGATCCCTAATTTTAGTACTGAGGTTATATATGTGTATAAGCATAAGTTTACATTTATAAAACTACACGTAACTATATATATGTATATTTGTGTGTATGTGTGTAAATGTATAATTCTTCTATATTTGTACTTTCTTATTTTTTTAAGTAAATTAGCCAAATATTTTTCACTTTTATTTGTTAGAACATCTACTTTTGATTGGAATTGATCAGTTTTTAAATTTGCTTTGATTTTATCTTTTTAATTTGTTTTCCTTCTGAGGGCAGTAGGAAGCCGCTAAAGAATCTTAAGCAGAGGAGTGGCCTGAGGATGTCTGTGCTGCAAAAGATGCTCTGCCCACTGAGGGGCCTTGGGGTGGAGAAGAGAACATCATGGCCAGGCTGGGCTCCTGGTCCTATGGCAGCCTCCAGGACCCAGCTGTTGGGCAAGAGCATCTCATGGCTGGATGGGGCAAAGCTGAGAGGAGAACTTAGCTATAGTATCATGTTCCTAATGGGAGGTCCAGTTGTGGGGAACAGAATCCAAGGATATTAGAGGATTTTGCCTGGTTCAGGCCAAGCTCCATAATTTGGAAGGAAGGTTTCCATCTGAGAGGCCCAATATAGCACTTCTATGAATAAGTGAGGTAGACATGTGATTCGTTGCAAAAGGAGCCTAGCCAAGCTCTGGGATGAAAAGGCATAACCCCCCTCCTACAATAGGACTATTGGGATATTGGCAAGAGGGCTGAAGGTCACTTAGTTGGTTCAAGTGCAACTCCCAAAAACAACATTCACACGCACTGCAGCATGAAGAGCATCACTTGGAATGGTGTAGTGCTGTGTGTACCACTAATCCAGGAATCTAAATGGGAATTGTGTAGTGCCCTGTGCACCACTAATCCAGGAATCTAAACAGGACCTCTGTGCTATTAAGTAGCTGAGGTCAGAAGGGGGACCTAAGGTAGAAACCTAGACATTGAACTGGGACACTTGGTGAGGGTCTGGGGGAAGCTGCAGCATCAAATGTACACATGTATTGAAACGTCACTCTGGACCCCATACACATTTACAATTATTACATGTCTGAACTTTTTACAAACACCCTAAAATAAATTAATTAGTTTCAAAAATGGGAAAAAGAGTGTTAGGAAGTCCTAGGCTCATCTCTGGAACACGGTCCTACAAAATTGAGACGAATTCCAGCCCTCAGCTGCAATGATAATGAGGTTTCTAGTTGTGATATAAGCTGCAGGATTAGTGCAGAAAACAGACTGGTGGCAAACATGAGTGAAAAGGCTGTGAATGATTGCAACTGAGAGAGAGAATAAGAGACCCCATGCACATGTAGGTCATGTTCCTATACTTCTGCAAGTCACATGACTTCTTTACCGCCCTCCTTGATCTTTAGTTCTCTCCTTTCTTTTTGAATATCCCCACTTCCATTCATTCTTTTTGTTCGTCCATGCCTTCACCCAGCTCTGATCCCCAAGCCCTGTGGTGGCTTCTAAGTGCTAATGAAGTTGTCAAGCCCTGCTTCCCCTCCGGGTGAAAGAACTCCAAGTGGATGTGCCTTCTCACTCAAGAGCAGGGCTGCCCAGAGACTCATTTCAAGACATTTATCTGTCACTGAACAATGGTGTCTGCTGCTGAGAAGAAATTAAAGCGACTGCCAAGTAGAGCAGCACAGCACATAACAGCCTCGTGGAACAGGAGAGGGTGTTTGATGGTGATGGCTGTGAAGCCAGGTCTGACAAGGTCCTCACCCATATTGCCTGCAATCCTTCAGCAGCTGGCTGTGCAGCTGCTGCGGATCTGGCACTCCCCACGCTGACGGATGCTGAAGAGCACATTCCGGTGTTGGGGGAAATCCAATGAGGCAGGAAACAGCTTGACCAGGACAAGCTCTCTCTGCATATCAAAGTGGGGCTGCTGAAAGAAAAATCTGGGAAGGGACAGTATTGAGGGCAGCGGAGTAGTTTAACCAAATTTGCTTCAGTGAGCTCAAAAACAGAAAATGAATAGGATGTGACAACCCTTCCCATTATAACAGAACCCGTGTCAGGTAAGATAACCCTCATGAATTGGCTGAAAACCCCACAGCAGGGCAACTGACCTCATGGTCATTTGGCAGTCACAGAAGCTAAAAACTAGCTCCAATTAAATATTGAAAGAAGGAAAAAAGCATCGTGACTAACAAACATCATTCTTTCTCTGAGGCAAAGGCTTGTATTTTCCCCTTCAGCGACCTTGGAAGAAAGAATGACTGAGCTCCTGCTGCAGAAGATAAACTGTGAAGCCTCTAACCTCTTCTGCAGTGCTCTCTCTCTCGCCAGCCCCCTAGTGAAGGTTGACAAGCCCTTGAGGTTCTTGGACACAGACACCAAACTGTGGCATAGGAGAAAGGGCAGGAACCTGAGTTTGGATGTCAATTTCCTCACATAGTGCTAGGCAGGTTTTGGTCAAAGCACTTAATCATCCTGAGATAATTTTGTTTGTTTTTTTGTGAGGGTTAATTGAGAACATTTATATAAATGCACCTAGCACAGTGCTGAACTTTTAAAATTAGTCAGCAAGCGTGAATTCCTTTCATCTTCCCTGTTAAAAATCTCTATATTTCCAGAAATAACACAGCCCTTGGAGTATGGGATGGAATCAATACATGAATATGTAGCTTAGTATATTAGACTCCATGAGCGGTACTCTCTAGCAAACTATGACAGGTTCTGAATGTATTGTAGTTATTTATTCCACCAGGAAAACAAGAATGTATGTTCACTCAAAAATATTTCTTAACTATCTACTTTGCATATGTACCATGTAGGCCTTGGGGACATAGCAGTGAAAAAGATAAATATGGTCCTTATCTCTGTCATTCAGGATGCTTTTGGTCACGTAACAGAACAATCAGCTCAAAGCGACTTAAATAATAAAAAGGGATAATTGTCTTACAATTAGAAAAGTCCAAGATAAAGTAGGCTTCAGGAATGGTTTGATTCATCTACTCGTTGGGATCATGAGGGACTCTTTCCATCTCTGCTCTGCCTTCCACAGCATCTGCTAATGATAAGACTGGTTGCTGTCAAGGTTACATGCTTTCTCTTCCATATGCAGAAAGCTTCACCTGCTGGCAGGTCTCAGCCAATCTCTCTTTGTGTCTTACCATCTGTAATTGAGTAAAATGCATCCCTGAATATACTGAGGCCAGGAGACAGGATCATGCTGATTAGTTTAGTCCTGAGGCACATATACTACTCTAGAGCAGGGGTATAATCAGCTGAGGACAAAGCTCATGAGCTGAGGGCAAGGAACAGAGCTATCCAATAAACCCAGGGTGGATAGGAAGAGAAGAGGGGATGATATTGAGAAGTTATAACCATGGTACTGTAGCCTCATTTGTGTTCTCACAGATCTTCTGATTATTATGTTTGACATCTTTGCAAAGTAGACTTTTGTAAAAACAAAAAATAAAACTTTGTGCTGCTTTCCTGGGGAACATGTGTATCAAGAACAAATAATATTCCTTCACATCTAACGATAAGGTAACTTAATAAACCAGATAGCTAATCTATTTAATAAGTGGTGCTAGGTGCTAGGGAAATATACAGAAAAGTGTGAAAGGAGAGCCACTATCATTAAGAAGTTGGCTGGGTGCGGTGACCCACACCTGCAATCCTAGCAATTTGGAATGCCAAGGCAGGAAGATCACTTGAACCCATGAGTTCCAGACCAGCCTGGGCAACATTGGGAGACCCACTTTCTACAAATAATAAAAATTTAGCTGGGCATGGTGATGAACAAATATAGTCCCAGCTACCGGGGAGGCTGAGGTGGGAGGATCGTTTGAGCCCAGGAGGTCAAGTCTGGAGTGAGCCATGCACAATAGCACTACTGCACTCCACCCTGGGTGACAGAGTGAAACCCTGGCTGTCAAAAAAAGAAGAAGAAGAAGCCAACTGTGCAATACATAAAATATTTTATTCACTTGTAAAATGACAAATAGTAAAATGGTGTTGTGTGGTAAGTGACAAGTGAATGGCACAGACATTGATTTTTGTAGACTTGTGAGTTGCAAACTTCCCTAAGAATCATCTGGGGTCAGCTTGTTTAAAATGCAGATTTTTAAACCAATGATTTTGATTCAGTGCCTCGAGATGGCACCCAGGAATATAATTAGGAAAAAATTTTAAAAAACCAAAATTACGTAGTTATTGCATTGCAAAAGAGGAGTTGGGCTGGGCTGCTGTGGACAGAAGCCTTCAGGATTCTGCAAGGAAAACATAGCACCTGGTTTCTTTATTGTCATTGCAGCATGGCCATCAGTATAACAGCACCTCATCCAGTGTAGATAGCTGGAATGGAATTGAATGAATGAATTGATCGTGGCTCTTTTTCAGGTTGGGAGGGAGTGAGGAGATACCAGAAGTAGGGAGATGAGGTCATTGTAATAGTCTTTGCATGAGATGATGTGGAATTAGCCTAGAGAGCATGCAAAGAAAGGAAGAAATTTCTATCCCAAAGCCCTTCAACAAATCCCTTGGTTATTCAGCAGATAATTTATACTCCATGGGAAAGTTGGCAGAATGTTTCAAATTATTTAAAAGAAACTGTGAGTGGATGAGAAAAAGAAACTTGAGTTCTCCTATTTAATGTTTTCACATTTTCTCTATTTTGATATAAAATAAAGAGGAAAGAGAATTAACTTGGGAGCAGGACACAAGAGTTCCAGCCTCAGCTTGCTTCTCAGGAGCTGTGTGACCTTGGGGAAATTCCCTTTCTTCTTTGGAGCAATTTTCCTACTGGCAAAATGAAGGGGTGGAACCAGATAATCTCCAACATCCTCCGTTGCTGAGATGGAATATCACTGTATGCACCTTGATGAAAACTGCATTGTAAATTTCATTTACTTATTAGACTGTTAAAACAAGTATGGCTGAAAACAAAATGCATATTGTACTCAATGTAAGGGTAATGGTGTGCGTTCTAATTATCTACTCAAGCAATGTAACCATAGTTAAATTTATGATGAGAATAGCACATACATTGGGCTGAGCAGGTTGTAGTAAATTAAAACTTACAACTGCCCTTTACATTAATTTAAAGGCATTCCTCTGCCACTAGCCATGTGGAACTCTTATCAGCATATGAATGAGGTCCATTAGCATAACAAAAGCTGTATCACATAATGTCAAAATCCTGTGCTAGACATCTAACCTTGTACACACTGCACTGTATCTAAGGATAAATTCATGTTTATTGTCCCTGGCACTAGCCCAGATTCCCTTCTATCTGTAACTGAATCTGAAAGGGCAGAGCAAAAGGCTAGGAAAACTTTTAATTTCTTCTTTCATGAAGACCAGAGATACCCATGGCTGGCATGGGTGTGTTGTCCCCCCACTGAAGTTCATCCTAATATTTTTAAATTTCTAGACCAACTCATTGGTCACTTGAAGGATTGTCCTCTTTCCAAATAAAAATTAACAAAGAATTTTATTACAGTCAAATTGCCAAATGTATTTTAGATGTGATTCAGTATCTAGGAAACTTAACATATACCCAAATTTTCAGGAATGTTATTACGTAAATAACAATAAAAGCTAACTTTTTGAGTCTATACAAGCTGGCAGAACCTGCATTACTAACACTACTAAAATTCTTTCTATTTCTTCTAATTAACCTGAAAGTTAGATGTCATCTCCTGTCTATAGATAAAGTTCAAGGAAGTTGTCACTTGTTGAAGGTCAGACATAACTAAGTATTCACAGCTGTACCCATTTGACTCCAAAGTGTGGAGTCCTAATTAGGGAAAGAAAGTCAGACTGGCAGGGACACAGAAAAGCAAAAAGAAGAAGCAGATCAGCTATTATGTTTGCGTTTCTTCATGGTCCAGGACACATAGCCCTCTTGCACAAATAACTCACAATCTTCCTGCACCCAACTATCACCAAACATCTCCATGTTAGCTCACTGCCACCTTGGCATTATCGGTACTGCACAAAGCCCTCTTCAGCATGCATCATAAACACTCTTCTATACAATCTCCACTTCTCTTCTGCTGACCCTACCCATTGCCTACTCGCAACATTTTCTCACTTTCTTTAACAAATCTCCCTTTTTCTACCTATAACTCTCTTGTTAAATTCTTTTACCCCCGCACCCTGGGCCTAGATAGTTGTTGCTCTCCGTGACAAAAAGCACATAATTATTCTACTCTGACCTGCTACTATAAAATAAAGTCTACAGTACTGTCCAACAATATATCATTCACCTGAATCATTCCTAATTGTAAAAGAGATAAGTAGCTTTTACTGCTTCCAAGTTGAGTGTACACTCTCTTTGTTTTTGCTTTGAATGGCTATAATTAGTGACATACGTTTTTGGACTATAATTAAAGGTGTGATAGCCTGGAAAATTTCAAGACAAAGAGTTCTAGTTTTTCCAAGGCTTTTTTTTAAATAATTAAATACTTTTGGATTTTTAATGTTTTTATAATGCTGACTAAAACATTTAAGATTTATTAATAAAACATTTACATTTATTAATGTGATATCTTTAAGTTATTTCTAATATTTATGTAATAAAAATAGTTCTATATAAAACTCTACAGCAGACTTGGCATTGGGACTAGACTGTTTTTTTTCTAAGTGACTTGGGGTAAAATAAGTAGTTTGATAACTCAGCTGTGGACCTATATACAGGAAAAAGAAAAAGAAATGTGAATTGTACAGGCCTGCAATACCTTCTCCATAATCTCAAAATCCTTAAGTATAAAAAAACCTAAGACCAAGCCAAGAATATTCCTCTCTTTGCAGAAGAAATTTTAATGGATTTAGGATAAGTGTTACCACCAGATCCTTTTGGGGTGGTAATGAGATATGGACATATTGTGCTTCTAAAATCTACATTCAATACAGATGGCCAGTGTAAACAATAAGATACTGCAGAAATGATGGTTTGTTACTTCTGAAATGATGTCATAAGAAACATTGCTGCTCTGCACCCCTCTTTCTCAGATTACTTGTGGGAAGCCAGTTGCCTTGTCATGAGACACACAAGCCACTTGAGGGAGAGGTCCAAATGGCCTGGAACTGAGGCCTCTTGCTAATTGCCATGTGAGTGAACTACCTTGGAAGTAGCTCCTTCAGCCCTAGTCAAGCCATCGATGACAGCATCCCCAGCTAACATACTGACTGCAACTTCATAAGAGACCTGGAGCCAGAGTCACTAGTTGAGCTGCTACCAAATGTTTGACCCAAAGAAACTGCATGAGAGAATAAACTTGTATTATTGTTTAAGCTGCTAAGTTTTGGATAAATTAAAAAGTACATGAGCTTTTTCAAGTTGCTGTAAATTACCTGATTCTAAGATTCAAAAACAGAAATGTGGATGAATACATAAATTAGATTTTTAAAAATTATTTTTATTTTAAGCTCTGGGGTGCATGTGCAGAATATGCAGGTTTGTTACACAGGTAAACATGTGCCATAGTGGTTTGCTGCACCTATCAACCCATCACCTAGGTATTAAGCTCAGCATGCATTAGCTATTTTTCCTGATGCTCTGCCCCACTGACCTCTCCTGACAGGACCCAGTGTGTGTTGTTCCCCTCCCTGTGTCCATGTGTTCTCCTTGTTCAGCTCCACTTATAAGTGAGAACATGTGGTATTTGGTTTTCTTTTCCTGCAAAAACAAACAAACAAACAAAAAAAACTATTATCAGAGCAAACAGACGACCTATAGAATGGGAGAAAATTTTTGCACTCCACCCATCTGACAAATGTCTAATATCCAGAGTCTAAAAGGAACTTAAGCAAATTTACAAGAAAAAACAAACAACCCCATCAAAAAGTGGGCAAAGGACACAAACAGACACTTCTCAAAAGAAGACATACATGCGACTAACAAATATGACAAAAAGCTCAACATCACAGATCATCAGAGAAATGCAAATCAAAACCGCAATGAGATACCATCTCACGCCAGTCAGAATGGCTATTATTAAAAAGTCAAGAAACAACAGATGCTGGTGAGGTTGTGGAGAAATAGGAACTCTTTTACACTGTTGGTGGAAATGTAAATTAGTTCAACCATTGTGGAAGACAGTGTGGTGATTCCTCAAAGATTTAGAACCAGAAGTACCATTTGACCCAGCAATCCCTTTACTGAGTATATACCCAAAGGAATATAAATCATTCTATTATAAAGATACAAATTAGGATTTTTAAAGAGTAGAATACTTAGAATATGCTGTTTAGGAGGAAACTTTAACATTTTGCATAATACAGAATAACAAAATAATAAAAGAATGACTGGATTTTACTAAACAGTGCACAGACTGGTAATATGTGGACTCCCCAGGAACAGAACGGGCTTCACTGCTCCAGTGCCTCCTGTTGACATAGCAGGATAGCTTTGGATGCCTCCAGTTCTTGACTTCACTTGACTTATTTTTGCTGCAGTTTACTCATTTTCTCCAAATTAGGGATAAAATTAGGGATAATTAAATTATTCAGTCCAAATCAGGAAACACGCCATAATTGAAGGGTAGAAAATTTGCTTTATAATTCAAGCAAGCCTTCAGTGTTCTGATGAAGCCAAACCACTATTAGTGCTTTCCATTGTTCTGAATAACTATACAAAACACTCATTTTTAGAAAAGAAACCAAAAAAGTAAAGGAGAATAAACTTTATTGAATAAACTTCAGTCACATGTAATTTACTATTTTCCATGCTGTTAGTAAGTTCTGTTTTAATATAACAGTGATAGCATTTTCTTGTTTACAAGAAGCAGGCAAAAAATGTGAAGGTAAAAATATACACTTCATTTTTAAAAACTAAAGAAAACTCAAAGTTTGTTGTGTCACAATATGACATAAAATGACAATTAAATATACTGTTTAAAAGTGTCATACCAAATTTAGTTATTCCAAGAACAAATAAAATGAATCATAATGCTGCCTCAAATCCTTTCAGAATAAGAAAGAATATTTGCATTTGTATAATTTTGCATAATGTCATGGATTTTTCAGGTTTTTGGTATTTTTCTTAGTTATTCAGCAACTTAAAAAAACAAGTATTTGTCTTTTATGACCTCTTCTTAAAAGTTATACATTCGATGATGAATAAAGAACATAACTAAGTGTGTTGAGAAGGCCAGAGACTTCCTTCCACAGGTGGATTTCTGATGAAGAGTATTGATATGGTTTGTCTGTGTCCCGACCTGAATCTTATCTTGAACTGTAGCTCCCATAATTCTCACGTGTTGTGGGAGAAACCTGGTGGAAGATAATTGAATCATGAAGGTGATTTCCACCATATTGTTCTCGTTGTAGTGAATAAGTCTCATGAGATCTGATGGTTTTATAAGGGGAAATCCCTTTCACTTGGCTCTCACTTCTCTCTTGCCTACCTCCATGTAAGACATGCCTTTCACCTTCCACCATGATTGTGAGGGCTCTTCAGTCACGTGGAACTGTGAATCCGTTAAACTTCTTTTTCTTTATACATTTCCCATTCTCTGGTATGTTTTTATCAGCAGCCTGAAAACAGACTAATACAAGTATATGTCTAGGATTGTGGATACTTGGCTGATCGCCTGCCTGAGCAGTGAGATAGGATACAAAGCTCTTTCCTGTTCTCCTTTAAAACCTTCTCCCTTATCAACCAGTCTCAATGCCTGATATGCTGCATTTGGTAACTCATTTCTTTTGACTAAGGAGAATTATCTTTAAAATGGATTAAGGCTGGTGCAGTGGCTCACACCTGTAATCCCAGCACTTTGGGAGGCCAAAGTGGGAGGATCACTTGAGGCCAGGAGTTTCAGACCAGCCTGGGCAACATAGCGAGACCCTGTCTCTACAAAAAAAAAAAAATTTTTTTTAAATAGCTGGGGCTGGGCACAGTGGCTCACGCCTGTAATCCCAGCACTTTGGGAGGCCAAGGTGGGTGGATCATGAGGTCAGGAGATCGAGACCATCCTGGCTGACATGGTGAAACCCTGTCTTTACTAAAAATACAAAAATTAGCTGGGTTTGGTGGCAAGCGCCTGTAATCCCAGCTACTCAGGAGGCTGAGGCAGGAGAATTACTTGAACCCAGGAGGTGGAGGTTGCAGTGAGCCTAGATCATGCCACTGCATTCCAGCCTGGCGACAGAGCGAGACTCCATCTCAAAAATAAAAATAAAAATAAATAAATAGATAGTTGGGAATGGTGTTGCATGCCTGCAGTCCTAGTTACTCAGGAGGAAGAGGCAGAAACATCACTTAAACCCCGGAGATTGAGGCTTTAATGAGCCAAGATTGCACCCCTACACTTTAGCCTGGGTGGTAGAAGGAGACTCTGCCTCTAAAAAAACAAAACAAAACAAAAACCAAAAAAAAAATTAACACCTTAGTATTGATACATTTATCTCAGTCTTACTCTGCTCAATCGCTAGTTGAAAAAATATCATATTTGATGAGGAGGTGGACGATGGTGAGGACACATTGTGGGACTCTAAGGCAGTTAAGGAAGCTCATTAGGGCACTTTGGTTTCCTAGGATGGATGCCCAGAAGCTACGAATGGTACTAAAAGGAAAATTGGACAGAAAGTGCTAAAGTGATTTCTCATCTCTGAAGCTGTTGATGAGAAAAGAGAAAATATTAAAAAGGTGTGAAGAAACTCTCTGAACCCTGGAAACAATAGACTCTCACTCCGGTACAGAAATCCAGTTGGTGATTGCCTCAGCCTTTTTTATATCCATTACACTGAATTGAATTACTCCTCATTTACACAGGCGAGACAAGAATAATGATTAGCCATATTAGCTCTTTTTAAGTTTGTTTTGCTGGGATTTTTGATAATGAATCCAGATTGGACTTAGAAAAGCCTCTTGAAGCTAGAAGATCAAACCAAGGACTCGTCATGAGCCTGTGTCTGCAACACCTATCGATTTGGGTAAATTATTCTCTTTTTAAAATCACCCAAATATCCTGAGTTTCCTGAGTGTTAAGAATAAATTATTTAATAATACTTGTTAAAGCACAATAAAAATGGTTTATTCAGGACTATCGTGATAGGTATAGGGACCACTGCAACATGGTCTTGCAGCTGGGGAGACAGATTGGGATCCACTCCCAGTAACACATGGGCAAGTGGGAATTTGTATTCAAAAAGCAGTGTGGGGGTCAATGGATGGAAAATTACTAAGTGGAAACATCAATGATGGGGGGTTCTGACTAAATGGACCTAATGAATTCCTACTAAAGACAGGCCAGAGTGATCAGGCATCACCTAGCGGGTGGTAAGAATGAGGAACCAGATCAGATATTGAGGATTATCTGATATCAAAGATGGGTGTTCTGGCTAAACTGACTTAGCAGGGCCATTTCGATAAAACTGGATTTTACAAGAAAGTGCACAGATGGGCCTAGGAAGAGATTCAGAAACCTGATTAAAGTTTAGCCAGGAAATAATCTTCATTAGTCCTCTTTCTTGTTCAACATAAGCAGATTTTCTCACTTGGTCACCTTTGGTTCATGTAGGAGCAGCTGACTCATCTGTTGGGATTTGGTATTAGAGAATGTCTACTGGATAGTGTCAGCCAACAGGATTTAACAAAGAGGGATTAATTTCTATGAAAATAAAATAAAAATGAAGACTAATAGTTGAAAAAAACTATAAATTCAGTTTCTGAGTCCTGAGGGTAGCCAGTCAAGAAGATTTCTAGATGCTGGGCTTGAAGCGTCTTCAGCTGGAGTGAGAACAGACAGTGGCAAATGACAGATTTTCCTGGTTTCCAGTTTAAATGTCACAAAGGTTGTCAAAAGCTGTTGTGGTGATCTCTCCGAAGTTTATATCGTCATCTAGCTTCAGCTTTCAGGGCTTCAAGGAAAGAGAAGTATTAATTTTAGTGATTCCAGGCCAGAAGAGTGGGAGAAAGCTGGGAGCATTAATTTGGAGAGTTGGAGCCAGATATTGCAGGAAACTAGAAAAATTTAAGATCTAGTCTCGATTGCAGGTAGATAATAAAACCTCAAAGAAAACAAAGAGGGCTAGTATCTAATACTGGGTACACTATAGTTTTGTTCTGAAAGATATTTTTTCTCTCTACAGTCACTCCCATTTCTAACTAAGATTATAAAGTCAGACTCATTTGTTTTCAAAATAAGTTTATCTCATTAATCTTGGCCTCCTCATTTACATAGGTGAGACAAGAATAGTGATTGGCCATATTGGCTCTTGTAAAGTTTGTTCGGCTGGGATTTTTTTATCAGAAATCTTAAATTGGACTTATAAAAGCCTCTTGAGGCTAGAAGATCAAACCAAGGATTTGCCATGAGGCTGTGTCTGTAACATCTATAGATTTGAATCAATTATTCTCTTCTTAAGATCCCCAAAATATCCTGTTTCCTGAGCCTACCAGGAAGTGACATTCCTTACTCACCTATGAGACTGGGAACTCTCAGACCAGTTTTTCTAAGAAGAGATTTATTGGCTGTCAACCTTTGTTTCTTAAAAATGTTTGATCATATCTGAAAATATGATATCCTAGTCACATATATATATATATCTCATAATATAACCAGTGTTTCCAATTTACTGTTACAAGAAAAACAGACTCTTATTGAATTTATGCAAATAACTGCATTGCCATAAAAATAAGAATGCTAATGAAAAGTTTCTAAATTCTGAAGGTATCTGGTAAGGAGAAAAAGTAAATGCTTCAAACTCTTTCACGAAAGTATACTTTACCAAATTGCTATAAGCACATAGATAGCTTAAAAGGAAAGGAAATTCCTTAAATCAGGAAAACAAAACATTTGAAGAAACAGCAATGTTTCAAATAAAAAGTCATTGAAATAATTATCTTCATCATTTCATTCAATCCCATAATTAATTCTTGTTCTGCTTGAAGTTTTATGAAGCCATCAGTTTCTTCATTAGAGATCTGGAAATTCTTACCCAATCCAATGGTTAGAGGTATCAGAAATCTGACAAGAATACTTGTCAGAGTGTTTTCCAATTATATTCTTGAAGAAGAAGCATTTTGGACTATAGCTAATTGCAAATGCTTTTAGAGAAAAATTAAAGTGAAACAATAACCTTCTATGAAAGAAAAAGACTTAAAATGTCTATGGTTAAAATCTAACGAGTTCATTATAATAATGATGCAACTGACAAAAAAATTTGGCTATTTCTGTGGCATACATCTGAACATAATAACCAAAATTATCACTAATATATATCTAGGAATCAAATACAATTTTGGAACACTGATATCAATAATACACCCATAAATATAGCTTTAAAAAGGTTTAGCACCACTTATTTGACAATGCTTTTTATATAATTTAATATAATAAATATGTTTAATTGTTTAATATCTCTCTTTTACAAGCTTAGAGACACATCATTTGATCTTCTCAGGGGCCTAATTGAAAAACCTCAAAGTTAATTCAAGGTTAAAAAGACTTAATTTAGAATTAGATTTTGGGAAGTTTGTCAAAAATGTCAAAAAATTTAAAACAATTAAATATGATCTTGGTTACCTAATTAATCAAAATGACAATAAAAGGTTTTAAAGGCAAATACAGAAGGGTTCACAGTTGTGAACAAAAATTTAATTCTTTTAACGTTAAGAAGACTTTTAATGTTGAGAAGACTCAGTTTTCTTAAGTAATCAAACACTAAATAGAAGACAACATTATACACAAGAAGCTATCTTGATAAAACACAAAATCTTTGTTTCCGAGGCCAATTCCTTAAAACAAACAAACAAAAAAACCTCACATTCTTAGACCAATACTCCAAAATAACCTTGTTATCTTAACAGAGAAGACCAAATTTTACTTTTGCATCAATGTACTACAAAAACAATTTTTAATAAAATACTATAAATGAGTCTATCTGATCTCAATCAGCTTTACCCACAGAAGAGAAGATTTTCACCCTTTTACAACCTCATTTTTTTCTTTATTTTTCTTTTGCAACTTACATGCATCAAGCAATTAAACAATTCATTTTTATTGTGCATTCTGATTTTAGGTTGAATTCATGGTTTTATGGCCTTAATCATCTAG
This sequence comes from Homo sapiens, assembly GCF_000001405.40. Taxonomy (NCBI): domain Eukaryota; kingdom Metazoa; phylum Chordata; class Mammalia; order Primates; family Hominidae; genus Homo; species Homo sapiens. The sequence continues at coordinate 40,311,228 of NC_000008.11, read as the reverse complement.
CAGATACAATACAAACCTATTTGACCAACAAACCCAGGTAAAAATGTATGTCTGTATTATATTTAATACTATTAATTCTAAAGACATTCCTATTTTATTTTACCAACAATTTTAAAATTAGCTTTTATTTACCAAACATTACTCCGTATCACATGAACATTAAAAAAAAATAGGTCAGTTTCTACGTTTCTGAGAATTTGATGAATACTTAATTTGTTTAAGCACTCACTTATCCCTAAATCAATTTGAGTATTTTCATTTGGTAATACAATTGTAGGTAGAAAAATATCACATCTACATAAGATACAAAGATACATATATACATATACATAAACATACAGATAGATGCAATGAAATCTCATGGCTTTTTATTTTAAAAATTTCAGTCATGAGGCAGTAAACCACAATAATGTAAACTCACTGGTTCGTCTTCACTTATGTTTTTATCCAAACTGTGTTTCTGATGAAAATGGCACAGGTTGAAGTTACCTACTCAATAAAGGCTAAAGCTTTTTTACCAACATTTGTGAAGAAGCCTTTTAATATTTTTAATTTTCCCAGTTTCCTTCTCTTTTTAGTCTTAGATGTTTATGAGAGGGACCCTGAGTCCCTTGAAAGCCCACAATGGAGGAAAGGAGGGCCTTAAGTTCAACGATCTGAGGGGCTGGAGTGGGTAAAGAAATGATCTGGTAGGGGTGGATGGAGAGATGGAGGAGGTAGGGGCTTGAAGTGGGACATGCCAAAGGATTCAAGAGAACTGGAAGGCAAAATCATAACAAGGAGTAGACAGAGTTGGCAGAGCATGTCATCAGTAGGGGTTCAAAAGAAAGGCTTTGCATGACAGAGATGTACCCATGGGAGAAGCAGGATCCAATAGAGAGAACAGAGGGAATAGAGTGGCCTCACAGCCAGCTAGGAAGAAGGACTTCCAGCCCAGGGAATCAGGAAATAATCCCAAATCAGAACAAGGAGCCAGAAAAATGACCTTCCAGCCAGGGGAAAGCTTTCACATGAAGCCTGGCTTCAGAGCACATACTCGTACCTTAAGGATCAAATACACATACTCATAACTTAAGGATCAAAATCTGTCCTGACCAACTTCAAGGGCATTTGTCTGGAGCAATGGTTCAGGAGCCTGACTCACTAGTGAATCTCTAATCAATCAGTTAGGAGTGAGGACAAAGGCTTCAAAGGTACACTTTTAGGGTCCTGAGTAAGAAGCCTGGGGGTCCAATAATGAATTTGATCTTAACCAAGTCACAGCATAGTAACTCTTAAAGAAAAAAATTATTCAGTGATACCTGTTAAAGCCCAGTAGGGAAGAATTTATTCATAGCTGTTGCCATATGTACAGAAGCCTCTGCAAGGAGGTCTTGCAATAGAGGAGAAACATCAGGCTCAACTCCCAATACAGCATAAGCAAGTGGGAATTGATAGCCAAGGAGCAGTGTGGAAGTCAGCGCATGGAAAATTACCAAGAGGAAACATGAGGGATAAGGGGGATTCTGGCTAAACCAACATAACAGGATTCTTGCTGAAGACAGAAGGTGAAGGATGAAGAACCTGATCAGATATCGAGGATGATCAGATATCAAGGATAGGGGGTTCTGGCTAAACTGACTTAGCAGGGTCATTTTGCTAAAACTAGATTTTACCAGGAAGTGCACAGATGGGCCTAGGGGAAGTTTCGGAAAGTTGACTAAAGTTTAGCCAAGCAAAAAATCTCTTTCAGCTAGAATGCAGATTTCTGACTAATGCTGACAGATTATACCTTCAAACGTTGCTTTCTTTATTTAGCTAAAGCCACTCAATAACTTGTACTCTGGAACTATAATGGATAGCAATTTTACTTGTGCTTATAAAATTATTCACAAAATTCTTCCCCTTTTCTCAGTTTTGTTTGTTTGTTTTTTGCCTCTGACCTCTATTGCTTTCATTTTAAGATTATTCTTTTTCTAGACTGTGGTAGTCAGAGCTCTGTTCTGTTCACTGATTCAGCAGTGAGTGAGTCTGTTTGTCTTGGTAATGACGGAAGAAAAAGGCGAGAAAAGAGATGGATGGCTAGAAGAAACAAAGGTTATCTAAAAGGGCATATTTCTATATAAGTTACAAACATTAACAGTGTCCTTTCAGATAACCTTTTCTCTAAATTTCTAAATATGAATTTAGATTGAATTGTCCCAGAAAATTCTTATTTGTTTTTGAGAAATATTATTCAGCTCCTGATCCTCCCACCTCTGCCCAAATATTTGGACACAGGATATGTTGGGACTAGTGCTGGCAACATGGTGGGAGGCTAAGAAAAGGAAATAGCATCAGGAGAATTGGTGGAGGAGCACAGTAGGCAGGTTCCACGGTATTTAGCACTAAGCTCTTATTTACAGTCGACTTTTGAACAATGGAAAGGTTAGGAGCACTGATCTCCCATGCAGTCAAAAATCCATGCATATCTTTTTTCAAAAACATAACTACTAATAACCTATGATTGACTGGAAGCCTTAACAATAACATAGTCGATTAACATTTTTTTTAAAAATGTTGTATGTATTATATACTGTATTCTTACATTAAAGTAGGCTAGGGAAAAATGTTATTAAGAAAAACATAAGGAAAAGAAAACATATTCACTATTCATTAAGTGGAAGTGGATCATCATAAAGGTCTTCATCCTCATCATCTTGAGTAGGCTGAGGAGGAGGAGGAGGAGGAAGAGGAGAAGTTGGTCTTGCTGTCTCAGGGGTGGCAGAGATGAAAGAGAATCTGCATATAAGTGGACCCATGTAATTAAAACTTGTGTTGTTCCAAGGTCAGCTGTTTAGCCTTCATGTGCTATTACTAAGTCTTTAGTACAATTGTGTCAAAAGCTAAAGGAATTTAAGGGGGTGGGCCCAGATTTCTATGCTTAGTATGAGCCATCAGGAGATAAAGGCCTCCCTGGCACTGCTATTCTACAGAGGCCAGGGCGCCCGGCAGTATTTTCAAAGGAGCATGGTGATCTCAAAAGCACAGACCAATATGAAAATAGTATTAGAATATCTATCCTTCTGTCCTCTCCAAATATTGAGAGGAAGGAAATCTTGAAAGGTGAAGGCTAAATACTTTGTAAGAAAAGACTATGCAGCTAGTAGCTTTCTGGATTATACACACACCCTTTAGATCACAGTCTAAAAATGTCCCTCTGATGTAGATTTGCAAAATGTCTAGACAAAATGGAAATGGCGAAAAAAGCAAGATCAATCTTTGACCAACCAAGGGAGAAAGAAACTGCAGCTGATAAACGTAGACCTAAAGAGTTGTAAGGAAAATCCCAATCAATTTACAAACCTGGAGGTTGCATCTTCTCTGCTGGTTAAGAAGTTAATTCATACGTGCCCCTTTCATTTCATTATTCATGCAACACGAATTAAATGACTTAGCTGTTCCAATAGAGATTAATTACATTAGGCACAAAGCACATTTCCAGCTCAGGCCATGGTTTCTACTTCATTTAATTCATTATCCCATGTGCAATCCAGTGGCATCCTGAAGATAAAAGCTAATTTCAATCACATATGTCTTTTTCAGCAATTTTTTCTCTTTCAGGTTTTTCTAAGAAAGTTGCTTGCTAGGACAAAAGGAAAAAATATGTAGTTTGACCAAAGGGATTTAATCCTAAAGGATTTTCTCTTATTTTTCTTTTTGTTTGAGTGTCCTCTGATTGGGATGAAACATGGAGGCATCACCAGGCCTCACTGAGAAAGGTGCTATTTCTGATCTACAGGAAATACCTGGAGGAGGAAGACAGCGATGATCTGAAGGGCCTGAATTAGGGCTGCCATGGATGTGGATGGAGGCCCACTGCTCCCAACAACTTATGAGAGCAAGATGCTGATGTTAACCAGGCCTTTTAACCCTGTGCAGAGCTGTTTACCTTGGCATACTCCTTGCAGGGTATTTTTCACCTGGCAAGAAGCAAAGTCTCATGCACATGTCTGTAGGCATATTTTCCACAGACTTCTTCCAAAAGGTAGCTCTTAGAAGATTAACTGCCAAGAACACTGAAATTTCTTTCTCTGCAGCTGTGAACAGAAGTTGATGTCACAGAGGAGTAGCCTCCCATATAGAACTGGAACATTTATATACACCCAAATTCCTTATGAAAATGAAGTTAAAATGTCAGATGGATGGAATGCTCTTACTGAAAAGCAACTCGGAAATTGTTCTCCTGAGCTCCAAGTTTAAGACACACAAAGGATTCAGTATGGGTCAGGGTAGTAGGAAAAGCCTGTTCTGTGGGATTAAGGCTTGAGACATTTGTCAGGGACAGAGGAATACAGAGAATGGCATTCTGCAAACCCGGAGGACAGCAGAAGAAGAAGGACCCAGAGGAAGCCAAGATCATGGATACTTTATCTGTATTCAGCTTTGTCAAAAATAAATAGGCCAGGCACGGAGGCTCACGCTTGTAATCCCAACACTTTGGGAGGCTGAGGCGAGCAGATCACCTAGGTCAGGAATTCAAGACCAGCCTGGCCAACATGGTGAAACCCCACGTCTACTAAAAAGACAAAAATTAGCTGGACATGGTGGCACCTGCCTGTAATCCCAGCTACTCGGGAACCCAGGAGGTGGAGGTTGCAGTGAGCCAAGATCATGCCATTGCACTCCAGCCTGGGCGACAAGAGCGAGACTCCATCTCCATAAAATAAATAAATAAATAAATAAATAAATAAATAAATAAACAAACAAACAAATAAATTAGGATAATTTATTATTTTGTCTCAAAAAAATTTTTTGAGCCTTGTCATTTAGTCCAAAAAAATCCTTCACATGTTTTCATTTCCCCAGTTCTGATCAGAAACAAACTGAATTGAACTGGGGAAATGAATATAAAAGTATACTTTCATTTGCCTGTAATCCCAGTACTTTGGGAGGCCGAAGCGGGCAGATGACGAGGTCAGGAGATCAAGACCATCCTGGCTAACACGGGTGAAACCCCATCTCTACTAAAAAAAAAATTAGCTGGGTGTAGTGGCGGGTGCCTGTGGTCCCAGCTACTCGGGAGGCTGAGGCAGGAGAATGGCGTGAACCCAGGAGGTGGAGCTTACAGTGAGCCGAGATTGCGCCACTGCACTCCAGCCTGGGCGACAGAGCGCTCAAAAAAAAAAAAAAAAAGTATACTTTTATTTGGAAATAAAAGTATTAAGTTGATATTACTTGGAGAATTATAATAAATTTTCCTAAAAGTCTGTCTTTGCTATAGCGGCAGGAGTCTTTTTTCTTAACTCATTACCTGCTTTTCTACCAGCTTCTAAATTGTATACTATATATTCCTAAGGAAGGCTGCAAGAACAACCCCACTCCACTCACTGCTTTGTTTATAAATCCAAAGACTTCTGGACAATTTGGATGCCTGGTCTTGGGGCTTAGAATCCTCTCTGTAACTTCTGCCAAAACATCACAAGAGAAAGGAAAAGATAATAAGAAACCATCTAAAGACAATCAAACCACCATTAATCCCCTACTCTTTCTACACACAATAAACATTAGCTGTAGCTCAATTAAAAGCTACAGTTCACAGATGTTCACAATAATGATTGCCCTGCAATAGCATTCTTCTCATTAAGGTGTTTTGGAACCCTGCATATGCCGCCAACTCCTTCCCACCAGGGAACTGGGAAAGCGAGAAAAGCACAGGTACCAGGCATGCCTGGAATATGAAGCAGAAGACAGCTGCCCGCTCTTTCCAGAAAAGGTGCCTCAGCAGGATTTATCATCATGCTTTTTGCCAACACATCACCCCCTGCCCCCTCCTTGAGTCATTAACAGTAAAAATACAGGAGAACTCAACAGAGGCAGAGACCAAAAATGTGTCCCTGGAGCCTGGAGCCTGGAGCCATCTGGAAGAAACACAAGATTTCCCTGCGCCTGGGTGCTGCTGAACAGGAGCCAGCTTGGCTTTCACATGGAATGTGCTTTTCTGTCTTGTTTCTTCAGGTGCCCCAGACACTTCAAGCTATGTTTCCTTTGGGGAAATTAGTTGCATAACAGGGATATGGAAGGTACTGGAGAGGAATTTGAAGTAGTTCATTTGTATATAAAGTGCCAGTAGCTAGTACCCCATTCCTTGAAAAGTGAAGGGATGGTGAGCTGAGTGAGTAAGGTGCTTAAATCTCAAGAGACCGACTGTGTTCCACTTTCCCACCAATCAGAACTGAGCCTGCAGTGTACCCAGCCTGGGTCCTCCTGTCTCCTGGAGCTAGAGTGCGGCATTTGTAGGCAAAGTCATAACGCCACCTACGCGACACACACTGAGATTCTTTACACTATGGATGTGGCTGTAGTTACCATCTCACAATAGGTTTTTCCTTTAACCTGAATTTCATACTAATAAATAGTTCTGCCTCAGGAGCCTTTGGCAAAAATTATCATCAGCCTCATTGTGAAAACAGCTTTTCTTTTACAGAAGTAACCTGGCCAGGCGCAGTGGCATACACCTGTAATTCCAACACAGTGGGAGGATCTCTTGATGCCAAGAGTGCAAGACCAGCCTGGGCAACATAGTAAGACCCCTGTCTCTATAAAAATTTTTTTTCATGTTAAAAGAATTAAAAAAAAAAAACAAGTAACAAGGCCACTTCAAGACTAGGGATCTCAGCTCTAAAAATCCAGGGACTTCCTGGCCAGGCCTGATCTGTGTTGATGTTGAGAGGGGTTAATTTATTGGAATAAAATGATGCAGAAGCACAGAAGTGGGTCTGGAGCAGGAACATTGAATCAGGCGTTCTCAATCCACATAATACCTGGTTTCTGATTAGCTCAGTCACCACCCTGTCTTCTGTGACTGATGGGTAAGACTCTCCTAAAGGAATCTTTTAAAAAATAATCTGACAAGAAGGGCTCAAGCTTCCTATTATCTCTTCAGAGATTTGTTATTGTTACTAAGTGTAATGGGATGAAAACCTTCCAGATTCTATAAGACCAGATTTGAAAATCCAGTATTGCAACTACATCTAGGAAAGAGAAAATGCCAGTGCTGAATTAATTTGTTGAAATTAGGGATTGCCCTGTCTTCAAAAGAGACTATCAACCCAAGTATTTTTTTCAAATGTTTAAGAACAAAAGGAATTTTCATGGCAGAAAAAATCTAAATCTGGTTGGAACAGCTTTGCTTAACTTTTAACTAGGTAGTATAGTAGTGTTATTGTTCTAATAATTATCCCATTGCCTTGCAAATAACTGAGAGTTGGGACAGATAAAATAGTTGTAAGAATTTCTTTTAACTCTGTGTAGCATTTCCCACCCAGATTGGCATTAGGCACACTCTGCTGTTAGTGCTTCTCTCTCAAAACTGTGTCCCACTTGTCATGACACCTGCACCTTCATCCCCAGGAAAACACACCAACATACACATTCAAGGCAGAGTCCCTTCTGGTATGGTTGATCCTTAAATATGACTTCTTTCTCGTTTTCTTTTCCCTCTCTCTCTTCTTCACCCCAAACCATGTCTCTGACCCTGTCCCATTCCCTCTAGGACTTGCGCAGCCACAGCTGTGGGGCTAAAGACCGTGAGGACAATCGCTCTGTCCTTTCTGCGTATTCATCACAGAAGTAGAACTTGCTGCGTGCATATGCTGAAGGGAAAGAGTGCTTGCTGTGGGATTGTATCTCTGTAGGCCTCCAGTCTCAGGGACTTTTTCAGAAGGTCTGAGAGGTCAAAACTATTTCTGGGTAAAATAAGCATTGAAAGTCCAAGATGAGCAATGTATTTTAATATAATGGAGTGAAGAAAAAAGTGCATTTAAATTCTTTCACACTGCACTGTCATTAACCACTGGTAACTTACTTTTAAGAAACTACCATTTGTCACATTTTGAGGGTAGTATCAAAGAGGAATATTCTAAATTATCTGAAAATATTGCTAATATACCCCTCCTTTTTCTGACTACATGTCACTGTGAGGCTGGATTTTCTTCAATCAAAACAACATAACACAACAGATTGAATGCAGAAGCACATATAAGCATCCAACTGTCTTCTATTAACATAGACATTAAAAAGATTTGTACACATGTAAGACAATGCCACTTTCTCAACATTTTTGAAAAAGTTATTTTTTCATTAAGACATGTTATTTATTTATGTTAACATGAATTTACTATTATGTTAAATAAGTAAACATTTAAATTTTTTTTCAGCTTTAATTTCTAATATGGTAAATATTGATGGATATAACCCATATCAACAAAACCTTTTTGGGGTTCTCAGTAATTTTAAAGAGTGTAAAGAAGTCCTAAAACCCAAACATTTGAGACCCACAGTTCGAGAATATCTCTAGTCATTGCATCTTGACACCCAAAGCATTGGGCCTAAGGGTCACCCTTTCTGCTGTCCCAAGAGTTATCTCTGGTCTTACCTATTATTTTTGAGCAGTGCCTTGAGAAGAATTTCAGTCTGTTTGTAGGCCCCACTGCAGCTAATTCTGTACCTAAGACCTTCAGTCTTGGCTCTACAATTTCCTAAAATTGCATGAAACAAAAAAATCTGTGATTGTGTAATTGCACATTTTCTAGAGAGAATTTCCCTAGTTCTGTTAAGCCTCAAAGGACTTAGTGACCTATTCAGGTCAGAGACCACAGCTCTAACCAGAGAGCCCAGAGCTGCCCCTGCCCCTGCTTCCATGCTACATACTAAACACACCCAGGCATTCCTTAGGGGTAATATTGAACTCTTGGTCATCTAGGTTCTGTCAAAATTCATCTGACATATGGTTACATGGATTTTGAAGAAGAGAGAAGAAAAAGAATATGAAATTTTATAAATAACATGAAAAGAACAATATAAGGCCATTTTCACAAAAATAAAGACAAATGGAATATGAAAAAAGAAGGAAAATATATCTTTTAAAGTCTAGGGAATTATGCTTTTCTCATCTTCAAAATTTTTTTAAAAACCTCTTTATGTTGCTTTTACTATTAAAAGTGATGACATGAATACTGGCATGACATTGTGATTCTTCTTCTGAGCCTTCTGGAAGCTTAAAATAACATTTAATGCGCATATATAGTAGCCATATTAGCCTACATACATCAATTTCTCTACTTCCCATCTATAGTTTTCATTTTTTAAATGATCATTGTAATTTGTACACTTCCATTACAAGTCACTTTGGATTCTTTTTGAAACAAACTTTTCAGACAAATCTGAGTGAATTAATTCGTCTTAATGTATTGATTTGTATGAAGGTGGCAGGAGGGACACTTAGAGCCGGTGACTACTTTGCATTGTCACAGCTTGCCTTTGACAAGGGCACCTCCTCAGTCAAGTGTCCCAGCTGGGAGAGAGACTTTGGGAGAGCAACAAAAATGAAGGTCCAGTATGAGCCTGTTTGTTTCTTGAGTGTCTTTCCCGTATGAATCCTGTTCCATTGTAACACTGGAATGATAATAATCCTCAACGTCCTTGAAACTCTTGGAAAGTAAAATGCCTTGAAAGAACGCTCTTGTGTCTTTCATTTGAAGACCATTTATTAAGGGTACTGTCAGAGCTGGACTAGGTCCGTCCAATTCAGTTAGGGTCAGAAATCCTTGATCTCTAATGGGCGCTCCAGCTTTTGACCTGGCATGTGCCATCTGGCAAAGACCACCATGAATTCTCAAGGAAGCCTTGGGATAGGGCTTTCAAGAGGACCCAGTCCTGCAATGGCAGCTCAGCTCCAGTTAAGCTAAAAGCCTGGGAAGTTCTAGTTGCTGTTTTCAACACAGTTCTTCCTCTTTGTTTTGGGAAATAAAACAATAGTTATAAATGTTTACATTTGAAACCAAAACATTTTGACAACAATTGCAGCTGCTAAATGATTTATGAAACTTGTAAAATCAAATCAAGAAAGATAGAAGACAAACATGCTGCTGCTAAGAAGGAAGGTTTCCCTGGCATTAATTTAGTAGATGACGCAGGTTTCCTAGAGTGTAATTATACAGTAATGCTTCTTAAGGGAGTTTGGTTTAAAAATATGATACATTTAATTGCCATTTGATCATTAGCATTTCACTGTCATTAACCTTCAGCTGACAAATTACCTACCTAGGAGAGATATATTTCAATTTAAACTGTTGGAGGCAGTGGCATACTCCATGTATCTGGGTCAAAAGCCAGATCTATGGATAAAAACTCAAATCTGGGACTCAGAGAAGGAAACATCTCAGTATGGCTTAGGTTTTCCAAAATATGCAAGTAATTTTCAAATAAATAAATATATATGCTAATCTACAGTAAAACACCTCTCCTTTCTGTTACAGTTAACATTTTGGTCAAAGTGTGCAAATAGCTGGGTAGTATCTCCTGGCCTTGTAAACTGAGAGTTACAAATTTAAACTTTCCTAGAGATTTTGTTCTTCACTGAGAAGCAAGCACATCCTGTGTACTATGGAATCAGACCTGGATGTGAATCCCTCCTCTGACTCTTAGTAACTGAGTGGCTAGGGAAAGTGACTTCCTTTCTCTGCATCTCAGTTTCATTACCTGTAACACGGAAAATAGAGATACCTGCTCCATGGTAATGCTGTAAGTATTTAAGACATAATTCAAGGAAAGAAGCCGGCAGCCTAATAGAAGCTGGATAAATAGTAGCTCTAATTGCTATCTGGGCAAGAGAGCTTTGAAATAATTGACTTGAACTCATATTTATTTAGAGTCCAGTAGACCCAGGGACTTCCACAGAGCTAAGTGGGTAAGTTAATTGTTGAGATAAATTTTTTTCCACATAACCTTTCTTCCTGCCATCCCTGGGGCCACAGACATATGCTTGAATCTTCACATCCAGGTGGAAGGAAATCTAGCTGTGGGGTAGGGATAGATTAAAAGAAAAACTGCTCAAAAAAGAGAAGGGAAGGACAAAGAGGGAAGAGGAAGAAACCCATGCTTCTCTGTCTAGCTCAGCAAGTATCCAAGGTATTCAAGAAGAGGAACAGAACTGAGCCTGAGCAGTATCTCAAGAGCAGGGGCAAGGAAGTGCAGTGATGCTCAGAGAAGAAACGGGCTGAGAGCAAGTTTAGCAGCGGCCTCTCCGGTGATCCACAGGCCCTGTGTGCCCTGCATCCCGAGGGAGGGGACTGCCAGGGTGGGCAGGAGCTGTGACAGAGCGGACATTGTGTCAGGAGGGCCTGCAGCACTTTGTGTGTGTGTGTGTGTGTGTATGCACGCGCATCTGTGTGCATGCGTTGGGAGTGGAGCAAAGGGTCATGGAGGATAAGAGCCTGCTGGTTCAGAGCAGCACAGTGAAGGTAGAGCCCCAACATGACAATAATAGAGAAGTGACAATGAAGGTTAAAAAAGAAAATAACCTAATCCCAGCATTTTGGAAGGCCGAGGCAGGCGGATCATCTAAGGTCAAGAGTTTGAGACCATCCTGGCCAACATGGTGATACCCCGTCTCTACTAAAAAATACAAAAATTAGCTGGGCATGGTGGCGTGAGCCTGTAGTCCCAGTTACTGGGGGTGCTGAGGCACGAGAATCACTTGAACCCTGGAGACAGAGGTTGCAGTGAGCAGAGATTGTGCCACAATCTGGGCCTGGGCAACAGAGTGAGAACCTGTCTCAGAATAATAATAATAACTGAGAATAACCAGAGGAAGAAGGCCTGCTGCTGAAAAACCCCAGCCCGCTTGGTTTCTGGGGGAGTCCAGACTTTAGTAAAAACTCTTATGTTCCAGTTATCTGTGAAGAAAACAGCACGCCGTTGCAATGGAAAAAGTACTTGCACAGGAATGATCAAATCCCTTGTTTCTTCCTCAGGTCAGTGGCCCGGACAATGCTTTTGATGAACAGATGATGAGTGACAATGCAAGATGAACTGTGACAAGGATCCCGTGGGTTGTCAAATGAGTTAAGAGGAAGGAAAAATTCCTTTGGGTTGCCGAGGCCAAGACAAGCTTCATTTCAAGCTTAGTCTTGAAGATGAGTGGGATTAAGATAAAAAATAAAGAATGGAAATGAGCATGAACAAAAACGTGATGGTGAAAGCATATTTGCTATTTTCAAAAGCCAGGAGCAGTGCTATCAGTGACAGGCAAACAGGCCTGGAAAAGAAGGTACCAAGACAAGGATATCTTCAAAATACAGGCTTGAGCACTTAATCTAAAGCCAGAAAAAAACATTGGCTTCAACTGTCCATCAAACTCTATTAAATATAAGAAAGTTTCCTAAATATATCATTTTTCCCTGTTAGAATTCATTGTCTCTACTGATTTCAAAATCAGCAAATATTTATTGTAAAAAAGAAAGAAAAAATACTTGTTAAAATCTATTTCTATAAAAACTACTGCTACTGGTTTCTCCCTAAATGCTCGGCAGTGAGCAAAGAAAGATACTGTTAACATTTAGTAGCTGCTGCGGTCACCTTGGCATAATCGAGTGAACACAGACTTTAATGGCAGTTTAATTAGATTTACCACGGGGAAGATGTCACACAGGAGATGCGATGCTTCTGTATTTAGAAACCTATATGATGACATGAATAAATAAAAAATGAACAGAAAATGAAACATTGCAAAGATCACAGCAGTGATTTCTCTTCCCTTTCTCCTTACAGTTTAAATACATATGGTGCTGTTCTCCTGCAGTGCAAAAGTCTAAGTGCCTTTATTGCTTATGGGAGTTGACAGTGCATATGGAGAGGAGGGTTACTTGCCATATTTTATATTTTATGAGCTGGCAGCGTATCTCCAAGAAAGATTTTCAATTGATTATACTTTTTGTTGAATGAGAAGAGAAGGCAGTTTTATCTCCACTATGAAAAAAATGTAAAAGATCCCCCCAGAAGCTGGAGAAGTAGTAGATGGTCTCTATGACTGAGGGAACCAGTAATACATCCTGGACTCCACTCCCCCCTAGCACTTCAGAGGCTGAAAACTCAACAGACCCAGGCATGTTCATTTTTAATCTGTTGCCCTATAAAGAGGTGAAAATCTTCTTTTAGAGAGGCAGGCATAAAAGAGGAGCATGTGGAAGGAATAATTTGTGAGTCATTTCCCACATAAGAAACATGGTTAGACACCCTGTAATCATTTCTACACCTGTTGTGGGTGCCAAAAAGAATCAACTTAGAGCATCCAAATGCTTTCTATAGGATGAAGTTATCCCAGGACCCAATCCAGCAGGTGCAAAACTCTGATCAGTAGGTTCTGGCGAGTTGTTGACACCACCTGGGCATTTTGGAAGAAAACCTATGGATTTGGAAATGATGACTTAAGTATTCCATTTGTGATTCTTCTAGGAAAATTAGGCAGAACTGAAAACTGTCCACATCTAAGGTAGACGTTTTTGAGATCTCTTTAAAGAACTTTTTCAACTGTGGAGAGTTCTCATCCTATCTATGTGCTGATACAATGAAATTTAGCAGCATTTCAATGAGCTCAGTGAGCCTAATGGCAGGCCTTAAGCAAGATGCCAAGGCTGCGCTTCCCCAAGTGAGGTCTGTGCACCACCTGCATGAAATTCCAGAGTGGAGAAGGTTGTTGATAATGCAATTTCCTAAGCTTCATCTCAAGTTTGAACAAGAATCTCCTGAGAATGGGAAAACCTTGAGAATCTCCTTTTTAACAGTGTCCACCACCCCCAACTCTATCTTCCAGAGGATTCTCATGTATACACAGCCAGAGAAGCACGCCAGGAGAAATCTGGAAAGTTAAGTTTTAAAAAAGGGAAGGATAGCAGTGTATTCTCTTCTCTGGATTTCACAGTAACCTTTTCCTATAAGAATTGAAGACATCTGCTTTAATGATTGCTTTTACTAACATCATTCTCCAAATTGATCAGATGGGGCAGAACAAGTAGGGCTTGGATTGCTGATTTGTTGTGAACATTTTGAAGAACATACTATGCATTGGGCATTGCTCTAAATTCTTTCCTTTTATTATCCCATTTAATCCTTATGGCAATTTTGTCTGGAAAGTAGGTGCTTTTATTATTTGCCGATGTAAAGGTAGAAAATTAGATGAGATTTCCTAAGTCAGATCCTGCCCAATGCAAATGATGTCAGGGAGAAGACAAATCAAAGAGCAAGTGAAAGGGGAATGCACCTTGGCCAAAGCAACACATCTGGCTAACTTCTTTCTGAGAAGAGAGATGAACAATATAAGCTTTTAAAAAGTCAGATAAAGGCTGGGTGTGGTGGCTCATGCCCATAATCCCAGCACTTTGGGAGGCCAAGGTGGGTGGATCACCTGAGGTCAGGAGTTCGAGACCAGCTTGACCAACATGGAGAAACCCCATCTCTATCAAAAATATAAAATTAGCTGGGTGTGGTGGTACATGCCTGTAACCCCAGCTACTTGGGAGGCTGAGGCAGGAGAATCGCTTGAACCTGGGAGGCGGAGGTTGTGGTGAACCGAGATTGCACCATTGCACTCCAGCCTGGGCAACAAGAGTGAAACTCCATCTCCAAAAACAACAACAACAAAAAAAAGACAGATAAAAATGGGAATCAGAGTGCCCTTCAAGTCCTAGAAACAGAGACAACTCCTTCCAGATCAAATAAAGATCTAACATCCCATGTCTCTTTTTCATTAATTTTTATGTATTTAGGAATGTGAGTTACTGTAAGGTGGTCAAGCTCCCTTTAGTTACTCATTTCTATGTATAGAATAAAACACTGAAGCTTTCTCATTAAATACATGACACCACTCTCCATGGATTTATTAAAAAGACCCCCCAGAGAAGAGAGTTATAAAATCTGATCAAGTCAGCAGTTCCAGCTGTGAAACTGATATCCATTATTTTCTATTGACTGCTGTGCAGAACTTCAATTTCTGTAGCATAAACAGAATCCCCATCTCTTTTGCAAGGAGACTGCCATCGGGTACAGCTAAAAATAAGCTTCATCAGCAAAATCATTTCATAAATTCCCAGAGACTTTCAGGAAAGTTCCTGAGAGAATGGTTTCCTATGAAAGAATTTCTTCATCATAAATCACTTTTATATTTCAAGTTATTACATTTGTTCTACATGATTATTTTCTCTCTGTAACATATAACATAGGATACAGCCTCCAGAAGATTGGGGGATGAATAGCTAAGAGCAAAAAGACATGTTAGAAGATATGCAAGTCTCCATTTTTTCTTCTGTCTTTCAGAGTCCTAAAAGTTAAAAGATACTATTCTCTGCCGAAAACAAAGTCATCCAAATATTTCATGCTTCATAATTATTATTTTGTTCATGATTCCTAAACATAGTTTCATGTTTTATCTTAAGAGGAAAAGAATTAAACATTACCCTGATAAGATTTGTAAATTCCATAGCTGAGTTGCAGGAAAAAACAAACAAACAAAAGGTGTTTTATAAGTACTAGAAAAATACTTAGTAAGGTGTATTAGTCTGTTCTCACGCTGCTAATAAAGACATACCTGAGACTGGGTAATTTATAAAAGAAAGAAGTTTAATTGACTCAGTTCCACATGGCTGGGGAAGCCTCACAATCATGGCTGAAGGTGAATGAGGACAAAGTCACGTCTTACATGAGGGCCAGCAAGAGGGCATATGTGAGGGAACTCCCGATTATAAAACCATCAGATCTCATGAGACTTATTCACTATCACGAGAACAGCACAGGAAAGACCCACCCCCATGATTCAGTTACCACCCATCAGGCTCTCCCATGACACATAGAAATTATGGGAGTTACAGTTCAAGATGAGATTTGGGTGGGGGACGCAGTCTAACCGTATCATAAGACTTACCTTTTCCCATGTTGATCCATTTCCAAAGACAGACTCTACAGTACAAACAAAAGGCTTGAAGCTCCACAGAGGTAATAAAAGATTTGTGACCGCCTCTTTATTACCAAGATTAACTAACCTCAGCTATGACCTATAACCCTACAACTCCTAATATTTGCATTTCTGATGGTTTTCTTTGGAACAATGGAAGACACTTGGGCTTTGCATTAAAATCCTTTGTGTTTTTGTGTTTCTTCTGCAGCTATTTGCCTACTGTAATTTTAGTTTCCTTGGTGGGGTGTTAGTGAAAACACTTCTTTCAACTTTTTTTGGTGGTGGAGGGGAATACCGTGAAGTCAGCACAGAGTAGGATTTAAGAAAAGATATTTTTCAAGCCTTTTGACAGTTAACACTGATCCTGCTCATAACCGCTGTTTCTCCTGGAGCAGAAACTATTCCACGGTGATTTGTTTCCTTAGCTAAATATCCCCAACAGCATGGCCCTTTGGGAGTGAAGATGGTTGCCGCCAAGCAAAAGTGATGAGCTCCCAGGCATGTTAATGTATTTTGTTTGTTTGTTTGCTGTTTCCCTTAAAAGTGTTGGAGGTATTCAGAGGGAGCCCTTTGGACTCCAGTCATGGAATTCATAAAGACTTGCCCCCAAGGTAAAAGGGAAATGCCAACATTTGTCCATGTTTTTGACACTGTCTCGGTTTTTGTTCTCTTTCTTTTTCAGCCTTTTTAATGCTCAGTCAATGTCTCTTTTCTTACAGATCTGGGACTTTATCTACTCATCCCAATAGAGTCCTATAAATAACGTCCTCTGTCACTCAATACCTGCTGTATCCCCCATTCCACATTTCCTACTGACTCTCTTCACACTGCAACCTCTCCTGCCACATGACCTCAGCCAGACCCTCTTCTTCTATCCTTCCCCTCCCACATTCCTCACCCAGTGTACCCCCACCCACACACACATACACACATATCTGTCCCACTGCACCACAACCAGTACGCAGTTTAATAAAGCTCTTACTACACTACTTGTTTCACTATGGGCCCTGCATACGTTATTAACTTCTTTCCTTCCTCTTTCCCTCTTTTCACTTCTCCAGGGGTCTTTGGATACTAAAAGAGGATGTCTTGAGGAAGGTAATGGCTAATACAAAAGAGAGTTACCAAAAGATTACATTTCAGCCACAAGGGTACCTGGATTTGGGTGGTGGCAGGGGCGTGGGTAGAGAGGGTCTTTTAAAGACATAGATTTGTGATTTTAAAAAATAGGACTTTTGGACTGAGTGCAGTGTCTGAAGCCTGTAATCCCAGCACTTTGGGAGGCCGAACAGGGTGGATCACCTGAGGTCAGGAGTTCAAGACCAGCCTGGCCAACATGGCAAAACCCCATCTCTACTAAAAATACAAAAATTAGCTGGGCATGGTAGAACAAGCCTAGAGTCTGGGCTACTCGGGAGGCTGAGGCAGGAGAATCAATTGAACCCAGGAGGTGGAGGTTGTGGTGAGCTGAGATCATACCACTGCACTCTAGCCTGGGCAACAGAGGAAAACTCTATCTCAAAAAAAAAAAATGGGCTTTTGCATTTCTTTTACTGGAGCATGAAAAATTATGAACTGCTTTTATTTTGCTTCATTATAACAGATTACTCAAGAATCTTTAGGACTGACACAGAATCACCTGGAAAGCCCATTTACGTCCCTAGTGGGGAGCCAGTCTCTCTTGTGAGCTGCTTCTTGCTGGGATGGGGCTAGCAGAAGGGTAATTTTACATAGGTCACATGTTTTCCATTTATCCTACACTTTGCACAGTGATCCCCAGGAAATAGTTTATATGTATTTCTATATAATTTTCCTCCCTGCTAGGCCTCCAGCTTTTCAGCAAAAGAGCTGCTCTTAAGGTCTGATAAGAGGTATAAATGATCCTCTTGGCTCTAAGTAAAACAAAGCAGTGTGATTACCCACTTCACTTAACCACTCTTACAGGATTTCTGAGGCTCTTATGAAGAAGGCAAAGAGAGGACAGAGGCAAGAGGATGTTTTTCTTTGCTCAGACACTAGCTATAGTCCAAAGAAAGCATGCAAGATGCAGCCACTGCAACCTGCTTACATAATTCTCTTCTCTTCTGTTAGGCTCCTAAAAGGGAGCAAAGATACTCAAGTTGGTTAAATTTTAAGTACGAGTCTATAGGATTAGGAGAAAACAGCAAAAGCAATGCACCATTTACGGTTACCAGACTTTCCTTATTCCTCCTGATACTGGCTCCTGGTTCCTGTTTTTGTCATAATTATCTGGATTAGCTAGGATTTCAATTGCCTGAACATAACAGTATATGCTAACTATAGTGGCTCAAACAAATTGGGATGCATTTTTCTCTCCTAACAAAAAGTCCTAAAGCAGGTGGTTGATCATTTTGGTTTACCTAACCGGTGACTCTATTAGGGACCAGTGCTCAAACTCTCCTTTGATTTCTTATTTTGTCTTTTGAAAATTGCCTTTTGTCGGCAGGGTGCGGTGGCTCACGCCTGTAATCCCAGCACTTTGGGAGGCAGAGGCGGGCGGATCATGAGGTCAGGAGATCGAGACCATCCTGGCTAACACAGTGAAACCCCGCCTCTACTAAAAATACAAAAAATTAGCCGGGCGTGGTGGCGGGCGCCTGTAGTCCCAGCTACTCGGGAGGCTGAGGCAGGAGAATGGCGTGAACCCGGGAGGCGGAGCTTGCAGTGAGCCGAGATCGCGCCACTGCACTCCAGCCTGGGCGACAGAGCGAGACTCCGTCCCAAAAAAAAAAAAAAGAAAATTGCCTTTTGTCATTGTGTTCTTCCCTTCATGAATAATAGATGTCTGTTTCCTCTTCAAAAACATTGCCTCCACATTCAAGGCAGTGAGAAAAGAAAGGGCCATATTCAGCCACCTTTGACATTTTCTAATTAGGAAAGCAAAAACCAATTCTAAGCATTTTCTTTTTTTGTTTCATTAATCAAAACAGTGTGACATGCTCACCTCTCACTGCAGAGTGGGCGGGCAAGGCACCATGTGTTGGTTTTCTCAGCCTTTATTACAGAGGTTGGCAAAGGAGTGACAGCCACTGTACTACACAGACTTATGATCTAATTTTGTGACCTTGATCCTCATTCCTGGTTTCAGTTTCTCATTTCAGACAAGTGAAATGCCCAGTGCCTCAGCATTCTTAGACCTGAAATGTACTCAGGTTCCATCAAACTCCACAATAGCATATCTTCATGGGGGACCCGAGCCCTTCTAACATGCCATGCCATTTGGGTTAAAACAAGTAGTTCTAAATTAAAAGCTTGTATTGGTGAGGGCATCAAAAATCAAGGTCATCTCTTCCCGTAATAGTGGCATCATACATAAAGGATGGTGGATTCCTTTCAGTGAGTGCTACTATTTCTTCCACCTACAAATATTTAATTATCCATGGACAGACTACGAGAAAAATAACAAATAAGTCATCATTTGTCCGTAAAGTGATGAATCTAAGTTGCTGCCTGGTCCCGACCACAAGTGAATTCTGCCTCCTGCAGTCAGTCAGCTCCTGGGTGTTTTTCTGATTATGTTTATCTCTGACTGATCCTTAAGCATCACCACTACGGTCTAAGAGGAAGGGATTTCTGCTCCCATACACCTTTGGTTTTGGATGACCACCCAGGGAAAGAGCAAATTCCTTTAGGAAGCAAGTTCTTGACAATTATTTGCAGGTTAACTGTTCAATTTTGTGGCATTTTTGCTCTTCTCTAATAAGCACACAATATGCTTTTATTAGCCAGCATTTTCAGTCTCAAGCTATTTAGGAGACATTTTATGGCAAAGCCATTATTACAACGAATTAGAACACAAGTGAAATTTATGCTTCTTTTTCAAGGTGGCTCAAAGGTGATTTCCCTTAAATGTATTATCCACTGCTTATCTAAAATTAATCATAACTCAAGGTCACAGATGAAACAGGCTGTGTTTCCATAGCCCTAAATCTGCTAACAGCCCAAATCAGTAAGCTTTACACTTTAATTGTAGAACTCTTATAAACTCGCTGTGGCCTTCATGTAATAAATCAGTCCCCAAATAGTTTGTGGAAGCCAGATAGTGATAACGTGCTAGTACAGGCTTTCTCAACCAGGGTCCTGAGGCATCACTGAATATTATGAATTAACTTCTCCCCTATTCTTTACAGTGGTAATATCTATATACTGTCCTTGGGAGATTTGAGTAAATAATCATAAATATTATGTCTTATTTTCTCTTGTTCAGATGAAAAGTCACAGTTGGAAAAGTCTATCTGGGAGTCAGTTTCAGGCCAGCCTACAACCCTGTGATTTGAGGCAAATCATTTAATTGGAAGCCTTGGGCTCCTATCTGAAAAATTGAATGGACTGCTTTAGATGAATTCTAAGATGCCTTCTATAGCTATGATAAAAAAATTTGCTCTATATAAATTTATTCTGGAAAAGTTTAGGATCTTAGAGAAACAAATTCAATACTGTGTTTAGTCACATGTACTTTTTGCATCCCATTGAAAAAAAAAGTGGAGTACAAATTTAAGAAAAATATTTTCTGTGTAACTACTCTTTATCTATCCTGCCTTCATCATAGCCTCTACCTTGCCCCACATTTCTGCTTGGAAATTATAAATACTGAGAGTACTGAATCCTCCATGCAGTTAAATACTTTGTGCTCTACAAGTTGTCAAAGGGTTAAGCTCTTTGATGCTGGCTAGGTGGAGATAAAATTTAGCAGCTTCTCCTCTATCTCTGCTGCTTACCTGTTTCTCTCCTTAGGGCTATCTCTCCATCTAGTTGCCCAAATATGGAAAAAATAGACCTCTCAGTCTCCCACGACACCTCCTAAAGTGCAAATAGATGCCTGGAGACATGAGCAGTGTCAGAAGCTACAGAAACTGCCAAAACTCTCTCTTGAAACAAAGCTATTACATTCAACCCCACAACCAAAATAAAAAGGAAATAAACAGGAAAGGAAAGAGCATCTGATGTAGAAATCATATCTTGTGATCAATTATCTGAACATTGCCTCCCTGTTTCATATATTTCCCTCATATTTTTCAGGGTAAACAGAAATTGGTTAATAAAATGTGAAAATAATGAGAAACATGATTATAGGCAACTTCTCTATTGATTTCTGTGCTATTCTGAATTAGTCCTTGCTCTTTGGTAAGTGCAGATACACGACAAGGAAGGAAGGAGGCTTGAGACGAATCAGGTGGATCTAAGAGCCAACATCACAACCTGATCTCTTGCATTGCTAGTGGGAAAAAGTGTATATGAGGCTGAGAGGGTGGTAGGGAGATCTCAAATGCCCACAGATTGTCACTCTCCATTTTATAGATAAACTCTTAGGGATGTGGTAGGAAGGTGGAAAATCTGTTTTGAGAAGGATTATAAAGCTAAATATGAGCTCTGTGGGAAAATGCCGTGGTTGATTACTGATGTCTGCTATGGCTCTGGTTAAGATAGGAATGCCATGGGTATTTTCTGGTTTTGTAGACTTTCTCACTGGTTGCCCTGAAACAAATTTGGCAGCCTACAAAGCAGAAGTAATCAAATCCTGATAATGTACAATCTTCCTTATATACAACTAATTCAGATTTACATCCTGAATCCTAACAATTATTCAATATATCACTAGAACGTTTGAGTATATTTTGAAAGTTCATATACCTTTAGTCACAGTGGTTGTGTCACTGAATCAAACTGGATCCATTTGACTGCACAATGGAAAGCCAAACACTGAAGCACTGGGTTTTTGCAGTGAGAAAAGCTTACTGTGAGTCGACTCACAAGGAAATGGGAGGAAATGCTCAAATCTGTCTCCCAGAGCTGGGACTAGGTTGTGTTTTATAAGCATAGGGTAATGAGATGTGATCTGATTGAATCTTGCAATGAGGTGATGCTAGGAGTCATGATCTGACTGTATCCTGCCATGGGGTGACACCAGGGCTCAATCTGATTGAATTCTGGATCCTGCCATGTGTTCTCTGCTTCTTAATTCAGCCCCCGCTTCTTGGTTCAAGTACTTAAGCTCTACTCAGAGTTGCATACGTGGTTCACTGGGGCATGCTTAGCTTCTGTGGTCTTCAACCTAGGGGTCCATGGCAACTGAAAAACAACTCACAACTCTGTTACATAACAGTTGAAGCAGATTGGTCTGATGTGTTTACAGTTGGACAAATAACCTTTCACATTCCTTTTAGCCTAGAGATTCTATGATCCAATGAAACCCTGGTTTCTCTATCAGTAACTCCTTTTATCTGTCTCCTTCATTTTCACCTTAATACATTTTTAACAAGACAGGCTGTCTGAAGTGTGTCAATGCAAACATTACCTGCTCACTAAGATTAGCAGTTTGATTTCTCATCATGAAGGACAGACATGGAATACTAAAAGTGCTGAAAGGACAACAAAACAAACAAAAAAACCAACAGAAACTTCAATCAAGAATTCTTTATCCAGTAAAACTGTCCTTCCAAGAGGAAGGAGGAATTTAGTCTTTCCTAGATAAATAAAGCTCAGGGTGTTTGTAGCTGATGGACCTGCCCTATAAAAAATGCTACAAAGATCCTTCAGTCTGAAATGCAGGACACTGAGTAGTAGCTTGAGAAATAAACAATACCAGTGAAGGTATAATCACTACACAGTTTGCCATAATTTTAAAAATAATAAAGAAAAAAATTACCAGAATATAATTTTTCTTTGAACTATAGATAGTTAACCTGTTTCTTCAATTTTGGCAAATTTTTGAATGGGGAATTCCATAATTTTAAGAGGAAAAAAAGTGTGCTAACATCTGAAATAATTCTTTGCTTCAAAGGTTTGATATCTTAGAGACAAAGGCTACAGGGAACCATGGTGTTAGTTGCAGGAAAGCCCCATTTTCATCACATTATTTACTGCTCATTTGTTTAGAATTTTAAAATAAGTGGATTCTGGATCTGTATTTCTTTAAAATATAGCTCTGTTGCTGTGCCTTTGCATGCTTTTTGCTGTTCCTTACACAAAAGCACAAAACACAGTGCCCCTCAGATCCTCCAGAGGACAGCAGGTAGTACAAGCCATGAATGAACCAAGAGTCCTGAACCAAAGCCATCAACTAAGATCTCTTTACTCAGATCTGGAAACAGGAGAGAGGAAGAGCCCAGGGTGAGGAGAGCTATTCTTATTCAGACTAAGCCCTTAAGCATAAACACAAAGACTAATTTGTTTGGCGATCACGATGTCTGTTATGTTATATGAATAGTGAATATATGATAAAATGTCATCGCATCAATCTGTCAATCTTCAAACCTTTTCTGCGAGTCAACAGCACACAAAATAAGTGCTAAGCTCCATACTGCAGTGAATGCAAAGTGGCATCAGGCTAGGACCCAACTTTCAAGAAACTTATACCTTGGTTGAGTAGAATCCATAACTTTCAGAACAAAGCAAACATGCAAATCCCAAGTAAATATTCTACAGTATAATATAAAAATTATGTTCATTATGTGTAAAATAAAAGTAAGTTTTGAAACTGCCATTACATAATTATAACTGAGCTGACCTAACCAGCTCCATCTTGCTTCTAAACTCCAAATTGTCCCTGTTCATTCCTGGGCATAGGCTGAACTAACTTTGAGAGGAACTTAGTTCACAGTTTAAAACAAAGATGATAACAGCCCTTTCCCAAAACAAACCTTCTTCTTGCCTGGGGATTAGACTGCTTTTGTAGGACTAATAAATTAGGCACAAGATTAGAAATTATGGTTTAGGAGTTACGCAGCTGGAGACTACAAGATTCTTATCCTCCCTAAACTGCTCCTAAGCTCAGTGCAGACCCTGCACTTGATGCATCAGCTGGCACCACCCAGATCTATAAACTGGCTCATGATCTTGTGGCCCCCACTAAGGAACTGACTCAGCACAAGAGGACAGCTTCAACTTACCATTATTTCATCTCCTACTTAACCAGTCAGCACTCCTGGCTCACTGGCTTCCCCACCTACCAAGTTGTTCTTAAAAACTCTGATCCCAGAATGCTCAGGGAGACTGTTTTGAGTAATAAATAAAACTCTGGTCTCCCACACAGCCAGCTCTGCGTGAATTACTGTTTTCTCTATTGCAATGCCCCTGTCTTGAGAAATCAGCTCTGTCTAGGAAGCCAGCAAGGTGAACCCACTGGGCAGTTACAGTTTCATTTCAGGGTCAATATTATCTAGATTTGGACTCAGAATCTCTTGAGTTCTAATCAGGTTCCCACCATTTATTAGCTGTGTGACTTTGAGTATTTTAATCTCTCTGTACCTCATTTTCCTTGTTTGAAATGAGGCTAGCAGTACCTTCTTCATCAACTTGTTGTGAAGATAAATCATATTGTGTATGTGTATTAGTCAGGTTTTGTTGAAATAATGCTGCATAATGAGCATCTCTCAAACATTTCTCTTCTGCTCACATTCTGCAGGTGGGCTCTGGCTCAACGAGGCTGGGTTGGCTTTGGTTCATATCTGTTCCATGTGTCCAATCCAATTCAGAATCCAATTATTCCAGATTTAAGCTGAAGTAGCGCAATTATCTGGAATCTGTTCATCTAAGGATGAGCAGGATGAAACTGTTCATCTCAGGATGACAGGACTACAAAAGGGCAAAAAGAAATAGGTCATGTCTTTCAAAACTGCCACTCAGAACTGGTACACATCACATTGGTCAAGCTGGTCACATGGCCAAGCCTAAAGTCAGTGGAATAGGGAAGCATACAGTGTCCCCTGGGAAACCATGGCAAGCCTGGAGAGAGAATGAAGGCTTATGAACAAATATATACTCTGTTACAGTATGTAAATCATTGCTGTTACCAAGATTCTGTCCTCTGTCCTTTACTTTTTCCAATCTCTTTGCTCAGCTTTAATATCAATTGTATCACTATTGTAAAACAAAGGTGGACCATGATAGAGAGCCAAATGTAAACACTCACTTGGGTATGTTTTTCCAATTCGGTGAAGGGTCCTCGGAAGTGAGGTTTTCCTTCCTGTATCACAGGCATCTTATACAGTGTCCTTCTCCAGCATTTCCTCTGTTAAGCTTTCTTTGATCATGAAGGTTGAAAAATCTCTTTTCTCTTGCTTTACATCAGCATCATTCAACAGAAATATTATGTTGGCCATCTATGTGCTATAATGTTTTATATTTAAGAAGTCTTCAAAAATGTTCAACAAAATTATCCAAAATATTTTCGATGTGAAATCAATGTAAATAATTACTGTTATTTGTTAATGAGATAATTAACATTTTTTCTTCTATAATAAATCTTCAAAACCCAATGTCATAGTAATTTAAATTACCCATAATTCGGCCAGGCGTGGTGGCTCACACCAGTAATCCGAGCTTTTTGGGAGGTCGAGGCAGGCAGATCACCTGAGGTTGGGAGTTCAAGACCAGCCTGGCCAACATGGTGAAACCCAGTCTCTACTAAACATACAAAAAATAAGCCAGGCAAAGTGGCGCACGCCTGTAGTCCCAGCTACTCAGGAGGCTGAGGCAGGAGAATCACTTGAACCCGGGAGGCAGGTGTTTCAGTGAAGTAAGTTCACACCACTGCACTCCAGCATGGGCGACAGAGAAAGACTTCAACTCAAAAAATAAAATTTAAAAATAAATAAATAAATTACCCATAATTCAAATGCTCAGTAGCCACATCTGGCTAGTGGCTACATATTGGAGAAAGGGAACTATACAATGTAACCTTGCTCAGTCGTTTCTTATTTTGTGTCTGACTTTCTTCTTTCTATTAGACTAAATGCATTTATTATACTTTTTTCTCTCCCACACTACCTCTGATGTTTGTTTGGATGTTTATTTTACTCCAGGTTTAACCAGAAATTTTTTTAAAAAGGGAAAAAAACCAAAACAAATAAACAGACACTGTTTAGAGTAAGAGTTAAAAAACAAAAACACTGAGGTACAAATTAAATAATTTACAGACTAAACCTCAAATCTTACCTGCAGATGTACAATTCTACCTTGGATTTCTTCCGATCATCCTAGAAAGAATTTAGACTATAGAGAATCTTAGAATGTAGCACATACTCATATGATTTTTTAAAGTCATTAATTTGACCAACTTATGAAGCCAAAAGGTCTCTCTACCACAAGGTAGCTAAGGTTTATTGAAGCAATTCAGCACAACTTATTTTTTATAGAGACTACTTAACTGAAATGACTGAAAGGATGTTATGTGCCTATAAATAAATCTATAAGAAGCAACAGTGCATGTAAGAGAGTAAGTTGTGGGAAGAACCAGTGCAGTTACCAAGTGAGATTAGATAGAAAATAAGTAGGACATTTCATGATCTATAGGATAGGATGTATTAGGTGTCAATGACAAATGGTTGTCTACAGCCATCTAAGTTACTGATGGTAATGATCCTAAAGTCTTTCTTTCTATACTAAACTACCTATAAATATTTTGTGAAAGGCTGGTTAATTATGCATAAGTGAGAAATCTGTTACAAATTTATCTCATGTGTGAGACACCATAATTTAATATGAGATAGTTGGGGATAATGTTAAGACTTTTTTTGAAAAATACACACATTATAAATCTGCTCACAAACGAAAAGAATATCCCAATCTTATACCAGTCTCAGGATCTGTGTCAGCATAAAATGTGGACACAGAGCTTCCTATAGATGCATATGAAGTCCTTCCTAGTAGAGAGGACTTGGTAGAGCACATGGGCTTTGTTCAGGCACCAGGAGCTTCAAAGCTGGTTTTTCCATTTACCAGCTGTGAATCCCTGAACAATCAAGTTAAGTGAAGTCTGAGGGTTTCTTTGTTTGTTGTTTAAATTTCTAAAATTGGTATAATAATAGTAAGTCCCTCCTACACATGGTTAGCTTGGCATATAGTAAGCACTTGATCTATGTTAGCTATTGTTGTTAATGATTTTAGGAACAAGGAAACGTTTTTGGCTACTTCTGAAAAGTCAGCAAAATCTCCTTATTCGTACTTAGAAAAAAGAACAAAATACGTACTGCAGTGGAAGTGGACAATACACATGAGCACATCATATAGTTTTCTGCATCCCTTATTTTGCCTTGACTGCCAAAACATTTCCTTAAACTGACAGATCCATGAAGATATAAGGACCTAATAGGTACATTTCAATTATCTCTTTAAAATTTTGAAACTAAGCATTACATCTTACCTTCCATCTTTTTATTTAAAAATAGAAAGAAGCAGAATAAACAGATGACATTTACAGTCATTCTGCATTGGTGTTCATCTCAGCGCCTCATCTATGGTATTGACTTACGACTTTTTCTTATTTTTTATTTATTTATTATTTTTTTTTTTTTTGAGACTGAGTCTCACTTTGTCTCCAAGGCTGGAGTGCAGTGGCATGATCTTGGTTCACTGCAACCTCTGCTTCCCGGGTTCAAGCAATTTTTCTGCCTCAGCCTCCTGAGTAGCTGGGACTACAGGCATGCACCACCACGCCCAGCTGATTTTTTGTATTTTTAGTAGAGAAAGGGTTTCGCCATGTTGGCCAGGCTAGTCTTTCAGGTGATCCACCCGCCATGGCCTCCCAAAGTACTGGGATTATAGGCATGAGCCACCGTGTCTGGCTGACTTTTCTATCTCAGCATTGTTTCTTAATTATGCAAGAATCATGATTTTGTTGGAATCTGTAAGCTATGTGAAAGATACAGATAATTATATCACATACATATACATCTGAAATCAGAAAAGACCAAGAAAGTTTGTCCTATAAAGTAATTAACTGTTTTGTTCTTTATGAATTAAATTAACAATCTATTTTTCAACATATACAGTCTAGCTCATTTTTCTATTTGTAGCCTGATTTTTTCCTCAGACTGCTGTGTAGTAAAGGATAATTAGAGACATTTACACTTATCATCCCAGCAAGAACATTGCTTTTGCTGCTAAGGAAATAGTCCAATCCAGTGTGATTTATATTTGCATAATATCCTGTTGCAATATTGAAAAACACTTTGCTGACAAACAGAGGAAGGTATTGAAATTGGGGTTTATAGAAGGGAAAGTGAGGTTATGAATAACCACTGTCAAAAAAAAAAAAAAACCTGTTACTTTATTCTATCAGTTTGCTCCAATGAAATTAAGCCTATTTTTTTTTTCCTTAGAAATGATTAACACAAAATGGAGGTAACTCTGTCAAGTATGTGCTGTGTGGCATTATTCAGACACCCAGCTGGCTTCTTAAGTCAGTGTTCTACTTTTTATCTGGTTGGGTGTAATGCCAAGGAGAAACAGCATTTTAAAATTCAATTTTGCCTTCTCGACCTCCTGTGAATCAAGAGTCAACCAAAACAAGTCTTGAAAAGCTATTTTTTACAAAGCAAGGACACATTTCCACAGGAAAATAAAATGAAATGTATAATCATTATAAAATACCTCTGTGCCCAGCTTAAAAAACATGTTAATGAACTTCGTGATTTAATTATACTCATTTGACTAATTCCAACTGACATCAGCCTTACAACTTTAAAAGTATAATTTCAAGTCACAATATTTTGTTCTCATTTTAAGCATTCAGATTCACTTTGAGAAGCTATAAGGTGACTAACCATCCCAGTTTTCCCAGGACTGAGGGGCTACATTCCGGAGAGGCAAGAATTTTTTCTTTTGAGACAGTGTGTCTCACTCTATCACCCAGGCTGGAGTGCAGTGGCACAACTCAGCTCACTGCAACCTCTGCCTCCTGGGTTCAAGCGATTCTCATGCTTCAGCCTCCTAAGTAGCTGGGACTACAGGTGCCCGCCACAACGCCTGACTAATTTTTGTATTTTTAATAGAGACAGAATTGGCCAGGCTGGTCTCAAACTCCTGGCCTCAAGTGATCCACCCTCGTCAGCCTCCCAAAGTCTGGGATTACAGGCATGAGCCACTGTACCCGAGAGGCAAGACTTTTAATGCTAAAACAATAGCAGACTGGGGTGACTGGTACATCATAACATGAAACTCAAAGAAAGGTCTTAGGAGAGCTCAGTATTTAAAATAAAGTCTTCTGCAAAATGAGGAAAGCCTGAGTAATTAATTATGCATTTATGTAGTTATACTTTATTAAATACCTTCTATGAATCAGTTATTGGGCTGAGCATCAGAGATTAAGACACAGTTTTTGTCCCAAGTATGTGTATAAGAAGACAGAGAGGCCAGGCGCAATGGCTCACGCCTGTAATCCCAGCACTTTGGGAGGCTGAGGCGGGCGGATCACAAGGTCAGGAGATCGAGACCATCCTTGCTAACACGGTGAAACCCCATCTCTACTAAAAATACAAAAAATTAGCCGGGCGTGGTGGCAGGCGCGGGTAATCCCAGCTACTCGGGAGGCTGAGGCAGGAGAATGGTGTGAACCCGGGAGGCGGAGCTTGCAGTGAGCCGAGATCGCGCCACCGCGCTCCAGCCTGGGCGACAGAGCAAGACTCCGTCAAAAAAAAAAAAAAAAGAGAGAGAAATAAGCAAATAGAGAATTCATAATTGAGATATGCTCAAGGGGCTATGGGACACAAAGGTGTATACTGAAAATATAACTGGTATATTTCCCATATCTGTTTCCTAAGTTTCAATTTTGACATTTATACCTGTTAAAATCAAGATTTATATATTTTAAATATATACAACTAAATATAAGTAAATATAAGTAAACTAAAATTTCAGCAACTTAAAAAAATTGCTTTCATAAATAATAAACTCATTCACTGTCATGTATGAAAAATAGTCCCTGAAGTAAATCAGTTTTATTGTCAGTATATAATTTATTTTATTTCATGAGCAGCTTATTGATAAAAAGGCCAATTCACAGAGAAGACATACCAATTCTATGTGGTTCCAACCTAACAAAAGAACTTAAAAATATATGGGAAAAAAAAACCTGTGGAATACAACTAAAGCCATGCTTTGAGGGAAACTTAAAGCTTTCCACAATTCTGTCAGAAAGGAAGGAAGCTTTGAAATCAACAATTAAAGCACCTACCATAAGAAACTGGAAGGTGGGAAAGGAGAAAGGTTCAAATTAAGAACAAAGCAAGCAGAAGAAAGGAAATGATAAGGATAATGGCAGAAACCAATAAAATTGAGAACAGAAAAACAATACGAGGGAACCAATGAAACCAAATTTGGGTCTTGAAAAGAGGAGTACGATCGATAAACATTTGGGTATACGATCAAAAACAAAAACTGGAGAAGTTTTCTGGTTGCTGGTACAGCATCAGAGAAGCTTGGAAGTTGTCACTCTATCCTAACAATAAGTAAAAAGCTGAACACACTGAAAAAGCAACTTTTTTAGATCTACAAGAGAAGTGATATCACAAGGTAAACTGCTGTCCCCAAAATTAGAGAGACAGATAGGTGAATACAGAGAATTATGACTTGCTGGGTCAGAAGCTCACAAGCAGAACCCTCCGTGGGAACCGGTACCAGGGTAGGAAAACCTGAACCGTAATTGATGAACTGCTAGAGGCTCTCTGGGAACAACTCCGAGAATTAAAAACTCCAGGGAGGCTCAGTGTCTTAGGCAGTTTTGCATTGCTATAAAGGAATACCTGAGACTGGGTAATTTATAAAGGCAAAAGGTTTAATTGGCTGGCGGTTCTGCAGGCTGTACAAGAAGTGTGATGCCAGCCTCTGCTTCTAATGAGAGTCTTAACGAAGCTTACAATGATGGCGGAAGGCAAAAGGGGAGCCAGCATGTCACGTGGCAGGTAAGAGAGGGAGCAAAAGAGAGAAGGGGAAAGTCCCAGGCTTTTTTAAATAATCAGCTTTCACATGGACTCATTACTATGGGGAGGGCACCATGCCATTCATGAGGAATCTGCCCCCGTGACCCAGACACCTCCCACCAGGCCCCACCTCCAACATTGGAGATCACATTTTAACACGAGATTTTCAGGAGACAAACATTCAAACCATATCATTCAGTCATATGGGGGTTTCCACACTCTTGTGAGTTTTACCTTCAGGAGTTCAGCCTGTTGTCATAATAAGTGGCATAGAAAAATTCCCTTATGCTTCCTTCATGGAGAGGGGAAAATAAACCATTTTGAAATAGCCCAAAGAATTATAGTCTTCTTAGCAAAATCTGCCCTCAGGAGAAACTATTTTACCAGAACCTCACCCACTGGGATTTTATCAAAGCCTTACTGAGCTGGAGGAAGGAAAAGGCCAAGTCCAGACTCTTCCAGCTAAGACAATGAGGCGGGAGGGGGAGGCAGAAGCATGTGTGGAGTTCACGGTCTGACTGAGGCTCATTAGAAGACTGAGACCCAATCATAGGACTATTGGATGCTTCCTCTCCTACACACCACACCACCACATTACTAAAGGCCTAGCTACAGAAGTTCCTTTTATTTGGGGCTCTCAAGAAAAGGTTAAATAGCATACTAAAAGGCAAATAACACAGTTTGAAGAGGCAAAACAAGCATCAAAAGCAGACTGTGATATCACAGAGATGCTGGAATGATCGGACAGAATTTAAAACAACGATGGCAAATATACTAGTGACTTTAATCGAAAAGAGTCTATAGGAAATGATGGACAATGCAAGTAGAGAGATGAAATTCTAAGAAAGAACCAAAAAGAAATGCTAGAGATCAGAAACATTGTCACAGAAATGAAGAATGCATTTGATAGACTTATTTGTAGACTGGACATGGCTGAGAATAAAATCTCTGAGTTTTAGGACATTTCCATAGAAACCTCCAAAACTAAAAAGCAAAGAAAACAAAAGACTGGAAATAATAAGACAGAATATCCAAGAACGGTGGGGCAACTACAAAAGGTGTAAATCTATGTATGGGAGTATCCGAAGAAAAAAGAGAGAATGGATCAGAAGATATGTTTAGACAATCATGACAGAGATTTTCCCCAAATTAATTTGGATACCAAACCGCATATTGAGGAAACTCAGAAAACAAAAATAGGGTAAATTCCCCCCTAAAATTACACAAAAGAAATCTCTACACCTAGGCATATCATATTCAAACTACAGAAAATCAAAGATAAAGAAAAAATTATGAAAGAAGCCAGAGAAAAGAAATACCTTACCTGTACTAGAGCAAAGATAATAATTACATTTAGCTTCTCAAAATCCATGCAAACAAGAAGAGAGTGGAAGGAAATAAAGTGTTGAAAGAAAAAAAAATCCACCAATGTACAGTTCTGTACCCTATAAAATGATCCTTCAAAAGTGAAAGAGAGATAAAGACTTAAACAAACAAACAAACAACAACAAAAATTGAGGGACTTTATTGCCAGTAGACGTATCTTGCAGGATATGTGAAAAGAACTTTTTTGAGACAGAAGGACAATGATATAGGTCAGAAATTCAGATCTACATAAGGAAAGAAAAAGCATTGAAGAAAAAAAAGTGAAGGTAAAATACAAACTTTTTTCTTATTCTTTATAGATCTAACATAATAATTTGTTCAAAATCATAATGATGATAATGTATTCAATTACATATGCTTACGTATGTTCATATGTATGTGTGTGTATATATAATATATATATATAATTCAATTTAATATATATATTGCAATGAATGCTAGCAATGACACAAGGGTCAGAAGGGGGGAATTAGGATTATAAAGTATTCATACTACTTGTGAAATGGCAAAGTATTACTTAAAAGTTAACTTGGATTAGTTGTAATGTACATTGGAAACTCTAGGACAATCACTAAAAAAAAGTGAAAAAAAGAAGTGTAAAAGAGTGAAAATGAAATCATATAAAATCATATAAAATACACAATGTAAAATCACAGAAGGCAGAAAAAGAGTGGATGAGTGGGAAAAAGATAAGCAAAAAAGGTCAACAAAATACAAAACAGTAATAAATGTGGTAGATATTAATCCACCTATATCAAGAACTTTGAGTGTCAATGGTCTAAATGCAGGAATTCAAAGATAGAAATTATCAGAGCAGATCAAAATACAACTATATGTTGTCTACAAAAAACCCACTTTACACATAAAGACCTACAGATTAAAGGTAAATATATGGAGAAAGATATATCATGCTAACATTAATTGAAAGAAAGTAGAAGTAGTTATATTAATTTTAGATATAGCTGACTTCAAAGCGAGTAAAGTTGTAGGGATAAAGAGGGTCATTACATAATGATAAAGGGTCAATTCTCCAAGAAGACATAACGATCGTTAATGTGTGTGCCTGTCTAACAACACGGAATCAAAACACATGAAGCAAAAACTCATAGGAGTGGAAGGAGAAATAGATGAATGCGTTATTACAGCCAGAGACTTCAAGTCTCTCATCACAAATGGACAGACCCAGCAGGCAGAAAATCAGTAAGAACAGAGTTGAACTCAACACCACCATCAATCAACTGGATACAGTGGACATCTGTAGTAGTCTACTTCTTCCAGCAACAGCAGAATATACATTATTCTCAGGCTCACATGAAACATTTGTCAGGACATACCACAGTTGGATCATAAAACACAACAAATTTAAAAGAATGGAAATTATACAATATCTGCTCATGCAACAATGAAATTAAATAAGAAATCAATAACAAACATATAGCTGTAAAATCCCCAAATATTTTAAGATTAAGGAACACACCTATAAATAAAACATGGATCAAAGAAGAAATCTCAAAAGAAATTATAAACTATTTTTAATTAATTAAAAGCACAATTTATCAAAATTTGTGGGATGCAGTAAAAGCAGTGCCTAGAGGGAAATGTCTAGTATTGAATGCATGTATTAGAAAAGAAAAAAGATCTCAAATCAATTTTCTAAGCTTCTGCCTTAGGAAAACATTAAAAAAAAACCCCGCAAGTTAATTCTAAAATAAACAGAAGAAAATAAATAATAAAAATTACAGTGGAAATCAGTGAAACTGAAAACAGTAGATCAATAGAGAAAAATCAACAAAACCAAAAGATGGTTCTTTGAAAAGATCAATAAAATCAATACGCTTCTAATTAGGCTAAGTAAAAAAGAGGTGACAATTACTAATATCACAATGAAAGGGGTTACATTAGTACAGATTCCAGGGACATTAAAAGAATAATAAGGAATATTATGAACAACTCTGTGCCTACACATTTAATAATGTGGGTGACATGAACAAATTCCTTAAATACGTAATCTGTCAAAACTCATACAAGAAGAAGTAGATAATCTGAATAGTCCTATATCCATTAAAGAAAATGAATTAGTATCTAATAACCTTTGAAAACAGAAGACACCAGGCCTAGAAGAGTTTGCTGGGGAATTCTATAAAACATTTAAAGAAGGAATAATGCCAACTCTCTGCAATGTCTTTCAGAAACAGAAGCAGAGGAAAGACTTCCTAACTTATACTAGAAGGCCAGCAATATCCTATACCAAAACCAAAGATATTATAAGAAAAAGAAGAGTACAATCAATATCTCTCTAGAACCTAGATGCAAAAATCCTCAATAAAATATTAGTAAATCAAAACCAACAATGTATAAAAATAACTATATACCATAACTAGGTGGGACTTAGGACCTCAGGTATGAAAGGCTGGTTAAAAATTTGAAAACCAATTATAGAATCTATTATTTAACAGGTTAAACAAGAAAAATTACATAATCATATCCACAGACACAGAAAAAGCATTTGACAAAATTAGGAATCCATTCATGATAAAAACTCTCAGCAAACTCAAAATAGAGGAAAACTTTCAACTTATTGAAGAATATCAATTATAAACCTGCAGCTCACATAATATTTAATGATGAGAAACTAGAAGCTTGCCCACTAAGATCATAAAAAAGCCAAAGATATGGAAATTTAATATTGTCAAGATTTTAGTTGTTCTTAAATGTATATGTAGATTCAGTGCAATTTCAATCAAAACATCAGTAGGTTATTTTGTGGATATCAGTAGAATCAGGATGAACTGATTCTAAAGTTTATGTAGAAAAATAAAAGCCCCAGAACAACCAACACAATATTTACAGAGAAGAGCAAAGTTGGAAGAGTGACACTACCTGATATCAAGACTTATTATAAAGCTATAGTAATTAGGACAGTGTGGTATTGGTGAAAGAATAGACAAATAGATCAATGAAAAAGAATAGATATCTGAAGAATAAATTAACATAAATATAGTCAACTGATATTTAACCAAAGAACAACAGCAATACAACGTAGAAACAATGTCTTTTCAGTGAACGGTGCTAGAGTAACTGTACATCCACATGTTTAAAAAAAATGATTCTAGATGCTGACCTTAAACCCTTCACAAAAATTAGCTCAAAATGAGTCACAGACCTACATGTAAAATGCAAAACTATAAAACTCCCAGAAGATAACCTAGAAGAAAATCTAGATGGTGTTGGGTTTTATAATGACTCTTTAGATATGACACAAAAACCATGATCTATGAAAGAAAAAATTGATAAACTGGACTTCATTAAAATAAAAATTCCTGCTCTGCAAAAGACACTGACAAGAGACTGAAAATACGAGCTGGCCAGGTGCAGTGGCTCATGACTGTAATGCCAGCACTTTGGGAGGCTGAGTCAGGCAGATTGCTTGAGCCCAGGAGTTTGAGACCAGCCTGGGCAACACAGTAAAATCCTATCTCTACAAAAATATACAACAACAACAAAATTACTGGGTGTGGTGGCACACGCCTGTGGTCCCAGCTACTCAGAAGACAGAGGTGAGAGGATCACTTCAGCCTGGGAGGTCACAGCTGCAACGAGCCTTCATTGCACCACTGTACTCCATCCTGGTCAACAGAGACTCTGTCTCAAAAAAAAAAAAAAAGTAAAGACAAGACAAAACAACCCAACTAAAAAATGGGCCAAGGAACTTAACAGACATCTCAAAGAAGATACATATAAGAGCTGGGCATGGTGGCTCACACCTGTAATCCCAGCACTTTGGGAGGCCAAGGCAGGTGGATCACTTGAAGTTTGGAGTTCAAGACCAGCTTGGCCAACATGGCGAACCCTGTCTCTACTAAAAAATATAAAAATTAGACAGGTGTAGTGGCACACACCTGTAATCCCAGCTACTCAGGAGGTTGAGGCAGGAGAATCACTTGAAGCTGGAAGGCAGAGCTTGCAGTGAGCCAAGATCACGCCATTGCACTCCAGCCTGGGTGACAGAGTGAGACTCTGTCTCAAAAAAAAAAAAAAAGAAAGAAAAAAGAAAGATTCACATATCGCAATTAAGCATTTGAAAATATGCTCCACACAGTATGTCATCAGGGAAATGCAAATTAAAACAACGTAAAATACCACTGCATACCTATTAGAATGGCCAAAATTCAGAACACTGACAACACCAAATGCTAGTAAGGATGTGGAGGAACAGGAACTCTCATCATTGATGTTGGGAATACAAAATGGTATAGACACTTTGAAAAATGGTTCTTACCAAACTAAGTTTACTCTTACTACCACTCATGCTTCCTGGTATTTTAACCCCAATGAGTGGGAAATTTATGTCTTTGCAAAAACCTTTGTGCAGATGCTTATAGTAGCTTTATTCAGAATTGCAAAACTTGGAAGTAACCAAGATATCCTTTAATAGGTGAGTGGTAAGTAAGCTGTGGTACATCCGGACAATGGAACACTTAGCACTAAAAAGAAATGAGCTATCAAGTCATGAAAAGGCTGAAGGACACTTAAATGTTTATTAGTAAGTGAAAGAAGCCAGTCTGTAAAGGTGACATACTGTCTGATTTACCTATATGGCATTTGGGAAAAGTCAGGACTATGAAGAGCATGAAAAGATCAGTGATTGCCAGGTGTTCAGAGCAAGGGATGAATGGACAGAGCACAGAGGATTTTTTGAGCAGCAAAACAACTCTGTATGATACTATAATAGAGGATATATGTCATTATATTTTTGTCCAAATAACCCAATATATAACACTAATAGTGAACCCCAATGCAAATTATGGTCTTTGAGTGATAATGATGTGTCAGTGCAGATTCATTAATTGTAGCAAATGTACCACTCTAATGGGAAATATTGATAATAGGGGTAAGTTATGCATGTGTGGGGGCAGGGTGTATATGGGATATCTCCGTACCTTCCTCGAAATTTTGCTGTGAACTTAAAACTGCTCTAAAAATAGAGTTAATTACAAAAAAGAAGAGAAGAAATTACCAATATCAGAAAAGAAAAAGAGAAAGTATCAATATCATAAATAAAAGAAAGGACATTACTGTAAATTCTACAGACATTAAAAGGATATTATGGGAACATTATGAACAGCTATTTGTCAATAAATTTGACACATAGATAAAATGGAAAAACTCCTTGAATTCCTACCAAAGCTCAATAGAAAATAATTGGATGGCTGGAAAAGTTCTATATTTATTAAATAAATTGAATTCATAAACATCTTTCAACAAAGAAAACTTCAGGCCCAGATATTAACAGGCAAACTTCATTTAAAGGTGAAATAAGACCAATTCTGCAAACATTCTTCCAGAAAAATATAAAAGGAGGAAGTGCTTTCCAACTCATTTATGAGGCCAACATTACCCTGGTACCAAGATGAGACAAAAATTGTCAAGAAAAGAAGACCTCACACCTGCATTGTGCAATATTGCAGCCAACAGCAATATGTACCCATTCTGCACTTGAAATGTTGCTAGCCCCACTTCAGATGTGCTGTGATTATAAAATAAACACCACGTTTCAAAGCCTTAGTATGAAAGAAAGACAAAATGTTTCATAAATATTTTACATTGATATGATATTATAACTATTGGTAATATTTATATTAAATAAATTACATTATTAAAATTAATTTGGCTATTTTTGTTTTTATGTTATTACAATACGATTTAAAAATACGTTTGTGATTTTTACTATGTATCTACTTGACAATGCTATAAACCAATATCCCTCATAAACACTGATGCAAAAATTCTTTTTAAAAATTTGCAAATTAGGCTGGGCACAGTGGCTCACACCTGTAATCCTAGCACTTTGGGAGACAGAGGTGGGTGGATCACTTGAGCCCAGGAGTTCAAGACCTGTCTGGGAAACACAATGAACCCCTATCTCTACAAAAGAAAAAAATACAAAAATTAGTCAGGCATGGTGGTATGCACTGTAATCCCAGCTACTTGGGAGGCTGGGATAATTGCTTGAGCCTCGGAGGCAGAAGTTGCAGTGAGTCAAGATTGTGCCACTGCACTGAAGCCTGGGCAACAGGGTGAGACCCCGTCTCAAAAAACAAAAAAGCAAATTAAATTAAGAAATACATTCAAATAATAATAGAACCTGATACAATGCGGTTTATCATAGGAAAGCAAGATTGGGTCAATATGAAAATCAGTAAGTTTAATTCACCGTATTAATAGACTAATGGAGAAAAAAACCATATGATCATCTCAGTTGAGGCACAAAAGACATTTGACAAAATTTAACATTTATTCATGGTTTAAAAAGCAAAACAAAACATGAAAAAACCCTAACCAAAGTAGGAATTAAAGGGAACACTCTCAACCTTATAAAGGGTATGTATGAAAAATCTATAAACACATTCCATACATAATGGTAACAGATGGAATGCTTTCCCCTGAAATCAGAAATGAGGTAAGAATGTCATTCTCATCATTCCTTTCAACATAGTATAGAAGATATATAATAAATTTTTTAAAATGCATATATAATTGAAAAAGATAAATGAAATAGTCTTTATTCACAGACGACCTAATTGTCTCTGTAAAGAAATCACAAAGACAAGAAATCTCCAATAAAGCTGCTGGAACTAATAATTGACTTTAGTGAAGTTGCAGAACACAAGGGCAATATACAGAAATCAATGACCTTTCTATATATTTGCAGTAAACAATTAGAAATTGAAAATTTTAAAGTATTATTTACAATAGCACCACAATGGGAGATAGGGATAAATCTAACAAAGTATGTACAAGATTTATTAAAAACTATACAGCACTGATGAGAGAAACACAAAATGCCTAAGAAATAAAGAAGCATACTGTGCTCATGTATTAGAACAGCAGTCCCCAACTTTTTTGGCACCAGGGACTGGTTTTATGGAAGACAATTTTTTCCACAGGGTGGGTGGGGAGGGATGGTTTTGGGATGAAACTGCTGTACCTCAGATCATCAGGTATTAGTTAGATTCTCATAAAGACCACACAACCTAGATCCCTCGCATGCACAGTTCACCACAGGGTTTGTACTCCTGTGATAATCTAATGCCATTGCTGATCTGAACTGGAGACAGTAACGCTCACTTGCCCACAGCTCACCTGCTGTGCAGCCCAGTTCCGTTAGGACCAGTACTGGTCTGTGTTCCGGGAGCTGGGAACCCCTGCATTAGAATGCTCAAACCCTTTCCTAGATGATTTACATTTTTAAAAAATTGGAAGACTCGATATTGTTATTATGTCAATTCTCCCTTAATTTACCTACAGATTCAATGAAATCCTAAAATTCCAGCAGGCTTTTATTTTACAGAAATCAATATGCTGATTCTGAAATTTACATGGAAATCTCATGGAACTGGAATAGTTAAAACACAAAAAACCAAGTTACAGAAATCACACTACCTGACTTACTTTGAAGCCACTGTTATTAAGACAACTTGTTATTTACATGGTAATAGATATATAGATCAAAAGAAAAGAAGAGAATCTAGAAATACACCCACACATAATATGGTCAATTGACAAGCATACCAAGGCAATTCATAGGAGAAAGATTTTTCTTCTTGAAAAATTGAATATCCATATCCACAATGGTAATCCTTGACCCTTATCCATCGTTACATTAAAAAATTAACTCAAAATGGGTTGTAGACCTATATGTAAAGACTGAACTTATAAAATTTCTAGAAGAAAACAAAAATTATTTGGAACATTGAGTGAGGCAAATATTTCTTAGATAAAACAAGAAAGCACAAACTACAACAGAAAAAATAGATAAATTGGGCTTCATCAAAATTAAAAATGTCTGCTCTTTGAAGGATAATGTTAAGAAAATAAAAAGGTTGCAGACTCTGGAAAAATATTTGCAAAACAGATGTCTGATAAAGGACTGGTATCCATAACATACATTCAGAAATTTTACAACTCAGCAATAAGAAAACAAATAACCCAATAAAAATGAGCAAAAGATTTATATAAGCACTTCCCCAAAAATGATAAATGGGTAAATAAGCACATGAAAAGATGCTGAACATCATTATTCAATAGAGAAATGCAAATTACAGCCACAATATGTTACAACTAAACTCCTGTTAGAATGGTTTCAATTAAAAGACACTGACTATAAAGTGCCTGCAAAGATACACCACATATGTGACTCTCATACATTGCTAATGGAAATGCGGAATGGATACTTTGGAAAACAGTTTGGAGATTTCTTATAGAGTTAAAGATTTACTTATCATATGACCCAGAAATCTCACTTCTAGGATTTACTCAAGAGAAATAGAAACATATGTAGTTATCCTTTGGTATTGATGGAGAATTGGTTTCAGGACCCCCTCAGATGCCAAAATCCACAGGTACTCAAGTACCTCATAGAAAATGGTCTAAGGTTTAAATATAACCTACACACATCCTTTTGTATACTTTAAATCATCTCTAGATTCCCCAGATGATTAGATTATAATACTGCCATTGCCTGGTTGCCTAGATTAGATTATAATACCTAATACAATGTAAATGCTATGTACATTGTCATTATACTTTGCTTTTTTATTTGCATTTTTAAATTGTTTTATTTTTTGTTTACTTTTTGTTATATTTTCAGTCTGTGGTTGTGTGAATCCATGAATTCAAAACTCATGGAAATGAAGGGCAACTGTATTCACAGAAAAACTATGCATATTTTTTTCTAATAGCTTTATTGCCAAAATTGGAAATAATCTCAATTGTCATTAACTAGAGGATAATAAATTAAAATACAGCTACAGAATTAAATATTAGTAAAAAATACATAAAAAATGAACTGTTGATAGGTTGGTGTAAAAGTAATTACATATAAGTAATTATAAGTAATGGCAAAAACTGCAACTACTTTTGCACCAACCTAATAGTAATTCAATATAGATAAATATCAAATACACAATGCTATGCAAAACAATCTAGGATAAAACAGCTATATGCTATGATTCCGTTTATATGACATTCCAGAAATGAAATCGCCTTTGCAAAACTTCTAACAGTGAGAAGATTATGACAATGAAAGAGATGTGATCTAACCAACCCTCATCTCGCCTTTAACCCCCAAACTGCTCTTGGTCATTCCTGGATTTGTGCTAAGCTAACTTTGAGAGAAATTTAGTTTGTAGTTTAAATGAAAATAGCCTTTCCCCAAAACTAAACCACCTAGTAAAACTAATGAAAGTCCATTAGGTTAGGAGGATGAGAGGGGCCTGAATTCTCTTAAGATGTAGGCATAATTAAATGATTACCAGCCATTATTTCAGAGGTCACAAGATTTTACAACTTCCCCAATTATTTCTGTAAATAACATCACTATTGTAGAACTGAAGACTGGCCTTTTGAGATGTCTTCTCAGGATTCTGCATTTCTGAAGACCAGATGGTTCCTCTGGACCAGCACCTTGCTGTGGCTTCCACCTAGAGGCAAACTCAGTACAGGAAGACTGTTTTCCATACTCCTATGATTGCATCCCCAACCAGCATCCATTCCCCTATCCTCCTGCTGACCAAATTATCCTTGAAAAACCCTAGCCTCTGAATTTTCAGGGAGATTGATTTGAGTAATAACTCCGACTCCTGTGTGGCATGGCCAGCCTTGTGTCAATTAAACTCTTTATTTACTGCAGTGCTGTTATCTCAGTGAATTGATTAGGTCTGTGCACTGGGCAGGAAGAAGTCGTTGGGTGATTACAGAAATAAAACAATAAGGGCTGAAAACATGTCAATGTTTGCCATGGGATATGACTAGAAGTAGGTGATTGGCCACAAATGTGCACAGTGGAAGTTTTGGGGTGATAGCAATTCTATATCTTGATCATGGTCTTAGTATATGCATTTATCAAAATGTATAAAATTGTAGACAGAAAAAGGTGAGTTTTACTGTTCTAAGTTATAATTCAATAAACTAGACTTAAAAACAAGAAAAAGATATATGTAAAAGGAACCTTTTTTTTCTTGCTTGCAGTCTTCCAGGATGGCCTTGCATTGCATAACAGAATTTCCTTCAAATTGGTAAAAGTTAAATCACCCTCTCCAATTTGGAAAAAATACAGTCTTGGATGACACTGTAAAGAAAATTCTCTTACAGTCAATGAAGCTGCATAAATTTCTATTCACAACTCAGTCATTAGTTATCTTTATTTGGTTTTTGTAAAGTAGGCACATGGCTATGCAACTGTGGATGCTTGATATAAATATTAGTTGAATCAATACATGAATAATTGCATTAATTAACAATGAGCAAATTAGTGAACTAAGATGAACATTCTGTAGTCATGTGTTCAAGGTACACACTAGGGGTGTTTGTTCTTTAAATGAACTCCATAATAAATCTTTGTGTAACTGAATAAGTGATTTAAATATGAAAATAAATACATTTGTTTTAAAAACAAGACTCGATGGGAATTTTTAAAAAAACTATAAAATATTCACATATTTTTCAAAACCCAATTCATTGAGATCTCATGATGTCTTAGATTACTCTTTAGTGTAGTTACCCATGAATTTCTTTTTTAAAATACCAGTGCAGAGATGTCTAAAAATAATAGTTAACATTTATGCTTACTATGAGCCTAGTATTCTTGTAAGCATTTCACATGTAGTAACTCATTTAATTTTAGCATCAACTCTACTACACAGGTTACTGTTATTAACCATTTTACATCCGGAAAATCTGAGGCAGAGGAGGTTAAGAAACTTCTCTAAAGTCACATGACTACTTAGAGGTGGTCTGGAATTAAAACTCAATAAACTAGGCTCCTAATCAGCTAAATACGATGAATTGCTACCTAGCTGTCATATGACAGCAACGATCATCATACTCCTTCCCTATATTCTTCATAGAGATTATTGGAGGGGTTCACACGGGCAAGGAGAGCCTAGCTCCAAATCCTAAGCAAATCCTTCAGTGATTTCCCCATTGTTTAAAAAAAAAAAAAAAGCCCTCTGTTTTTACCTCCATTTAGGACATTTAAGAGTAGCACTTGCATCCTGTGGGTACTCTTCAAAACTTCAGAAGAATCAAATAGTATCTTTCATCTAAAAATTTTGGACATTTCCCCCTTAGTTCTCCACAGTCCTAACACTTTTAAGCTAATGTCTTCCCTCAACAGTGATAGTATTAGTAGATGGTGAGACAGAGCATTTTCCTTTATCTCCTTTGGAGAATCAGTATACCTCTGTCATCTTCCCCTGCAAGATCAAGCAAAAATGAACCTTCCTTTTGGCACTG
The DNA here is from genome assembly GCF_000001405.40 of Homo sapiens. Lineage (NCBI taxonomy): Eukaryota > Metazoa > Chordata > Mammalia > Primates > Hominidae > Homo > Homo sapiens. Next base: position 40,268,079 of record NC_000008.11, on the reverse strand, counting down.
ATTCTTAATCTTTCCTTCTATTAAGGATTCGTGTTATGATATTTATCTTCTGTCTTTTTAATCACTGCCTCTTACTGAAAGATAATTTCAATGTGACTTTGCTGACATTTACAGAAATGTTATCTTCATCACTTTTTTGTTTAGAGCCAAACATAGCCAAGAAGTATAAACTTCCACGGTCTCTCCTGCGCCCTGAGCCCTTGCAAGTGGGCATCTTTCTCTTCTTCCCTGTTGAAATTGATCTCCCTCAGGAAAAATCCAACAGTAATTGTTAGTTTCATACTCCTTGGCTTTTTCAGATAGTGCTTTCATTAAATATAATGGCTTCAAATATTGAATTAATACTAACGATGTCTCCTGTATTATTTTATCTCTTATCTTTTACTCAAGCTAAATTCCACCTTCCATGCTGCTCAGAAGATATGTATTTTAAGATATCTGATCATCCATTTTAATTAAATAAGATATTTTATTTAAAACAACTTTTTCATATCCCCTTTTTCTAAATATCTGTCAAAGGCAAAAAATTCAGCGTGAAATCCTTTCCTTTTTATTACATAAGCCATGGTCGTTTAATCTTGCTTATCTTTTCTTTACATTTTTCACATGGACAGCTCTCCATTTCCATTGGCTGTTGGACAATCTAGTCGTTCAAATCTTCACACTTGGATTATAATTTTGGTATGTCTATTTCCACCATTCTAATTCATAGTTCACATTATAACCGTTGTAATTGTTTCACCACTTTATTTTCAACAGGTCCTTCCCAATATTAAGAGACTATTGCATGCCTGTCGTGCATTGTAGACATCTCAACTATTCATTTGTGATGGAAATCATTTAGCTCCCTTTACCGTTCTAGAGTAGACATCAGCCAGGCACGCTGGTTTACTCCTGTAATCCCAGCACTTTAGCAGCCAAGGTGGAAGGATCACTTGAAGCTGGGATTTTGAGACCAGTCTAGGCAAAATAGCGAGACCTCATCTCTACAAAAAAATTGTTAAAAAAAAATTAGCCGGATGTGGTGCCACACACCTGTAGTACTAGCTACTTGGGAGACTGAGGTGGGAAGACGGCTTAAGCCCAGGAGGTCAAGTCTGCACTGAGCTGTGACCCTGCCAGTGCAGTCCAGCTTGGGCAACAGAGTGAGACTTTGTCTGTCTCTCTTTCTCTCTCTCTCTCTCTCTCTCTCTCACACACACACACACACACACACACACACACTCACACAAAGTAGATATCTTTTATTTTGGTCAGCCCAGCTGTCCTTTCCCTAACCCATGTGGTTTTTTCAACCCTAGTAACCATCCTCTTCACTCTACCCCTTGCTACAAATGGGAAAAAGGACCCAGACCTGGTCAATCATCATATCCCACCCATTCTCCCAAAACTATGACCCCAGCTGAGTCAATCAGAATCCATTCCTGAGATGATTTATGGACCTGTGAAAGATAAAACTTCTACAGGATTCATGAGCTATCAAAACAATCAGTCATATGTATTTTAATGAAGAATATACACTGGAAGGTATATTTAAAAGAGGGAGGGAAGAGACAGAACACAAATTGTATTGTTTGAGCATGCTGATCAAGGCATATATAATGCCAAACCCACTCTTGGACTTCTCAGTTATATGAGCCAGCACATTTAATTTTTGGTTACACTTCTATTTTGGGTTTCAGACACTTGCAACTAAAAGAGTCTGTTTATTACACAATATGAGTGTACCCATTATTTGGTTTATCACTGCAAGGTCATGGATAGGATCAAGATTTAAAGATGAATCAAGCACCATATAGTAGTTCTGTAATTAATTTAAAAGAAGTGTGTCCTCTGTTATGGTGAATTGTGTATATGTGAGTTTGGCAAGTGCTTCAAGAGCAATACAGAGGGCTAAGAAACTGCAGAGAGTGAAGTGATTCATTCTGACTAGGCAGACTGGGAAAGTTTCTGGGTATAACAGCATTTTAAGCTGGACTTTGAAAGATGAATAAGTTGTCAATACTATTGCTAAGTTTGATATCAAACATTGTATTATTTGCTCATTTATTTCTGAAATAATTTCCAATACTGTTTATTAATCTAAATTTATTTTTCATAAGGCTCTAGTCCATAAGTAACTTGTCTTCTTCCTGCTTGCTTTGACATTAGATTATATCATTTTTAGTTACTTCATTTGTTTTTTTTTTTAATTTGGTTGTTTAGTTTTTATTTTTAGAGACAGGGTCTCACTCTGTCACCCACGCTGAAATGCAGTGGCTCGATCATAGCTCACTATAGCCTCAAACTCCTGGGCTCAAGCAATTCCCCTGCCTTAGCCTCACCAGTAGCTGGGATTATGGGCATGCACACCATACCTGGCTAAATTTTTTTTTTTTTTTTTTTTGTAGGGACAAGGTCTCCCTATGTTGCCCAGGCTGGTCTTAAACTCCTGGCCTCAAGCAATCCTCCCACTTCTGCCTCCCAAAGTGCTGGGATTACAGGTGAGCGCCACAGCGCCCAGCCTCCATATGTGCATACTGCATATCCTAATTGGGCCATAATCTCTGGAAAGGAAATACTATCTTATCATCTCTTTAATATCTACTATAGCATCTAACACAGCACTGGGCACAAAGTACTTAGAAAACAATAAAAGAATGCAAATGCCAAGTTTTTGATGGTTTGATTTAACATCTGTATATGGTAGATTAATTTCATTCCTAAATGATGTTGAAGACTTTCTGCTACTCTCAAATGAAAAAACCTAGTAGCTTGTAAAATTCGTTTCCCTTCCATGAAACTATTTCAAGCATGCAGAGGAAAGTATATTAAGTGGTGTTTGACTGACAAGTCTAAATTGAGACTGGTTTTTTAACCTGTTTTGACCTCTGAGCTTTTAACTAGAATCTTGGAATTGAGTTCATTAAATATGTAGTTTATTAGGAAAATAAAATATTTGGAAAGAAGATGAAAACAGATGGAAATAAAAGCTAAAAGAGTGTTCAAAATGATTAGACTGAAGTTGCAAGTGAACTAAAGTAGCAGTAAAGACATCTGAGACACAGGAAATTATTCTGCTAGAGAATAGTAAGAAGACATCAAAGCCATTAAAATACAAGAGTGTGAAGTCAAAGGCTTACAAGGCTGAAATTACTAAGATTTTAGGATTACTTTGCTGTGGGACACATAACTGAAGTTCACATCTTTGAAACTAAATGAGCAGGAAATAGTTCTTTCCACATGAAGGGTAACATTAACCAGTGTAAGGCTAATCAATAAGTAATGGTAATTTCACAAATAGGATTACTGTGTAAAAATATGAGAACATGGAGACAGGAAAATTGTATCTTATCACAGGAAAGATAGAACTATCAGAGAAGAAAGGAAAATTCATCAGTCAAATATCTGATTATTTAGATTAAGGCAGGTCCAGGTTTTATGGGACCTGAAGCTTATACAATATTGGGGACACTCTTTAAAAAAACAACATTATGGGGCCGGGCACAGTGGCTCATGCCTGTAATCCCAGCACTTTGGGAGGCCAAGGCGAGTGGATCACGAGGTCAGGAGATCGAGACCATCCTGGTTAACACCGTGAAACCCCGTCTCTACTAAAAATACAAAAACTAGCCGAGTGTGGTGGCGGGTGCCTGTAGTCCCAGCTACTCGGGAGGCTGAGGCAGGAGAATGGCGTGAATCCGGGAGGTGGAGCTTGCAGTGAGCAGAGATTGCACCACTGCACTCCAGTCTGGGAGACAGAGAGAGACTCCATCTCAAACAAACAAACAAACAAAATTATGGATGCCAAATTTGGTATAACAGCGTCTATTTAGAATGAGAAAAAAATCTCAACAAATTACAAATCTATGTAATGTTAAAAAATTATATAATTCAGAAAAAATAACAACTAATAATGGCCTGACACACTATGTAATTAATGACTTTTCTGCATTTTTGCTACATATTATTTCATTGCCTTTCCATATGACTAAGATTTTTTTAAATAGCATTCTCTATATAGAAAACAGAAAGATAATCAGTTTTTATGTTAGCATCATTGACAAAATACTTTTCATTATTGATAGTTAAGAAAAGTTTCTTTTTGCTTCAAAACTCAGTGTTGGTTGCATCTCATAAATTATTAGAATGGTGGCCAAATTTGGAAGTCTTCTACCAAGATTTTTTCATATACAAGCTCTTACAAATGTAGTTGCTGTTTGTATTACTGCTAGCGGTTTAAGCCTTACAAATAAGAATTCTGATACATTCTATTTTGCACAATTTTTATCAAAAAGAAAAAAGTGTGATGCTTTTATAATTGTATGTTTCTTATGAATACATTCTTGATATGAGACAACTTCTTGTTTTTTTCTAGGTGCTGTGATAACAGAATCCACCACTTACAATTTTATGTAGGTAACAATTAGAAAAAAATTCCCCCAGAATAGCTTGCAGTTCAAACATTTCACACTTGTTTCTCTTTCACTTCTCTCTCTGTGAGCACTTTTATACAATGATACCAACATTTGTATCATGATATCAGCTATGGCTCTATATGGCTAACAATAACTTAATTATACCCCCAAGTGACTGGGAACCAAAAAAAAATGTGTCCCACTAAACCCGAAGTAAATATAACCCCCACAGAGCTGTCCCTTGTCAGTTTCCTCAAATGCTATAGCCACTCCAACACAGCCCAGCGACACGAGGGAAGGTGTGAAGTAGGTCAATCTTAATAGATTATGGTTACATTAGGTTTGCAAGTTTTACAAAAACATGTGACCAGCCAGGCGCAGTGGCTCATACCTGTAATCCCAGCACTTTGGGAGGCTGAGGCAGGCAGATCACGAGGTCAGGAGATTGAGACCATCCTGGCCAACATTGTGAAACCCCATCTCTACTAAAATACAAAAAATTAGCTGGGCATGGTGGTGAGTGCCTGCAGTCCCAGCTACTTGGGAGGCTGAGGCAGGGAAATCATTTGAACCCGGGAGGCAGAGGTTGCAGTGAGCCGAGATCGTGCCACTGTACTCCAGCCTAGCAACAGAGAAAGACTCCATCTCAAAAAAAAAAAAAAAAAAGTGACCATGTAAAGACATCTCCTAGGACATCTCCTAGGGCCATGCAAGCAAAGGATCTCAAAATGTAAGGGTAAATATGCCTCTATTTAGAAAAACACTATTTAGATGGTTTCCAGCTTCATCCGTGTCCCTACAAAGGACATGAACTCATCGTTTTTTAAGGAAACCATTATTCTCAGCAAACTATCTTAAGGACAAAAAACCAAACACCGCATGTTCTCACTCATAAGTGGGAATTGAACAATGAGAACATATGGACACAGGAAGGGGAAAATCACACACCGGGGCCCGTTGTGGGGTTTGGGGAGGAGGAAGGGATAGCATTAGGAGATATACCTAATGTTAAATGACGAGTTAATGGGTGCAGCACACCAACATGGCACATGTATACATATGTAACAAACCTGCACGTTGTGCACATGTACCCTAAAACTTAAAGTATAATTAAAAAAAAAAGAAAAACGCTATTTAGAAAATGACCTTACACAGCTCTCTCTTTTTGTGACATGTATAAAATTTATAGGAAATCCCCATTTTAAAAATTATGAAATTTAACATATAAACAATAATGTGCCTGCAGTAGTTTGCTAGGGTTGCCATAACAAAATGTCACAGACTGGGTGGTTTAAAAAACAGAAATTTATTTTCTCACAGTTAGAGAGAAAGGAAGTCCAAGATCAAGGTGCCAGCTAAATCGATTTCTCCTAAGGCCTCTCTCCGTGGCTTATAGATGGCTGCCTTCTCACATGGCCTTTTCTCTGTGCACATGTATCCCTGGTGACTCTTCCTCTTTGTATTAGGACAACAGTCATATTGGATGAGGGATTCCCCTTTATGATGTCATTCAACCTTAATTACCTCGTTAAAGGCCCTATATCCAAATACATTGGGGGTTAGTTCTTGAACATATGGGTTTGAGGGGGACAAAATTCCATAATAGTACAGAAAGCATACATGTACCCATAATACTGTAATAATCATAAAGCAAACATACTTATAGCCACCACCTACATCAAGACATGAAACATTGCTATCATCAAAAGACACCTTAACAAACAATAGCCCACAAGTCTTTTCCTAAACATAACATCCTTCCTTACCCTAAATGTAATCCACTCTTCTGGGAGCTATTTTCTTTGTAGTTTTCAATGTGCAGCTTTATACAGTGTTGTGTAGTTTGGTCTACTTTTGACATTTGTATCATGGAATTGTGCTCCTATGTATTATTTGGGGTCTTGGTTTTTTCACACAACCTCTTCTTTGTGAGATGTATTATAATACACAAAGTTTACTCATTTCTCAGCAAGGACAAGGTATTAAATATTTAGGCTTGAAGGCCTTGTGTTCTCTGTCACAATCATTTCTGCTATTGTTGTGAAAACAGCATAGACAATATATAAGTGAATGGATGTGGTTATGTTCAAATAAATATTCACAAAAACAGTTAACAAGTATGCAAGCTGTAGTTTCCTGATTGACATGGTTTGGATCTGTGTTCCCACCAAATCTCACGTTGGATTGTAATCCCTAATGTTGGAGGTGGTGCCTGGTGGGAGGTAAATGGATCATGGAGGCGGATTTCACATGAATGCCTTAGTACCACCCCCTTACTGTGATAGTGAGTGAGTTCTCATGAGATCTGGTTGTGTAAAAGTGTGTAGCACCTCCCCATAGCTCTTTCTCTTGCTCCTGCACCCACCATGTGAAGTATCTGTTCCTGGTTCACCTTCAGCCATGATTGTAAGTTTCCTGAGGCCTTCCCAGAGGCTGAGCAGATGCTGCCATGCTTCCTGTACAGCCTGTAGAACTGTGAGCCAATTAAACCTCTTTTCTTTATAAATTACCCCAGTCTCAGGTATTTCTTTATAGCAATGGAAGAACAGACTAATACACTGACTTCTGCTCTATAGGATCTTTCATGTCTAAAATTGGTTATTTGTACTTCCTTTCTTTCCCCTGATTGATCTCAAAAAAGTTCATTAAGAGCATTTGAATATAAAATTAACTTTCAAATTGGTTGGGTCTCTGGACATAGAATTTTGAGATTAGCAGTACTTTTCTTTCAGCAAGTTGAAGATATTGTTTTATTATCTCCTGATTTTTATTGTTGCTGCTAAGAAATCAATGATACATCTAACTGTTGCACTTTATATCTCTTTTTTCTTTTCTTTTTTCTATAATGAAGAAATTATCTCGATCTTTGGCATTCTACACTTTTAGTAGAATGTCTTCAGATAGAAAATGTTTTAAAAATTATTTGCTAGAGATTCAGTGGGATTCTTGAATGCTTTTCATTGTGTCTGGAAATTTCTTAGCCATCATCTTCATACATTGACTCTGCCCTTCTCTCTACTTTCCTTCAGGAACTCCAGTTAGATACGTATTATATTTGCTCTTTTTCTCTTACTTATCTCTTAAGTTCTCTTCTATGTTTCCATCTTTTCATTTCTGTATGCTGCTTTCTATTCAATTTCCTATGACTTATTTTCCAGTTCATTTATTTTCTCTTCACTGTGTCTTATTTGCTTTTAAATCTATCTATTAAGTTATTGAATTTCAAAGATTGTAATCTAGTCTTTATTTTCAGAATTTCTATTTGGCACTTTTTTGGTATGCTAGATTACTTTTTATAGTTTCCTCTTCTGGACAGATACTACAAGTTTGTCATTTTTTCTCTGTACATAGTATCATCTATTTTTATGATCTATGTTTCATAAACTGTATCTGATGATTCTCCTGTAAGAAGTGTTGATAGATGTTCGTCGATTTGCTTTTGCTTTTGATGCTGCTTGCTCAGGGTTTTCCGCTTCCTTATGTGCTTTGTTATGTCATCTTTGAGAAACATGAGTGTTCTTTGAGGTCTAAGACACTGTGGCATCTACACAGGATGCCTAAGATAACTATTTCTTCTCAAACATTTTACATTAAATTTATGATCTTAAAAGAGTTTTTTGGCCAGTCAGGTGATATCAATTTGGCTCCAAATCCACAAAAGTTTCAGCTTTCTTTACAACTTTCTTTACAACTTCCAAGTGACAGTATCCCTTTCCAATCATTACTTAGAATGAAGACGACTTTCCTAGAAATCCCGTGGGATTTGAGAGTGGAAATGGGTTTCTTTTTAGCGTATGTTTACTTTGAGAGGATGGCTCTTTGGGGCACCATCTCACTGTGTAAAGGTTATCTCTTAGATTCCATAACTATGGTATTTCTCGGTTTTGGGTTCCTTCCCCGTAAGCCATGAGACCATCTAGAGGAAAGGTCAAGTGTTTTTAGGTGGAAAAACGTTCTCACAACAAAAATGAACTTGTCCTCCCTTAGTTCATCAGGTTCTTTCTTTCTCTTGATTTTATCCAGATGATTCTTTTCTACCTGACACATCTTCAATACTTTTAAGACATCACACAATTTTTAATCTATCATTTTGTTGTTCTCAGTGGGAGAGTTGGTCCCCATAATCCAGACCACATCACTAGAGAGTTTGAAAAATCTTTAATTAAGCTTTTAGTATTTTCCCCCTAACTTTATATTTAATTTTAGTAGAAATGAGCCTTGACTTTTCCCCCCTGGGCTCAATTAGTAATCTGTTGTGAATTGAGACTGCAAATACTTAAATTGGAAACTTACCTATTAGGGATTTGGTTTTACTTTCTTTTTTTTTTTTTTTTTTTTTTTTTTTTTTTGAGAGGAATCTCACTCTGTTGCCCAGGCTGGAATGCAGTGGTGCAATCTTGGCTCACTGCAACCTCCACCTCCTGGGATCAAGCAATTATCTGCCTCAGTTTCCCGAGCAGCTGAAATTACAGGCACCCACCACCACACCTGGCTAATTTTCATATTTTTAGTAGAGATGGGGTTTCACCATCTTGGCCAGGCTGGTCCTGAACTCCAGACCTTGAGATCCACCCACCTTGGCCTCCCAAAGTGCTGGGATTACAGGCATGAGCCCCCGTGCCCGGACTTTTTTTTTTTTTTTTTTTTGAGATGGAGTCTTGCTCTGTCCCCCAGTGTGGAGTGCAGTGGCGCGATCTCAGCTCACTGCAAGCTCCACCTCCCGGGTTCACGCCATTCTCCTGCCTCAGCCTCCCGAGTAGCTGGGACTACAGGTGCCCGCCACCATGCCTGGCTAATTTTTTTTGTATTTTTAGTAGAGGCGGGGTTTCACCATGTTAGCCAGGATGGTCTCAATCTCCAGACCTCATGATCCGCCCGCCTCAGGCTATGAAAGTGCTGGGATTACAGGCGTGAGTTACTGCACCCACCCTGGTTTTATTTTCAAAGCTCAGTACCAGAAGCTAAAACACAAGAGATTTCATATTATTGGTTCTTCTGTTTTTGACCTGCATCACTGAAGCGGAGCTACGATAACAGTGATAGTAGTAAATGTTCTGAAAAGTGTGGGTGGCCTGCATTGCTGAACTTCCACAGTCACGTTTGTCTTCACCTTATAACTCTGCCTCTTGTATTGTGTAGAACATGAGTCCATTGGCAAAGCAGTTTTTCCCTGTGCTCCTCTGTTGAAGGACATGTGGTATAGTCTGATTCCAAATCCAAACAAGTAAGCTGACCCCATCATGCACTTTTAAATTCTGAACACACTATTTATTTGGCACCAAGACATGAGAACCACAGAGCCCAGGCTTTTTCACCAGCTTCTAAGTGCAAATGCAGTTGAAACTGCCTTTGCAAAAAATATAACTGAGAAAATTATGACAGTGAAAGAGATCGACCTAACCCACTCCATCTTGTTTCTAACCTCGAAGCTGTCCTTGTTCACTCCTGGACATAGACCAAACTAACTTTGAGAAGAACTAAGTTTATAGTTTAACTTGGAGACAAAGACAATAGCAGCTCTTTCCCAAAACAAACCCCTTTCCTGCCTGAGGACTAGACTGCCCTTGCAGAACTAACAAATTAGCCATGAGACTAGAAATTATGGTTTAGGAGTCATGCAGCTAGAGGCTGCAAGATTCTGGACCTCACCAAATTACTCCTGGGGATAACATCACTATTGTAAAACCTAAGATCAGTGCTTCAGATATTTTGCAGACCCTGTACTCAATGGATCAGCTGACACCACCAAGATAGATAAACTAGCTCATCTGGTCTTATGGCCCCCACCCAGGAACTGACTCAGTGCAAAAGAACAGCTTCGACACCTTATTATTTCATCTCTGACCCAATCAGCACTCCCAATTCACTAGTTCCCTACCCACCAAATTAGTCTTAAAATCCCTGATCCCTGAGTTTTGGGGGAGACTGATTTAAGTAACAATAAAACTCCAGTCTCCTATACAGCCAGTTGTGCGAATTAAACTCTTTCTCTATTGGAATGTTCCTCTCTTAATAAATCAGCTCTCTCTAGGCAGTAGGCAAGGAGAACCCTTTGGGCAGTTACACAGTAACATTAAATTTACTGTACAAATTACAGTGACTTGAATCCCCTGCCTTTCAGTACAGAAACCCATTTAAGTCCCAGAGCTTGCTGTGCACTGAGGAAAGGGCCCATATGTCTTTTCCTTCAGCTTCTCATAAAGCTACCATGACACTGTCCTGAAGCCAGTGGGCTGGCCTTTCCTAGATGACTGCCCCAGTGAAAGAGGAAGAAGGAAGAAACCAGTCAGGCAGGCAGTTAGGGTGGGTCCTCAGTCAACTTCTTTCAAATAAAAGAACAGCCTGCAGGCACAGATAAGGGAACTTGCACAGGGGCCTTGTCTAAGACATGCCCACAACCACACTGATAAGAAAGGCTACATAGGTAACTTATTCAGACATGCCCTCAATGGAAAATTTCATCCCCTGACACATGTGCAGGAAGAGGAACAAAGCATCATGGAGTAACTCAAGCTAAGGCCCACATGTGCATTAGGAAGATGGGGTGGATCTACCTGAAATTTGTGCCTTATGCAAATGAGATGTGCAGCCTTCATCAGTTTCTTATAAAAGCCTTGCATTCAACTGTAAAAATGGCAACCCTCTTCCTAGCCCCCTCTCTGTGGCAGAGAGCATTCTTCTTTCGATTATTAAGCTTTTGCTCCAACCTCACCCTTTGTGGCTATGATCCTTAATTCTCTTGGGTGTGAGACAAAGAACTCTGGGTAATACCTTACAATGAGAGACTGCTACATTGTGGTGCACTGGTGAGACTGTAAAACTAGCAGGTACTGCCAGCCTATGTTGGTATCCACCACTCTTGCAGTCTCTCTGGCCTCAGTTGCCCAGGCACTGTTCTAGGCTCTCCTGCTCCATCCAAAGCATGCAAGAGACCTTTAGGATAATTTTGCACTGCATTAAGTAAACTGGGTTGCAAGTTCTGAAAAGAATTTATGGAAATTTCACTAATATAAGAAGGAAAATGTAACAAGGAATGAACTAAAAATGCTTCTTGGAAAAGCCACTCTCTGAGACCCCAGATTCAGACTCTCAGGGACTCTTACATTTCACCTCACTGTCTCTACATGCCAGAGGTCACTTCATCCTGAAGGGAATCAGAATATTTCACCCCAAAATATGTCTGCCTGGTATAATGAGTATTTTAAATTAGAAACCCATAGAGGTCAAAAGCACAAGTGGAAGAGACTTTTTCTCTACATAAAAATAAGACTGACTTACCAAGAACAGTTGTTCTCCTTTCCTTCTGGTTATTGCATTCTCCATCACAGAAAAGAAGACCAAGATGTGACCACACCTAAATAGATCCTTTTTCAAGATAATGATTGTCTCCAGGGATCATTTAAACTCCAAACAGTACTATTTATAAGTTAATTTCTGTTTCCTGACCCAATCATTCTACCTAGTAATTATTCATTGCCCCTTAATAGGAATTCCTCTTCCTCCCCTCCCACAACCTGTTTTACCTGGATGCAAGCCCCCATTCTTTCTGTAACCTCGAGATGGTATGTAAGCTTCTGAACCTCACTGGGAAGTTGGGTCTCCATTCTGAAGGCTCCCCAGTATTTGTTACAGTAGGTAGCTAGTCAGATATGAGCAGGGCAGGAGAGGGCCCCCTCCCCACAACCAGGAGGTCAGGCAACAATCAGGTGATGGCCATGCAGCTGTTAACTGGCTCTATAAGATAATAATTGGTGCCAGGGAAAGGCAGTGCCCCTATAGATAGAAAACACCTGAAACTGGTGATCAGCAGCTTCCTGATAAGATCTCAGGAGTTGGGAGAGTGGGCTCAAGGATGTGCGCTAAGAGGCAAAATGGTGGAGTTTCACTGGTATATGACCTCCCAGGGACATTCAGCTGGTGAGTGAAGAACACCTCGGGTGAGCATGCGTACAATGCCAGTAAACATACTGTTCACGCTCCCCTCCCAAGTGCTATTAGGCCATTGGGCATGCAGGCAGCCCACCCCAAGGGAAGAATCAGGGGAGAAGGAATGCAAGACCACGGAAATGTGCCAATGTATAAAACCACAAGTCAAAACGTCAAACCATGCACTTGTCTTTCAAGTCACCCACTTGGCCTTCTTCCAGGTGTACCTTCCTTCCTTTTGTTTCTGCTCCAGAGCTCCTTAATAAACTTTCATTCCGGCTCTAGTACTTGCCTTGGTCTCTCCTTCTGCCTTCTGCCCCTCCGTTGAATTGTTTCTTCTGTGGAGGCAAGAATTGAGGTTGCACACCCATAAACATTCACAGACCCCACAGATTCACCGCCAGTAACATACACACATGAAGTAAATTTGGATGTGTTTTTTCTCCAATTAGTCAATCTGCCTCGTGTCGGTGATTTTAGCAAACCTTCACAACTCTAACTCTCTATGAAGTTCTCACAGCATTTCTGCATTCTTCAAAGTCGGTACCTCCCTCCCGGTCATCATTTCTGTCCTGGGATCTATGCCTTCTCAGTAATTCTCACATTATCAGGGATTTCCTATATATGCCAGAGGCACTGTTTCATCAGAAGAAGCCAGTCAACTATCATGATGTTTTGAATTACTTCTAATAACATCAGGGCATGTTTCAGGTTGAATGTCATGAATCTAGATGAGTACCCGTTTTGTGGCGTGTCAAGCAGTGGGAGGTGAACATTTTCCTAACACATCCTTCCTGCAGTTTGTGAGTCATTTCTGGATCTCCCACCAGAAACTGCTTGAACAAGAATACCCACACTTTCTCTGTCAAAGAACATCAGAGGGGGATAGTGGTTAAAATGTTATAAAAAAAAAAAAAAAAGCAATTTAACCAGGGACTATTGTAATAGGGGAAAAGAGACCTCTGTTTAAAACTGGGCTCAATTCTTAATATAATGTGAAAAGTGGGAATTTATAGTCAAGGATTAGGGTGAGGGGTCAGTGAATGGAAAGTCAGGAATAAGAGATTCTCGCTAAATCTATTTGGCAGGATTCTTGCTGAAGGCAGGCCCAGGTTATCAAATATTGAGGATGAAGGTTCTGGCCAACTGACTTAGCAAGATTCTTGCTAAAACCAGGCTCTTAAGAGCAAGGCTCAGATAGGTCCTAGTCAAAAAAAAAAAAAAAAAAAAAAGTAGTTGGGGTGCGGCGCTTAAAGAAGCTTGTTTAGGGGTTGGTCAAGAAGGGAGTCTTTGTTACCATAAAGATGGGGAATAAAATGCACTCTAAATCTGCACTAGAAATGAAAACATTTCTCCAATACATTTTTTAAATGGTAGCTTGCAATCCAGTGGTATTCTTGAAGTCAGTATAATGAATAACCGTAAGCATTTTTTAGACATTAAAAAAAATAAATAAAAATTATCCAAGACCTGTGTGTGATAAGGGAAATTGTGAAACAGGTGTGTGTTTGTGTACTTGGTCACAATGTAAACTGTAAAATTCATCGCTCAGAGAGGATCTGTTGAAAAGTTTGAGAAATACTGCTTTAATAAAATTACTCATCTAAATATGCAACTTTTGCTGCAACAAAAGCAAACTCTATATTGTTATTCACAGTAATTTAACTACTTTGAGCCAGTTTCTCCCACATCTTCATCCCTGCAGTCTTTTTACATTACACTTGCATAACTAAAAGTATCATCCAAATAATTTTCCTGAAAGGAACTCCCGAAGAAGAGTTAGTCTCCACTTCTAGAGCAAAGAGCATTGTTTCTCACTTTTAAATAGATTTCACCCCTTCCATCTTCTACCTGTCAACATTTCCAAAAATTTCAGCTACAAATTTCAGTCAGGTATAGTTAGAATGAATAAGATCTGGTATTTGATAGCAAAACAAGGTGACTATAGTCAACAGTAATTTATTGTATATTTTAAAAGAACTGAAAAAGTAAAATTAGAATGTCCCTAAAACAAAGAAATAATGAAGACTTTAGGTGATGGATACCCCAGTTACCCTAATTTGATTATTATACATTGTATGCCTGTATCAAAACATCACATGTAACCCATAAATATATATACCTATTATGTACCCATAAGAATTTTTTAAAATGTTAAAAAAAAAATTTCAGTGAAGGGACCCAAAATACACCATTTTGCCATATCTTTTTTCTCATATCTTTTTAGAGGTTCATATCTTAATCCCCGATAATATAAACTCTCTGACGATTATTTGATGTTTATTTGAATTGCCATTCAGAAGGTACTTAATAAATACAATTCACTAAGGCTGTAACACGAGTAAGGTCCAAAAATTAACATGCAGTCTAGCATCATTGAGTAGCTAATGAAACCAATGTATGAGCCAGGTCAGCTTAAAAGCTGCAGTACCAAGGGTCCATGACTGTTGCACAAATCTGTCCTTGTCCGGGCAGTGTTTGGCGCCACCCGGTGGTTGTCATCTGTTCCACTTTAAATATTGCTGGAGCCAGTTCTGGGTCCTGTGGCCGGCTGGCTGGAGCTTCCAGGATCTCAGCAAGGATTGGCGGAATCTCCAGGTCAGCTGGTACATGTTTCATTGGCGGCTTCCATGATAAATGGAAAGGGAGAAAACTGGGAATGTGCAGAACTAACCTCTAGCTCCTGACTTCCAAGCTGAGGTTTTCATCTTTTTCCTACCTAGCCCTATACTTGCATCCTCACCTTTTCTAACCGCACCCCAACCCCAGTTGTGTTGGAAAATAGCAGCCAGAGGAACCATATTGTTTCCATTACATTTTAGCTTTGTTCATAGTGGAGTTTTACAGTTGTAGAGGAGGAAAAAACAGCTTTTCTCCTCTATACTCCTAGGTTTTCCAGCTGCGGCCCTTGTAAATTCAACTGACAAAAGACAGATGAAAAAGACAAAAGCATAAAAATGTATTAAGTTCTTAGAAAATGAAAACCTTTTTAAGGAAATGAAGACCTGAAGATATGATTAAACCTGAGTGGGTGGGTTTTTGTTTTTTTTTTTTTCTTTTTTCTGAGACGGAGTTTTGCTCTTGTCGCCCAGGCTGGAGTGCAATGGCGTGATCTTGGCTTACTGCAACTTCTTCCTCCTGGGTTCAAGTGATTCTCCTGCCTCTGCCTCCCGAGTAGCTGGGACTATAGGCACCCACCAACATGCTTGGCTAATTTTTGTATTTTTAGTAGAGACGGGGTTTTGCCATGTTGGGCAGGCTGGTCTTGAACTCCTGACCTTAGGTGATCTGCCTACCTCGGTCTCCCAAGGTGCTGAGATTACAGGCGTGAGCCACTGCGCCAGGCCAAACCTGAGTGTTTTTATACTAGGTTGGGTGTAGGGTGGAAAGTCATAGAAAAGTGTGGTAGGACAAAGGGGTGTGAGCTAAGAGTAGTGAACTGGGGGAATTTAGCAAAGCGTGTTCATGCAGATTCCCTTCAGAAACCCCTCACCCAGGAGGGTCTTATGACCTGCTTCAGGGGTTACAGGAAAGTCAGAGAGTCCTTCGTGCACCTGACCATTCTCAAATTCCTTCAGCTTAAAATATTCATCCTACCAGTGCCATATTTTGGGGAAGTGTGTTCTGAACCCCATCACAACCCATGGGGTCAAATAAAAAAAAAATACAGGCTTAGTAAGGAGAGATTTAACCAAAAAAAGTATTGCAAGGGGAGTGGGGAAGAGACTTGAAACAGGGAGAGAACTATCGCAATAGGAATAATGCCATGACATGAAATCTACCAGGACTCAAAGGCTGGGGAAATGGGTTTTTCTTTAGAAAGCGGAGTAAACAAGGCTGGAAACAGCTAAATGACTATGTAGCATGATCAGCTGGTAGATCAGACAGTGATTTACCTGAGGCCAGCCTATTTTCTGGTGTGCACCAGCTCAGGCTGAGGGTGAGCCACAGCTGAGGAGCTTGGGAGAAGTTTAGGTAACCAGCATTTTGTACCTGTTGATTTATGATGGCAACCGGTTCAGCTAATCATTGATGAGACCAAGAGTTAGAAATTTGGAGGGTCTGTGTCCGGCCTTGTCATAAGTAAACAAGACAGAAAATTATGAGTCTTAAGCCTCTTTGCAGTAAGTTGTTCTCAGAAACACCGATGATGAAGGTGTTTTTTTTTTTTTTAAGCTTCGCAGTTTTCCAGGAGAGTGGAACTCAGGTAAAGTTCAGCACTGTCACTGTTGAGTGATGATACCTGGGCAGAGGAAGAAGTAGGTCCCTCAGAGTGCCACTTTGAGGATAGTGGTGAAGGCTGCATAGAAATGGGGTCAAGTGGAGGCCTCACATCCCTGATGCCACCTGATCTACACTTCTACTCCCACTTTCTGACAACTGTAGCGTTTCCGTATTGGTTTTCATCACCAGGAATCTTTCCTGGGAAAATAAATTACGTCCAGTGTGTTCCTCTATAAACAGACTGCAAAGAGAGCATTGTCTATCAATGACAACCTGATGAACCCATTAGTAGTGATAACCCTTTCCTGGGACAGAAATGATTTCAGTCTCAAGCAAGATAATTTTGTCTAAGCAACTTATTTAAGGTGATTTATTTAATCATTAGAACATTTTAAGATTGTTTTACAAATTGCCTCTTCTCATAAATCAGAGTGGCAGTAAAAAATGTATCTAAAATACATTATAAAAAATTATGTGAATTGCTTAGCAAAAATGTGAATTATGGGGTAAGAAAAATAAGAAAAGCATTGCTCGTAAAGACAATTATTTTTAAAAATGCAGGACTATCATTTGTAAATATTTTTAAAAATACTGTCAGAATCTGTGATTAAAATCTTTTGAGAGTAAATTCATTTTGGCATTTTTATACATATGCTACCTGAATTACCATCAAACTATGAAATTGTCTTGTAAAAATTTAAGAAAACCTTTGCTTCTAGGATTACAGAAACGCTGACCTTCGATGTTTCTCTTTTCTTTTTTTTTCTGCCTTCTTTTCTTATTTTTTTCTCTTTCTTAGGTGGACATGCAAGCAAAACTTGAAATTTATTGTTTAAAATGTTGCCATAAAAAGAGAAAGGTGAATGTTTTTTAGTAATGAGAGTTTAACAACAGAAATAGGGTCAGTAAGAAATCAAAGAGGATAATCTAGAGAGCACATGCTTGCTTACGAGTCAGTCAATGGCTTATGCAAATTGAATGAGCAAATGAATAGAAAAAAGGTAGCACTGAGCTTGAGCTTATAGTGAAATGAGAATTTAAATCCCGAATTAATAAAAATGCTCTAAGGTGATCGGGGGATTCTTTTCTATCTCCTAGATAGTGTATAATAATTGGGGAATATGGAAATCCTTCTCCATAAAGAAAGAAACCTGTTATGGTATAAACAAACTGAGTTATAATAAAAGTTTGCAGCAGAGGAGAATACCACACAGATAATGCAAAAATGGTATTTTGTTAGGGGAAGCGAATGCATGGTTTCCATTGCCTACTGGTCCTAGGCTATAAAGTCCTTTGGGTGAGATTTCAGGAGTATGACTGATTTAAGGTCAGAGTGGAGGCAAGCAAGGTGAAATTCTGAGCAAAGAAGAAAGCACTGGGCAAATGACAAGACACTGGTTTGTTATAACTGTCAAACTACAGAAGGTGGTTTGGATTCTCAGGGATTATAATGTACATCCCCTTAAAATTTAAGGATAAAAACCAGCATCCATTTCAATAGGGACATCACGCTTTAACATTTTCCCCCCAGTAGGTAAAAAGATAGAGTGACTTTTTCTATTTTTCTGATAGTCATCCAAGAGCTGGTCAGGAAGTCATCTAAGAGCTAACATGATATATAAGCATGGCATAAATGCAGCTAGAACATACTTTTATTTTACTCGGTACTTTATGCAGCACACTTAAATGGGTGGATAGTAAAATCTGATGGTATGGGAAGATAAACTGCTCACTTTCTGGATCATCAGTAAAGAGTCAATGAAATCAAATGCATAGAAGGGGAAAACACTGACATTAGTGTTGGTAACCAGTGAAGGATTCTACTGAGAGATCAGAATCTTTGGGAAATTCCTAGATAAAGTGCTGATGGGAAAAACAATTGAGGGAGTTCACTGAAGGTTTATTTCCAGCAATGTCTTTGAACAAAAATAAATGTCAGTTGGAAGCATGTAAAAGAGCCCTTTTAAAAAGAAACAAAAACAAAAAAACCCTTAAACCTTATTTGAACATCCTGGTTCCAAGGGTGAGGACTGGCTATCTAACCTTTAGGGAATGCATTTGTTAGATATTTATTTCTTAGCTCAGAACAGCAGCACGTGAAAATTGTGGTTCATGGAGAGGCTAAGGGAAACAGAAAAATAGCTTAATGTTGAATGTTTAACCCCATCAGTCTTGGTTTTAAAAAACAGAAACCAACTATGACTGATATAAGCAAAACATAAAATTACTAGGATATTAGGTAACTCATAGAATCACTAGGAATACTGATGAAATGTGTTATGGTTTAAAGGTATCCCCCAAAGAGCATGTGGTGGGAACTTAATCTCAAATGCAATAGTGTTGCCAAGAGGGAGATGGGCCCTAATGGCAGGCGTTTAGGTCACGAGGGCTCCACCTTCATGAATTGATTAATGCTCATTAAAAAATGGCTTGGGGCTTTTTGTCCTTGCGATAGTTTGCTGAGAATGATGGTTTCCAGCTTCATCCATGTCCCTACAAAGGACATGAACTCATCATTTAAAAACCAAACACCACATGTTCTCACTCATAGGTGGCAATTGAACAATGAGAACACATGGACACAGGAAGGGGAACATCACACACTGGGGACTGTTGTGGGGTGGGGGGAGGGGGGAGGGATAGCATTAGGAGATATACCTAATGCTAAATGATGAGTTAATGGGTTCAACACACCAACATGGCACATGTATACATATGTAACAAACCTGCACGTTGTGCACATGTACCCTAAAACTTAAAGTATAATAATAATAAAATAAAATAAAATAAAAAAGAAAATGGCTTGGGGCTGTGAGTCTGATCTCTTGCTCTTTCTTGCCTTCTCTTTGCCCTTCTGCCATGGGATGATACAGCAAGAAGGTACTTGCAAGATGCTGGCCCCTCGATATTGGACCTCTCAACCTCCAAAATGATTAGCCAATAAATTTATGTTCATTATAAATTACCCCGTTTCAAGCATTCTCTGGTAGCAGCACAAAACAGACTAAGACAAACGGATTGTGAAACAGGCAGAAAACAGTTTAGACAACAATAGTGGGCACAATAGTTTATACCAAGACTACCAGCAGCTGTAGGCTCTGGAAACCACTGCCAGTTATGCTTCTTCCATGACCTACAGAAACAGTGAGTTACTGTTTTCTTAGTTACCAGAAATTTCTCACATTGTGTCTTTGCATCTTTGGCTAATGATTCAAAGGCCCAGGCCAGTTCACCTCATTGTCTAAGCTTATGGGAGAAACAAAGATTCTATTTTAACTTCTAAATTATCCTTATGTTGTTACTGCTAGACCAGCTATTATTCTTGCAAAACAAAAGTTTCAGACATACTTTTACTAAATAAGTGATTAATCAAACTTAAAATGTCATGAATGGGAAATCCATGACAAAAAAACCAGTGGTTAGCATTAATTATAATTTGTAAAAAATAATGCTGCAATATGGAAGGCAAATATAAAATATACTTATTTACATATGATATATATTTATTTACATATAATAGTCAACAATAATAATAACTAGTGCCACAGTGTATGGAGAAAAATTGGGAAGTTAGTAGCTTAAGAGAAATAAGAAATATGCTAATTTCTTTGCATAGGATATATTCTTTATATAATATTTATTTAATAAAATGTTATGTTAGTACTTTCAATACTACAGATAATAACCCCTCAAAAAGTGCCCATAGAACACATACAAAGAGTGATCATATATTAGGTTTGTATTAGTAAGAAACTATTTCAGGTAACTTAGAATGTGCCCAGAGAGGCACAAAGAGGCTGTGTTTTGTTTTGTTTTTGTTTTCAAACATAGCAAGAAGTACAGATGAAAAATGTAATTGATGTACAGCTCATTTAAAAGCTCGAAATCACAGTAGATT
Organism: Homo sapiens; assembly: GCF_000001405.40. NCBI lineage: Eukaryota > Metazoa > Chordata > Mammalia > Primates > Hominidae > Homo > Homo sapiens. The sequence goes on along the minus strand of NC_000008.11, from coordinate 40,247,634 downwards.
TATTCTATTAGTTTCTCGGCCTTTCCTTCAGGGTTTTAGTATGTCTGATATTGCTCTCATTGGACCATCTGTGTTCAAGGCAAAAAAGGGGTGGAGAGTAATCAATGGGTTTGTAAGGAAAGAAAAATCTACCAGAAAACACAACAGATTGCCACTTTGGAAACATATCTCCCACAACTGAAGTGGACTAAGGGAAGGGTGGTAGATATGAAGTCAGCTAATCAATATTGTTTATTGACCATAAGATAAAAGAAAAGACCTCATTCAATTAAATGAAATTGTGTAAAACATATTATCATCAAAGTAGAAGTTAACATAAAATGTCAAAAGAATATTTTTCAGCTTTGGAAAATTAAAAATATTGTCCTAATTAACTCTTTTGTCAAAGAGGAAGTCAACTTCAATCACAAACTTTTAAGAAAATCATTACAATGAAGAAACTATACATAAATTATTAGCACTATGTTTAGCTGAACCTTCAAAATTTTAAATATGTCTCTAATAAATGAGACTAGCTGGAAAAATAACTATATAATCAATTCTAAACTTTAAGTTAATTTTTATATGCTAAGAAAATCAGGAAGATTAAACTCAGAGGTAATAAATTAGGAATCAGAAAACAGAAAAACAATAGAGCTAACAGAGACACCCCAAATTATTTCTTTTAAAAATAAATATTTACCTATGTAACAAACCTGCACATCCTGCACATGTACCCTGGAACTTAAAATAAAAGTTGAAGAAAAAGAGATAAAAATAAATATAATAGAAAAACTTTTGTTCTAATGATTATCTGATAATCTTTTAAAAAAAGACAGAAAAAACAAAAACATAAAATTTTACACCAAAAAGCTATAAAAATGTCTGGTTATAGTGTCAAATTGAAAATATGTTGTACTCATTCCTTGAATCCCTACTAAAATTTCAGTAAAGCAATAAAAAGATTATTAATCCACAGAGAAAGAGAACAGGACTGGAGACAACAGGATACTAGTGATGTCAACCATTATTTGGTAAATAGGAAGTGCTTGTAAAAGAAATTTCTGATAAAATGATCAAAAGGCAAGAATGAAAAGTAAAATTTAAAAGTAAAGAATAAGTGATAATTAATAGAAAACACAAACCACTGGGTAAGTGAGCATTCCAAAAATGAACAGAGAAAATGGAGACGAAAAAGTTATGCAAGCAGGAATATTTCTTTTCTTTCTTTCTTTTTTTTTTTTTTTTTTTTTTGAGACAGAGTGACGCTCTGTTGCCAGCCTGGAGTGCAGTGGCACAATCTCGGCCCACTGCAACCTCCACCTGATGGGTTCAAGCAATTCTAATGCAGGAATATTTCTAAGAACTGAAGGATTAGAATCTAAACGGTCATTTAGTTGCTCAGTTTATTGATTGAAAAGAAGCCAATTCTGAGGCTCATCATTATAAAGAGATAAGACAGAAAACATTATAATTTTCAAAAGCAGTACTGGAGTCTACAGGATAATAGTATATTGTCTTGATAATTTTGAAAGATATGGTTTTATTTTATAATTACATGCCATTCATCTAGAAATCAAACACCAGGGTGGAATACAAACATTTTCAGGCAACTATTTCATTATTTTTAAATTTTTAAAATTTTTAATTATTATGGATACATAATAGTTTTACATATTTAAGAGGTACTTGTGAAATTTTTATACAAGCATACAATATGTAATATTCACATCATGGTAAATGGGGTATCCATCATCTCAAGCATTTATCATTTCTTTGTGTTAAGAAGATCCCAATTCTACTCTTTTAGGTATTTTGAAATATATATTACTGTTAAGTATTGTAGCCCTATTGTGCTACCAAACACTAGATCTTATTTCTTCTATCTAACTACATTTTTGCACCCATTAGACATCCCTCTGTATTCTCCCCTCCACACCAGCTTTTCTAGCTTCTGATTACCATCTTTCTACTCTCTGTCTCCATGGGCTCAATTTTTTTTTTTTTAGCTCCCACATATCAGTGAGAACACACAATATTTGTCTTTCTGTGCATGGCTTATTCACTTCACATAATGGCCTTCAGTTCCATCCATGTTGTTGCATAGTACAGGATTTCTATGTTTCAATGGCTGAATAATATTCCATTGTGTATATGTACTATATTTTTTCATCTATTTAGATGCTGATAAACACTTGATTCTGTATCATGGCTATTGTGAATAGTGCTGCAGTAAACATGAAAGAGCAGGTATCACTTTGATATACTGGTTTCTTTTCCTTTGGATATATTCTCAGCAGTGGGATTGCTGGATCGTATGGTAGTTCAATTGTTAGTTTTTTGCTAGATCTACATACTATCATCTATGGTCGTTGTACTAATTTACATTCCCACCAATGTAACATGTAGGAGGGTTCTCCTTTCTCCTCCACATCCTTGCCTGTCTTTTGGATAAAACACATTGCAACTTTGGTAAAAATATTTCATTGTAGCCTAATTTGCATTTCTGTAATAATTAGTGATATTGAGTAATTTTTATACACCTGTTGGCCATTTGTATTCCTTCTTTTGAGAAAAGTCTATTTTGATCTTTTGCCCACTTTTGAATACAATTATTTGTTTTTTCCCTATTGAGTTGCTTCAGCTCCTTATATATTCTAGTTATTAATACCTTTTCACATGGGTAGTTTGCAAATATTTTCTCCCCATTCTGTGGTTTTTCTCTTCATTTTGTTGATTGTTTCCTTTACTGCATGGAAGCTTTTTGGCTTTATGTGATCCCATTTGTCTATTTTGCTTTGGTTGCCTCTGTTTTTGGGATTTGTCTCGGTAAATCTTTGCCCATACCAATGACCTGAAAATTTTATTCAATGTTTTCTGTTAGTAGTTTAATGGTTTGACATCTTAGATTTCAGTCTGTAATCCATTTTATTTTGTTATGAAATTCAAGCTCTCTCTTTTTTTTAATTTTTAATTTTTCCATAGGTTATTCGGGTACAGGTTGTGTTTGGTTACATGAGTAATTTCTTTAGTGATGATTTATGAGATTTTGGTGCACCCATCACCTGAGCAGTATACACTGAACCCTATTTGTAGTCTTTTATCCCTCGCGCCCCTCCATCCTTCCCCCCAAGTCCCCTAAGTCCATTGTATCATTCTTATGTCTTTGTGTCCTCATAGTTTAGCTCCCACATATCACTGAGAACATACAATGTTTGGTTTTCCATTCTTGAGTTACTTCACTTAGAATAATAGTCTCCAATCTCAACCAGGTCACTGCAAATGCCATTAAATCATTCCTTTTTATGGCTGAGTAGTAGTCCACTGTGTGTGTGTGTGTGTGTGTGTGTGTGTGTGTGTATATTCCACACACATATATATATTCCACACATATATATATTCCGCACACAGATATATATTCCATACATATATTCCATATATATATTCCATATACATATATATTCCATAGATATATTCCATATACATATATATTCCATAGATATATTCCATATACATATATATTCCATATATATATTCCATATATATTTTATATATATATACACACACACACACACACACACACACACAACAGTTTCTTTATCCACTCGTTAATTGATAGGCATTTGGGTTGGTTCCATGATTTTGCAATTGCGAATTGTATTGCTATAAACATGCACGTGCAAGTATCTTTTTTGTATAATGACTTCTTTTCCTCTTGGTAGATACCCAGTAGTGAAATTGATGGATCAAATGGTAGTTCTATTTTTAGTTCTTCAAGGAAACTGTTTTTCATAGTAGCTGTACTAGTTTATATTCCCACCAACAGTGTAGAAGTGTTCCCTGATCACCACATTCACGCCAACATTGACCGTTTTTTAATTTTTTTTATTATGGCCATTCTTGCAGGAGTAAGGTGGTTTTTTGCATTTTGGTTTTCATTTGCATTTCCCTGATCATTAGTTATGTTGAGGATTTTTTCATGTGTTTGTTGGCCATTTGTATATCTTCTTTTGAGAATTATCTATTCATGTCCTTAGCCCATTTTTTAATGGGATTGTTTGTTTTTTTCTTGCTGAATTGTGAGTTTGTTTTAGATTCTGGATATTAGTCCTTTGACAAATGCATAGATTGTGAACATTTTCTCACACTCTGTGGATTGTCTGTTTACTCTGCTGTTTACTTTTGCTGTGCAAAAGCTCTTTAGTTTAATTAGGTCCCAGTTATTTATCTTTGTTTTTATTGCATTTGCTTTGGGTTCTTGGTCATGAAATCCTTGCCTAAGCCAATATCTAGAAGGGTTTTTCCAATGTTATCTTCTAGAATGTTTACAGTTCCAGGTCTTAGATTTAAGCCCTTAATCCATCTTGAGTTGATTTTTGTATAAGGTGAGAGATGAGGACCCAGTTTCATTCTCCTACATGTGACTTGCCAATTATCCCAGCACCATTTGTTGAAAAAGGTGTCCTTTCCCCACTTTATGTTTTTGTTTGCTTTGTTGAAGATTGGTTGACTGTAAGTATCTGGGTTTATTTCTGGGTTTTCTATTCTGTTCCATTGATCTATGTGCCTATTTTTATACCAATACCATGCTGTTTTGGCGACTATGGCCTTACAGTATAGTTTGAAATCAGTTAGTGTGATGCCTGCAGATTTGTTTTTTGTTGTTGTTGTTTTGTTTTTTGCTTAGTCTTGCTTTGTCTATGCAGACTCTTTTTTAGTTCCATATGAATTTTAGAATTTTTTTTCTAATTCTGTGAAGAATGATGGTGGTATTTTGATGGGGATTGCATTGAATTTGTAGGTTGCTTTTGGCAGTATGGTCATTTTGACAATGTTGATTCTACCCATCCATGAGCATGGGATGTGTTTCCATTTGTTTGTATTGTCTATGATTTCTTTCAGCAGTGTTTCAGTTTTCCTTGCAGAGGTCTTTTGCCTCCTCGGTTAGGTATATTCCTAAGTATTTTACTATTTTTGCACCTATTGTAAAAGGGGTTGAGTTCTTTATTTGATTCTCCATTTGGTCGCTGTTGGTGTATAGGAGAGCTGTACATTTGTGTACATTAGTCTTATATCTGGAAATTTTGCTGAATTATTTTATCAGTTCTAGGAGATTTCTGGAGGAGTCTTTAGGGTTTTTGAGGTAAACAATCATATCGTCAGGAAACAGTGACAATTTGACTTCCTCTTTACTGAAACAAGACAAGGATGCCCACTCTCACAACTCTTCCTCAACATAGAACTCCTCTTCAGCTGGAAGTCTAGCCAGAGCAATCAGACAAGAGAAAGAAATAAAGGGCATCTAAATCTGTAATCCATTTTGATTTAGTTTTTGTGTATGATGATAGTCTAATATCATTCTTCTTCATATGGATATCTAGTTTTACCAGCACCATTTATTGAAAAGACTTTTCTTTTCTCGGTGTATATTCTTGGTGCCTTTGTCAAAAATAAGTTGACTGTAAATGCATGCATTTATTTCTATGCTTTGTATTTTAACTGGTATCTTTGTCTGTTTTTATGCCAGTATCACACTGTTTTGGTTACTAAAGCTTTGTAGTATAATTTGAAATAAGGCAGTGTGAGGCCTCTAGCTTTGTTCTTTTTGTTCAGGATAGTCATTAGCTATCCTTAGTCTTTGTATCTTGAGTTTCTACATAAATTTTAGGATTATTTTTTCTATTTCAGTGAAGAATGTCATTGACATTTTAATAGGGATTGCATTGAATCTGTAGATTGCTTTGCGTAATATGGACATTTTAACAATGTTGATTCTGTCTGTGAATATAGAATATCTTCCCCATGTTTTGACGTCCTCTTCAATATCTTTTAGTAATGTTTTATAATTTTCATGGTAGATAACTTTCACTTCTTTGGTTAAGGTTATTTCTAGGTATTTTATTTTATTTGTAGCTGCTATAAATAGGATTACTTTTTAAATTTCTTTTTCAGATTGTTTGCTCTTGGCATATATACATCCTACTAATTTTTGTATGTCGATTTTATGTCCTGAAACTTTACTGAATTTGTTGATCACTTCCAAGAGTTTTTTTAATAGAGTCTTTAAGTTTTTCTAAATATTTATTTATTTTTCTGGTTTAATTGCTCTGGTTAGGACTTCCAGTACTATGTTGAATAGAAGTGCTAAAAGTGAGCATCCCTGTCTGTTTCTAGATCTTAAAGGAAAGGCTTTCAGTCTTAGGGCACCTCTTAGTGCTGAAACAGCTGCAGTGACAGCAAGCTTTGGTCACACCACTCAATCATCTTTAAATTCTTGGAAAGTCCTCTTAAGAAGGATGAATACAAACAAGCACAGACTATGAAGATTAAAATAAATACTAACTCTTCAATTCCTAGACATTGATAAATGTCTGCAAACATCAAGTACGTGCAGAAAAGCATGACCTCACCAAACAGACTGAATAACATACCAAGGACCAATTCTGGAATGATGAAGCTATATGACCTTTCAGACAGGAAATTCAAAATAGTGGTTTTGATAAGTCTCCACAAACTTTAAGATAACACTTAGAGGGAATTCAGAATTCTGTCAGAGAAATTTAACAAACAGATTAAATTTTTTTTTTAAAGTTCGAGCAGAAAATTCAATTGACAAACTGAAAAATGCTCAGTTGTTCATGCCAAAAAATAATTGGTGAGCTTGATTATATAAAAATGCACAGTCAGAAGAGAAAAAATGATTTTAAAAATGAAGCACACCTACAAGATCTAGAAAATAGCTCCAAAACGGTAAATCTAAGAGCTTTTGGCCTGGAAGTAGATGTTAACAGAGTGATCAGGTTAGAAAATTTATTCAAAGGAATAATAACAGAGAACTTTCCAAAGCTAGAAAAATATAGGAATGCTAAGGTACAGGAAATTCAAAGAACACTAAGAAGATTCAACCTCAAGGCATGTAATAATCAAACTCTCAAAGATCAAGGAAAAATAAAGGAATCTAAAAGCAGCAAGAGAAAAGAAGCGAATAATACATAAAGGAGCTCTGATATATCTGGCATTAGATTCCCCCATGGAAATCTTACAGGCCAGGAGGGAGTGAGATGATATATTCAAAGTACTGAAGAAAAAAAATAAAAACACATCTAACCTAGACTATTATATCCAGCAAATGTGATGGAGAAATAAAAGCATTCCTAGACAAACAAAAACTGAGAAGTTTTATCAACATCAGACTTGTCTTACAATAAATACTAAGGGGAATTCTTCAACCTGAAAAAAAGGGATGGTAATAAGGAACAAGAAATTATCTGAAGGCATAAATCTCACTGGTAAAAAAGTAAGTATACAGACAAATACAGAATACTCTAACACTGTAATTGCAGTCTATAAACCACTCATCTCTTTAGTAGGAAGACTAAAAGACAAACCTGTCCAAAACAATAAATAACACAATTTTTAAGAGATGGACAATGTAAAAAGATATAAATACAATGAAAAGTCCAAATTTAGGGGAGATGTTGATGAAGTATAGAAGTGTTAGTTTTCTCTTTGCTTGTTTTTTTTTTTAAACTACACTTTGTGATGAGTGTTAGTTGTCCTCAAAGTAATTGGTTATGTTATTTGCAAACCTCATGGTAACTTCAAAATGGAAACCTATAGTAGATACACAAAAAATGAAAAACAAGAAATTAAAACATGCTGTCAAAGTAAACCACTTTTATACAAAGGAAGTTAGGAAAAAAGGAAGAGTGGACCAACAAAACAACCAGAAAACAAATAACAAAATGGTGGTAGTTAGTCCTTACTTATCGATAATAAAAATAAATATAAATGGACTAAATTCTCCAATCAAAAAATATAGAGTGGATGAATGGATTTTTAAAAAAACAAGACCTAACTACATGCTGCCTACAAAAACAGTCACTTCACCTATAAAGACATACATAGACTCAAAATGAAAAAAAAATTCCATGGAAATGAAAATCCATAAAGATCAAAAGTATTATTCTTATATTTAGATAAAATAGATTTTAAGTCAAAAACTGTCAAGAGACAAAGAATGTCATTATATAACATAATAATAAAGGTTACAATTCATGAATATATTGTAAATATATTTATACCCAATGCTTGAGCACCCAGACATATAAAAATATTATTAGAGCTCATCCTATTTGAGAGAGAGAGACTCCCCCATACAATAATAGCCAGGGACTTCAACATCCCACTTTTAGCATTGGACAGATCATCTGAACAGAAAATCAACAAAGAAACGTCAGACTTAGTCTGTATACTATAGACCAAAAGGACCTAAAAGGCATTTACAGAACATTTCTTCCAGCACATGGAACATTCTCAAAGATAAACCATATATTAGGCCACGAAACAAATCTCAAAATATTTAAAAAATTGAAATCATATCAAGTATCTTTTCTAGCCATAATAGAAAATAAACTAGAAATCAATAATAAAAGGAATCTTGGAAACTATACAAACATGGAAATTAAGTAAAATGCTCCTGAATGACCACTGAGTCAGTGAACAAATTAAAAAGAAAATTTTACAATATCCGAAAACAAAATTGGGAACACAACATACCAAAATCTATGGGATACAACAAAAGCAGTACTAAGAGGAGGTTTACAGTAATAAATACCTACATCAAGAAAGTAGAAAAACTGGAAATAAACAACCTAATGATGAATCTTAAAGAATTAGAAAAGGAAAAGCAAACCAAACCCAATATTAGTAGAAGAAAAGAAATAATAAAGATCAGAGAAGAAATAAATGAGATTAAGACTAAAAAAAAATCAATGCAACACAAAGATGTTGTTTTAAAAAAAAAGATGAACAAAATCAATAAGCTTTTAACCAGACTAATAAGAGAGAGAAGATCCAAGTAAATACAATCAGAGATGAAAAGAAGATATTACAACTGATACCACAGAAATTCAAAAGATTGCTAGAGACTGTTATGACAAACTGTATGCCAATAAATTTAGAAACTCAGAAAAAAGGGTAAATTCTTAGACATATACAACCTACTAAGATTGAACCATGAAGAAACCCAAAACCTAAATAGACCAATAACAAGTAACAAGATATATACAGTAATAAAGATGATCCCATCAAAGGAAAGACCAGGACCTCATTTTCTGGCATTTAAGATCAGGAAGGAAGGGAGGGAGAGAAGGAATGAGGGAGGAAGGAATGAAGGATGGGATGGAGGGAGAGTGGGAGGAAGAAAGGGAGAGAAGGGAGAAGAAAGAGAGAAAAAGAAATGAAGCTTCTATGTATTTTTTCCCCTCAGGAAGTTGCTACAAGATGTGCTTCACCATAGTGATTCAAATGTAAACCCCAGGAAACCAAGAATCCAACAGCAGAAAGCGTAGTAAGAAAATTCCCAGAATGTCCACTATGCTGCAAGCATAGAAAGCAATCAATCCAGATGGGGAGCGGAGAAAGGAGGGATCTAGGATGGAACTGTCATTAGGAGTCAGGGAGTAGGGGAGAAAAAAAGAGGAAAATGAAAGAAGAAAGGAAGGAAGAGAGAAGAGGGAGGAGGGAGAGAAAGAAAGGAAGGTGGAGGGAGAGAAAGAGAGGAAAAATTGAGCCAATCTGTTTCCACATAGCTTAATTAGCAGAACTAAGAACTGAGATACTCTCTGTCAAAATAACATTCTTCTTTTTATGCAGGAAAATAAGATAGGAAACTAATAAATAATGTCACTGTTAACTTTAGGAAATTTCCGAAAACCAATTTGTCTGTGCAAATAATTTTTCATTTTGGCAAACAGCTCTTCAATAAAAAAAAATGCAAGCCACTCACTTATCAAACAACAATATACTTACAAAGACTCACTTCAAGAGCATGTCTCCTTGTTCTAACCTATTTTTTCACTAACATTGCCCAACCCCAGCAAATTCCCAACTATACATTATTTGAGCTCAAATTCCAAAGCCTTATAAAAATTCTCCACTATGTTTTCTGAGATATTATTACAGCTCTGTCAAGGTAGTGTTCTCCCTTACAGCAAGAAGTTTAATGAACATCTTTGCTTGATTCATAGGTTCTTCTGGTGTATATATACACCAGACCACCTGATGTATTCAATTACACAGAAATAGTATTGTGAGGGGACAAGGCAGGGTGGCTCACGCCTATAATCCCAGCACTTTGGGAGCCAAAGGTGGGCAGATCACTTGAGCTCAGGAGTTTGAGACCAGCCTGGGCAACCTAGTGAAACTCCGTCTCTACAAAAAAATACAAAAATAAGCCGGGTGCGCTGGCAGGCACCTGTGGTCCCAGCTACTTGGGAGGCCAAAGCAGGAGAATCACTTGAGCCCAGGAGGCAGAGGTTGCAGTAAGCCAAGATTGCACCCACTGCACTCCAGCCTGGCTGATGGGAGTGAAACCTTGTCTCAAAAAAAAAAAAAAAGAAAAAAAAAAAAAAGAAAAAAAAAAAAGAAATGCTATTGTGAGAAATTTACAGATGTGTTGGAGAAAATTTTGTTATATGTATACATATTACATAATTTCATATATAAATGTATACAAAATATGTATATGTATTACAAAATTTTCTCCAACACATCTCCATATATATGTACACATATGTATGAAATACATATATATGAAACATATGAGAGAGTTATTTACTCCAAGAAAAATAATAAAAATACAAAAAATAAAGCATAATCATAATTCATTAGTTGGGTTAGTAGTAAATAACATAATATTTTCATTGCTATATGGTAAAAACTGAATTGGGGTTTAGATGGAAATTGTGATATAAATGTTAGGAGAGAAGAGAAGTAAGAATATGGGAAAGAAATAGTATAAGAACCCTAAATTCTCCTCCGCTGTAAGAGGAAATTGAAAAAAGAAGGGAGTATATAGCACATATTGGAAGACAAATAGCAACAATTAAAAAAGGTAAAAGAGGTAGGTATGATGGTGTGCACCTATAGTCCCAGCTACTGCAGAGGCCAAGTCAAGAGGATTACTTAAGGCCAGGAGTTCAAGACCTGCCTGGGCAATATAGCAAGACCCCATCTCTATAATTAATTAATTAATTAGGTAAGAGAGTTGAAAGCATTGGTAAATCAACTGGCCCCAAATCCTTAGAACAGTGATCTAGCCTCCTAGGTAACAGAGAAGACTGGAGATTATACTGAATGCTAGAGAGATCAGAGATAGCAAGGGTAAAAGAAAGTCTCTTTCTTTTCTTTCTTTCTTTTTTTCTTTCTTTCCCTTTCTTCCTTTCTTTCTCTTTCTTTCTTTCTTTTTATCTCTCTCTTTACAGAGAAATGTTGAGACTATATTCCCCAAATGTTGGCAATAGTTATTTCTGAGTTTTTTTTATTCTTTTTAACTTTTTTCACAGATAAACTATTTATAATAAATAAAATAAAAATACATGTATGTTTTTATAAAAGTAATAGCTCTTTTTTAATTAAAAAAATAAAAATGGAATTGGAGTTCAACAATAACAATATGAAAGAAAACCACGCTACCTAAAATAAAGTCAGTCTTTGGCTAGAACTCAATCACCTGTTCATGGAAAACTGCAAGACAGGTTGAGGAATGAAGGCTTGCTATTTGTGCAGGAAGCGGAATAAGTGGGTTGGGTGAACAGCTACTCAGTCTCTGCTACAATTTCTTACAGTAAAAGAACAAATACAGAATCAGATGATTTAGCATGTAGCAGCTAGAACTCTGCCTCTCTCACTGCGGTGCTGCAGAAATCACAGCTTTGATTGATATTTTAACACAACAGAGTTTATGCAGGTGTCAAATCATCCAAAGGAAAGCTAAGAAAACCTACAGGATTTCTAGAAACTCTTTAGTTCTGCCTGAATATTAGAATTTTGGCAGACAGAGTTGATAGAACTCTCATAATCATTTCATAAAATTCTTCCAAGCCCCCATTATCATTTTTCTTTTTAAAATCTATATCTTCTTCCTCTACTCAGTAATTACATCTATTGCCACAAGTTGAGATCAAACCCTAGAGCTTCTGCAGAATTTCTGATGCTGCCTTTATGAGACTCCTGAGTCTCTTGGAAAAAGCAAATTAAAGATCTTCAGTTTGTATGATCACAGGCAAAGCTTCTACCAATGAGATAGTTTGTAATTTCCAACTGGTACTAAATATGATCAATGAAACATTTCTACGAGATTGATTTTATACAGGATCTTGGGAAATTCAACCTCTCAACAGATCATCCTTTACTGGCTGCCAACAGAATATGATAGATTGTTTTCCTTCTCTGTGTGATTCATTGTAGTCCAGGACACAGAACATCAAAGAACTTCTACTGAGCATGGAAAGAAGAAGGTAGATGCAGAAGATGCAGTGTCTGAGAATTTTCAAGATTGTATTTCTCTCATAAGCATCAATCACAGTGCATCTTTCTTCATATTTTTTGGTACATACACAGGCACAGAGCTGTGATTGTAGGGTCATGAGTTATCTCTCCTGTTCACCACCCTCCTCTGTTTAGTATCATTTTTCTTTTTAAGGATCATTAATTTACTGAATGCTGTTGAATATTGACATATGGTCACAGCATCATAGTTAGTACCTTTCTCCTCTCCATATCCCAAGGACACAAGAATCCTATTTTGATAACATTTTAACTGGTGAAGCATATAAATTTATTATAAGCCTAATTCTTTCTGCAGCTAAGCATTGCTTCTCCCTGAAAAGCAATCTTTATTCAGGTGACCCAAGCAACAACATTATGACATAGAAATCAGAACCATCCCTATGACACACTGTTTGGTACATTTCTATGTTTAGCAAGACCCATTACAATTATCTGGCAGTTTTTCCAGAGAAATGGTGTATTTCATTAGTTAAGAATACATACTTCGGTATCAGATTGCCTGAGTTTGCATCTACCAGCTACTAGCTGTGTTTGCAGAGTAAGGATATTATAAAAATATAAGAAAAAATCAAAGGGCAATTTCAAGGATTAAATGAGATAATGTATGTAAAGCTTCAACAATATCTCACCACATTTAAATGTTGATGGTGATGAAATCCTAATTCCAATTCAGCATCCTGTTTCATTTCAATATCAAACAAGGTATTTAAAGAGATATACTTAGCTTCAAGTGGACTGAAGTCTACAGAACATGTTTGAGTGTGAGGTATTACAGTGTACTGGTTAAGAACATAATCTCTGCAGAAGCCCAGATGATGAGATTCAAATCCTTGTTTCACTATTTACTAGATATGAGCCCTGGGCAAGTTACTTACTTATTCTGTGTCCCACTTTCCCTAACTGTAGAATGAAGAACATAATGGTACCTTCTTCACAGGGTTCACCTAAGCTCTTTAAATTTTATTTATACAAATTAAAACCTCTTGTTTGAGGCTGAAACTTTCCTGAAAATTTTGAGATAAATAAACCATTGCTTACAATTACTAAATATCCAGCTCAATTTCCTATATCAGAAATTCCCCCACATCAGGACCCATTCCAAGATTGATATGCCTCGTTGTTTTTTTTCCAGATAAGCTCATTTATTAACTACTATATCCTGAGTACTATGATGGAGTTGTGGCAGGAATAATAAAGCATGGCTAGTCCACTGACAAAGCTTCCAATGTAACCTGGAATAAGGCAGGGAAAGCTGGGGAAATCAAAATATAGTTTTTCTCTGCATGATCTTGGGTATGTTATTTCACCTTGGTTGGATCATGTTATTTCACCTTTATTTATTGCTCATGTTTATCTAATTTGGGGACCTAATCTTCAGGTTATACTTTTAAATCTTCAAAAATGTCCATCTCTACTGGCTCTACATGACTTCAGGCTTATACCATTATTTCATCTTCTTCTTTCCTTTCTTTCTCCCTCCTTTCCTCCCTTCCTTCCCTTCTTCTTTCTTCCACTCTCTCTGTTTCTCCCATTCTGTCTCTGTGTCTTCACTTTCCATTTTATATAAAAATATCTCCAAAAGATTTTAATAAATTCTATCAGGCAATTCCAACCTTATGTAATTTAGGTTCATCAGAGTTTCACTGCAACTGAGAAAGAGCAGGTGCTTGAGGGCATCAGACTTTTTCTAGAAGCAAGAAAGGAAATGTGTAATCTCGAAGCTGAGGCTGAGTTCTTGAAGGCATGGTTTGAGAGGAAACTGATCAAAATTGGATTTTCCAGAGAATTGAAGGATGACCCAGAGTTCTTGTAGAAGAGTGAATTAGCCAGGCATGGAAAAGAACTGAAGCATTATTGAATGTGTAATTCAGACAAATTCAGGACAGATTCTTCCTACCCACTGCAAATACAAAATCAATTCACTGAGACTGTGCTGTTGCAATAAAGTGTTTTATTAATGTGAGGCTGTTGAGTGGGAAGACGGGAGTTATCACTCAAATCAGCCTCCCCAAAGGCTTGGAGGTTAGGGTTTTTCAAGAATAGTTTGGTAGGCAGAGGACTAAAGAATGGATGATGCTGATTGGTTAGGAATGCAATCATAGGGGTGTGGAAAATGGTCTATGTACACTGAGTCCACCTTGAGGTGGGGCCACAGAACCAGTTGAATCATGAATCATGAGTCAAGGTGGGAACAGTTGCCAGGATGCAAAAGTCTAAGAAACATCTCAAGAGACCAATCTTAAGTTCTACAATAGTGATGTTATCTATAGGAGCAATTGAGGAAGTCACAATTCTTGTGACCTCTGGCCACAGGACTCCCATGCAGTAAGGGATTACAGAAACTACACCTACATTTTAGCAGAGTTCAGACCCCTCTCACAATCCTTACCTTGTGGCCTTTTGTTAGTTTTCAGTCCCTGACCAAGACAGGGTTTAATTTTAGGGAAGGATTATTATCATTTTTGCTTGCAAGTTAAACTATGAACTAAATTCCTCCCATGTCTAGGTTGGCCTATGCCCAGGAATGAGCAATGACAGCCAGCCTGTGAGGCTAGAAGCAAGATGGAGTCAGCCATGTCAGACTTCTCTTGCTATCATTTTCTTTGCAAAGGTGATCTCAGAAGGACTCAGAATTATGTTTTTTTAGTTCAATTTTTTTGAATGCTAACATTGGAAAAACAAAGGGTAGTGGTGGAAAGGAGGAAAGATCTTTATTGCCAGCTCTGTTATCAATATAATCTGGAATTTAATTTTAAGAATGTTTATTGAGCATTTATTATATGTGTAGAGGAGGAAAAAATAATTTTCCCTCTCCTCTTCCTGAATTCTTAGCAGGAACTCCCAGTAACAAAAGACAGATTAATAAAAGAAAAGCATGCAGACATGTATTACATGATACCCCATATACACATGGAAGATACCCAGAAAAATGAGTAAATCTCAAAAATTGGCTTAGAATTCAGGCTTAAATACCATCTTCAGTTGAAACAAAAACAAAAGTGTGTGAGAGACCAATTATGGGAAGTAACCAAGAAAAGCTCAGTAGATAAGGGTAAAGTATATTATGTAGATTTAAGTTCCTTTTCCATTGATAAGATTCTTTTATGATTTAGAGTCACGCTTCTCTTCCTTGTACAGAGAGGGAGACACACTTACAAATGAAGATTTCCTTTACAGATGGAAATTATTCTTGCAAAAGGGAACTTCTACTCTGTTTTCAGAATTTCTCCTGTCTTTGCTCTTTCCCAAAATAATCAGCTTAAAATAATCCTTATGCCAAAGAAGATATTTTGGGGTGGCATATTCTAGTCTTCCACTGTGCAAGGCACTGTGCCATGTGTGGGAGATACAAAGGTAGAAAAGCTGGTGAATGTGTCCAAATATATACACTTTTCATTCTCTTTTCTCTTTGGCAGTTTGATGTAGTACAGAGGTTCTCAACCTTTTCTGTCCTCCTCAACATTATCAAGGGATAAAACTTACCACTTTCAGTAAGAGTAATTCAATGAAAACAATGATTTTCAATGGAGAATTTGGGGAAAGGGTATCTGGAAGCAACCTATGCATACTTGGAGCTTGGTCAGGGGGTGCAGTTGGGGCATATGGGGTATGTGTAGTTTGTAAAAAGGTCCCTATGATTTTGATGTTTATACTGTGAAATAAGTAATTCAAATTAAAGCTGTTGGAACCTGAAATTATTTGAGTCTTAAAGAAAATGTGATTGTGGGACCTGAGTCATGTAACAGGCAGCTACAATCTTTGTTTCTCTGATGATAAATTAACTTTTTCCTTACCTAGATTGTTTTGTAAAATGTCATAAAAGACTAAGTGGCACCAGAAATAAGAACCTTTCCCTCTTAATTGTTGACTCTTATTATAGATTAACTTTCTTATTTCTTCTCTCACACCAACTCAGAACAGATAGCACAATAAACTATCATATTGCTCAAGAAATGTTACATATACATTTTTCAGAAAGGAACAAGCTGTAACCAATTAAATGACTGTTAACATGTAGACCAGCCTTGTATGGAAAATGTTGTAATTCTGCCACACTCCTTTGTTTATACCTATGTAAGTAAAATCTGAACTTTTCTTCTTCACAGCTCTGAACTCATCCTGTTGGAGTCTGTATTTCCCAGGTGGTCATCCTTAAACTTTGTGCTCGAATAAACTTTCTAGAGCTGGATTCTTATCTTTCTGATTATTTCAGGTTGATAGTATTTATGAGTCAGGGTCATGGGGTCAGCTCTCCTCTCTTACTTCCTTTATGAGGATCACTGTCTATGAAAGAAACCAGCTCCCATAAACCCCAAACACCAAATCTCCACACTCCTGGTCTTTCTTCAGTGTTCCATATAACTCACTTTGGTCAAACAAGAAAATAGGCAAGCACAAGCTTCATAAATCATGAATTCAAGGTTTGTGCTCTTTGACCAAAACCTTCCCTCCATCTAGCTTGTTTAGTAAGCTATTCCCTTGTGTCAACACCATCAGGAAATCTAGTTTATTGCTATTTTAAAATTGTTCTAAACCCTTACTCCTCTGTCTTCTTCACTTCTATCCTTATCTAGTTTAGATTTCATATTTCAACATTGTAAAAACACTTTTGCCAATATCATAAATTCTCTTGCCTTCCTGTGATTTTTGTCACACCCACCTGACATCAACCCCACTCAAGAAAAACCCAATCCTACTTTTCCTCTGCCAAAGATAGAAATCTTGCAGTCACTTAACACTCTCATCCCTTTTCCCCATACCCCAGCAATATCCAATCCAGTTAATTTTGAATGAATTTAGTCACTCTTAATTTTTTGGCTGCCATTTTTAACATCCCTTTTTATCATATCCCATATATTCAACTGATTAGCAGCTTCTACTGATTTTTTTTACTCATCCATACCTTTGGGGAAAAAAATCTACAATTTGATTTCTCAAGGCCAATTTGGCACAAATTATCTCTATCTTTCACATTTCAGCTAGATGATTTTTTCCCCTAAATTGTAGTTATAAGATACCATAGTTAGGTAGTTATAATTATACCATTATTATATAGTTATATAGTTATAGGATACCATAGTTATGTAGTTATAATTATACCATTCTTAAGTATAAGTTGCTTAAGTGGAAGTTCATGTATAATAAAGATGAAAATACTTACCATGGCCTACAAGCTGTTCATGACTTGGTGTATACCCTTTCCAACTCTATCTTACCTTGGCTCTCTGTACCTGAGCAATATGGGTCTCCTTTCAGTATCTCAATTGTGACATTTTTCTTCCAGATCACTTCCTCTGTCCAGAATGCTCTTTTTTTTAATTTGATCACCTCCTACTCTTTCTTCAGATTTCATATCAAATATCATGTAAGGGTGACAGGAATTTTTCCCTCCCCCTCTAAAGGTTTGAATCTGCTGAAATAAACTGACAATAGAGTAACAGAAGAAAAGGCTAACAAATGTATGTGCAAATGTGCATGGGAGCCATGTAAAATATGAGACTCAAAGAAGGGCCAGATGGTTGAGGTTTACATATGTTCTTTAGAAGCAGAGGGCAGTGGGGGGAGGTAGGCAATTTTGAGAGGTAGTAAATGATTTTCAGGGGCACCGAATGGGCCCAAAGAACAGACAGGAGTTTGTAAATGATTCTCTCTAGAAGATGAATGAACAAAAGAGCAGAAAATAGCTTGTGACAAAGTCTGTCTAAGTGTGATACATTCTTCAGTCTTTCTTTCTGTAATGTGAATTGAATAGCCCCTGGGTCATGGAATCTCAGGGAGTGGATCCAATGCAATCATGTTCCTTCTGTAGGAGCTTCAGATGAGAAACTTCAGGGAGAGCTCCATTGTGCACTTGGGGAGAGAAAGAGGAGAAGGTCAGAAAGTCCTTGGTTCTGAGCCTGCTTCTAAGGTCTTTTAATTTCCTTCGGCTCAAAGTGTGCAGCCTGCCAAAGTACCCCACTTTGGGGTATCATTTTCTACACCCCTGTGGTCACTCTCTCAAGAAGACTTTTTGTACCCAATCTAGATTGAATTCTCTTCATTCACTCTTACAAATTCAATTTTCTTTACTTTGAAACATAACATTTTATAATACTATACACATTATTTTAATTATATGGGGTTTTTTTCCTTCTTATTACAATGTCAACTACATGATTTAGAAGCCATATTGAATTTGTTTTCCATTATGTCTCCAGTAAAGACTACAGTGCCTGCAACAGAGCAGAGTTTCAATATCAAGGAGACTCTACTATTCAATATTACACTTGTGATATTTTTGTTTCTGTTCTAGCACAAATTCTACCAGTATTACACCCTTGAGAGGATTAGTCACTGTGGAAAGATGAAAGGTTCAGTGGTGGGTAAGGTATTAATTTACTTCCCCTGTTTCAGAGATCTACTTCCCTCCCGCCACACACAAAGCTACCCTTTGGGAAATTAACTGTACTGTCCAAGAAGGGGGTTGTAAACAGCCTTTTTGTTAGGAATCAAAAAGTTAAAGCTGTCAGGTGAATATCTGCTCTGCTGACAAGACAATCAATAAATAAGCTTCTATTTTTGTTTCAGTCTGTGCCCTGCTGGAGTTGCTCAGTTGAAGAGAAGTATTAGAGCCTTTTTAGATTTTGAGGATTAGGACTATATGAATATATTCCTCATAAGACTCCCCATGATCAGGAAAGGAAAAAGCTGAGAGTTCTATTATGAACAAAGCTTTTACCAATCAAGACAAAGGGCACAGCATGACCAGGCAGATTCGTGAACAAAAATATGAAACATTAAGAAAATCCAGCAAAGTAGGACTAAGCAAGTAAAGCTGCATTCCTCCTAAAGGCTTTGTTATCCTAGAAGCTGAGCAAGGGAGAGTTTGCTGCTAGGTGGTCCAGCAGGAAAGGAGAACTAGCATTCACGAGAACACTATGTGTCAGCAATGACTGTACCTGATTCTCAAAAGGGAGTTTGAAAAACATCATATTCGGAAATGTCTTCCAATGCTAGGTGGCTACTTCTCTTTATACCTTTGAAAAGTGCAGGTCTTGTCTCACTGTTACTGAGGCTTTAGTAATTCTCAGAAGGTTGGTGCCATTGTCACGCCCAATGCATCAGAAAAATATTTGACTGGAGAAACCAAATTCTCAGGCTTATTAAGGATGCCACAAAGTCCCTTAATGATTCACAGGGACGTTCTCAGTCCCAAGCCCAGAGAATTGCTAAGTTCTTTACATCTCATTTTTCAAACCAAAGATAGGCTGTGTGGCAGATCAAAGATGTCACCACATTCTTCGACATTCTTCCTTTCTAGAAGTAGTGTCTATTTCATCTTCCCTTTACCCTGGGCTTTCCTGTGACTGCTTTAACCAATAGAGTCAATGGAAATTATGCTATTCCAATTCTGAGGCTGATTTAAATTGATGATCACTTTCTGCCTTGCCCTCTAGGGAAGCCCTGAGCCATGAAATAAGAGGTCTGACTATGCTGCAGAAGAGATCATAAGGAGAGATCCTGAGACTTCAGGGAGAGGAAGACAGAGTGATCCAGGGCAGCCTATCATTCCACTCACCTGACACAGGCAGCAAGCATGTGAATAATGCCACTGTGGCCCGGATCAGATGGGTAGCAGACTGGCCACCAGCAAAACAGCACTGAGTTAGTTATCCCATGTGGTGCAGAAGTATAGCTCATTTGAGCCCTGGCTGAATTTCTGACCCACAAAATTGTGACATTAATAAAATGGTTGTTATTTTATGTCACTATCTTTGGGGATAGTTTGTTACACACCACTAGTTAAATGGAACCATCTGGGTGGAAGTTGAAGACTGGTGATCCAATCAATCACCAAAGTGTTCATGAAACTCATCTTTTACTATCCCTCTGCCTATATTTTTATCACTGAGAGATTCTTCATAAGGGTGAATATATCAGATCTAGAGGTTATAGGTTTTAGACTCTTATCCCTGGAGAAGGCATAGACTTGTAGCCTTGTATGCAGTTTTATGCCCTGAGATTCTAGTTCAGCAACAAGTTATAAATGTGCTATACCTTGTATATCTGCTGAAAATTTAAAACATAGCAATGATTAATTAAATGAAATGCCAAAGCAAATTGTATGAGAAAGGATCAATTTCTGTAATGGCAGTAAGAACCATGGCAAACTTGCTCTCCCTCTAAAACAACAAAAATACAGTCATTTTTTGGTCAACAACAAACTGCACATAGGAGAGTGGTCTTATAAGATTCTAATACCATGATTTTATTGTTTCTTTTTACATTTAGATGTGTTTAGATACACAAACGCTTACCATTGTGTTACAATTGCCTACAGTATTCAGTACAGTAACATGCTGTACAGCATTGCAGCTTAGGAGCAATAGACTATACCATATAGCCTAGGTGTGTAGTAGGCTATACCATCTAGGTTAGTATAAGTGCACTCTATATTCTCACAATGACAAAATTGCCTAACTACATATTTATCAGAATATATTCCTGTCATTCAGCAATGCATAACTGTACAGGCAAAAATATTGAAGTCAATCAACTCAAAACTCGACAGTTGACCAAAGCATATAGCAACCTGAAAACTATGTATCCAAGCAAAAGTATTAAATTTGGGTTACATGGAAGGAATTCTGTGAAGTTTTAACTTGGAGATATTCACATGTTCTTCCTGTTCCAGCTCAGTGGCATGGTAGACAAAAGCCAGCAATGATGAAGGCAAGAGAGAGCTGACCACTTTTAGATCTTTTGTAAAGGTACCACTTCCAGAACACAGTCAATATTTTGTCCATGTTTGCAGCTTCCTGGGAAATCTTTATTCTCTGAGCATAATGGTGATGTGATTTGACTCAGCTCAGCTCCTTCCCAGCAGCATCTCAGCTGCTTAGATGAAAGGCTGTGATTTCAGTTGAGGCAAACAACAAGCTGGCTGGGAATTTAAAAGAAAATCCAGGAAAACTAGACAACCATGGGAAACTCTGAAAAGCTTCCACATATTTCTGGGTGTTTAAAAAGTAGTGGGAAAATCCAGAAAAAAAAAAACTGGGAAAGGAGAAGGCACCAGTCATTCACCTCTGGCTGACTTTGAGGCCATGTACAAGCAGGAAGTGAGAGCGAAGGCTGTTTCATAAATTGCCTGTAGTGTGATGGCTTGCCTTCTCATACAGATTCCTCTTGCAAAGGGTAGAGATAAAAAGGCAGGGCATTTTTTTAAAAAATCTGATCTATTATTGGCTGACCACATATTGATTTCAGTGTGACCCCTAGGAAGCCAAACTTAAAAATAAAAACAAGAACTTAAGAAAAAAAAAATGACTAGAGAACTCAACTCAAAAGCCATACACTGCTGAGAATACAAAATCTACAGAATTAGTCCAGGGAAGTCACTAAATGAATAAACAGAAACAAGAAAAACAATAGCAAAAACAACAAATCAGCTACAACAAACCTATGGGAACAGGAGAATCTGATACCAGCATTGCAACAATACATCTAAAATGTCCAGTTTTCAACAAAAAAAGACATGAGAAAGAGAAAAACATGGCGCATTCATAGGAAAAAAGAGAGCCAACAGAAAATATCCATGAGGATGCTCAGATTGTCTTCCTAGAAAACAAAGATTTTAAATCAGCAATTATAAGTAAAATATGTTTAAAGAACTGAAGGAAAGTAGGACAATGATGCCTGTCCAAATAGACAACATCAATATAGAGACAAAATTATTCTTTAAAAACCTCTGGAATCCAGAAGTATAATAACTGCAATGAAGTATTAATTAGAGGCACTGAACAACAGATTTGAGCTGGGAGGAGAAAGAATCAGTGAACTTGAAGACAGATCAATAGGTATTATCCAGTATGCAAAGATGAAAAAAGAATGGGAGAGAAAAAGAATGATGAAAAAATGAATAAATCCTCAGACATTTGTCAGAAACCATCACATGTTCCAACATATACATGAAAACCCCAGAAAAATAAAATTGAAATATAAAAGGGCAGAAAAATATTACAGAAATATGCCAAATGCTTTTCAAATTTAATGAAAAATATGAATCAACACTTTAAACAGGATCAATAGGCTGGGCGCGGTGGCTCACGTCTGTAATCCCAGCACTTTGGGAGGCAGAGGCGGGCAGATCACAAGGTCAGGAGTTTGAGACCAGCCTGACCAGCATGGTGAAACCCTGTTTCTACTAAAAATACAAAAAAGTAGCCGGGCGTGGTGGCACGTGCCTGTAATCTCAGCTACTCAGGAGGCTGAGTCAGGAGAATCGCTTGAACCCAGGAGGCGGAGATTGCAGTGAGCCAAGATGATGCCATTATACTCCAGCCTGGGTGACAGAGCAAGACTCCATCTGAAGAAAAAAAACGACACTCAACAAGCTTTAAGTAGAGTAAACTCAGAAAGACCCATAGCTAGACATAACACAATCAAATTAATAAAAATCAAGAAAAAGATAAAATCTTGAGATTAGCAAGAGAAAAAGGACTTATCACGGACATAGTATCCTCAATAAGATTAATGACTAACTTACTAGAAACCATGGAGAGTAGAAGACAGTGGAATGACATCTTCAAAGTACTAAAAGAAAAGCACTGTCAACCAAGATTTCTACATCTAGCTAAACTCTCTTCAAAATTGAGGGAGAAATTAAAATATTTTCAGAAAGATAAAAACTGAGAATTCATCACTAGCAGACTACAAGAAATAGTAAAGGGATTTCCTTCAGACTGAAAGAAAAGGACACTAGATGGTAACTTGAATCCACACAAAAATACACAGAGGACCAATAAAATTAACTACATGGGCATTATAAAAGACAATATAAATATATTTATTATGTTTATAACACTTTTCCTATCCCATGTTTTAAAAGGCAACTGTATAAAGCAATAATTAAAAACTGTGTTTATCTATTCACAATAGCAAAGGATGTAGAATCAACCTAAATGCCCATCAGTGACAGATTGGATTAAGAAAATGTGGTACATATACACTATGGAATATTATGCAACCATAAAAAAGAATGAGAACATGTCTTTTGCAAGAACATGGGTGGAGCTGAAGGCTATCATCCTTAGCAAACTAATGGAGGAACAGAAAACAAACTACTACATGTTCTCACTTATAAGTGGGAGCTAAATAATAACTTATGAACACAAAGAAGAAAGCAACAGACACTGGGGTTTATTTGAGAGGAGAGGGTGGGAAGAGGCAGAGGAGTAGAAAATATAGCTATTGGGTACTGGGCTTAATACCTGGGTAATGAAATAATATATACAACAAACCCCCATAATTCATGTTTACCTGCTTAACAAACCTTCACATATACCCTCAAATGTAAAATAAAAGTTAAAAAAAATTAAAAACCTGTGTTTATATATTTATAATGTTTAAAAGTATAATCTAAGACCAGGCATGGTGGCTCATGTCTTGGCTCATCCCAGCACTTTGGGACGCTGAGGTGGGTGGATCATCTGATGATGTCAGGAGTTCAAGACCAGCCTGATCAATATGGTGAAACCCTATCTGTACTACAAATACAAAAATTAGCTGGGTGTGGTGGCATGTGCCTATAGTCCCAGCTACTCAGGAGGCTGAGACAGAATTGCTTGAACCTGGGAAACAGAGGCTGCAGTGAGCCAAGATCGCGCCACTGCACTCCAGCCTGGGTGACAGAGTGAAACTCCATCTCAAATAAATAAATAAATAAATATATATATATATTCTATATAACAATAATTGTGCAAAGGAGGAAGCAGAAAACTGAGATGTATTGGAGCAACGCTTTGCATTCTACTACAATTAAGTTAGTATTAATCCTTAATCAGTTGTTTTAAGTTACACCATCACCACTCCTAGGTCTCAAGATTGCTGACTAAAGAGCTTGAACTTCTAGTCTCCATAATTGTATGAGCCAATTTCTTATAGTAATTTTATATTTCCTATTGATTCTGTTTCTCTGGAGAACCCAAACTTATACATTGATCCACAAACGAAATGCAATCTAAGTTCTATGAAAATCCTACCTTTTCTTATAGAAGTCAACAAGCTGATCATAAAATTCATATGAAAATGCAACATATCCAGAATAGCCAAACAATCTGAAAAAGAAGATCAAAGGGAGGAGTCACACTTCCTCATTTCAAAACCTACTGTAAAACTACACTTATTGAGAAAGTGTGGCACAGGCATTAAAATAGACATATAGATCAGTGGAATGGAATTGAGAGTCCAGAAATTATTTATGATTAATTGACTTTAACAAAAATACCAAGACATGTCAATGAAAAAAGAATATCTTCTTCAACAAATATTCTCAGACACCTCTATATCCAAAAGGCTTCAATAAAGTTGAATCTCCATCTCACTCCATACACAAAAATTAACCAGAAATGAGTCATAGGCCTAAATGCAAGAGCTAAAACTATAAAACTCTGAGAAGAAAATATAGGAATAAGTTTTCTGACCTTAGATTAGGGAATGGCTTAGTTAGTATGACAACAAAAGCACAAGTGATATAAGAAAAGTTAGATAAATTTTACTTCATAAAATCAAAAACTTTTTTGTGTCGGGCTGGGCGCAGTGGCTCACGCCTGTAATCCCAGCACTTTGGGAGGCCGAGGTGGGTGAATCACGAGGTCAGGAGTTTAAGACCAGCCTGGCCAAGATGGTGAAACCCTGTCTCTACTAAAAACACAAAAAAATTAGCCCGGCGTGATGGCGAGTGCCTGTAATCCCAGCTACTCAGGAGGCTGAGGCAGAGAATTGCTCGAACCCAGGAGGCAGAGGTTGCAGTGAGCCAGGATCACACCACTGCACTCCAGCCCGGGTAACAGAGGGAGACTCCATCTCAAAAAATCAAAACAAAACAAAACAAAACAAAAAAACAACTTTCTTGTGTCAAAGTATACCACCATCAAGAAAGAAAAAATAACTCACAGAATGGGAAAAACTATTTGTAAATTATATATCTAATAAGGCAATTATATCCAGAATATATTTTAAAAATCCTTAAAATTCAGCAATAAAAAGACAAGCCAGTTTAAAAACAGATAAAGAATTTGAATAGTTAGTTCCCCAAAGAATATACACAATATATATTTCATGTGTTCATTAAACACATGAAAGTATGCTCAATATCATTAGTCTTCAGAGAAATACAAATTAAACCAATAATGAGATAGCGTTTTGCACCCACTAGGATGGATAAAATTTAAAAGACTTACCAAGTATTGGCAAGAATGTGGCAAATCATTGCTGGTGAGAACTTAAAATGGTGTAAAAATTTTAGAAAGTAGTTTGGAGTTTCTCAAGATGCTAAACATAGATTTACCATGTGACCCAGAAATTCTACTTCTTGTTATATACCCAAGATAAATGAAAATATATGTCCACATAAGACTTGTACACACATGTTCACAGCATACTTATTTACAATAGTCAAAAGGTAGAAATAGCTTAGAAGCCCATCAACTGATGAGTAGCTAGCAAAATATGGTGTATCCAAACAGTGAAATATTATTCAGAAATTTTAAAAAAAGAATTAGTGAGGTACTGATACATGCTAAAACATGGATGAACCTTGAAAACATTAGCTAAGTGATAAAAACCAGTCATTAAAGACCACATACTGTGTGATTCAATTTATGCAAAAGGTCCTGAATAGGAAAATTCATAGCAACTGAAAGCAGATTAGCTGTTGCTTAGAGCAGGTAGAAATGAACAGTGGGAGACAGGGAGGGGCTGCTATTCATAGGAAGCTGCTTTTTGCCTTGTTGAAAACGTTCTAAACTCAGATTGTGGTGATGGCTGCTCAACTGTGAATATGCTAAACACAGTGAACATTTTAAATAGACGCATTTTATGATGACAAATATATCTCAATAAAGGTATCAATACTGTACGAGAAAGATGAACCAAACTTCTGAGTTATCAGAATTATTTAACTGATTAGTAAATTACATCTGGTTTTTCCCTGACAAAAATCATTTTTAACCAAGGAAATACAGAAAGATCCAGTTGTATATTCAGGTGTTTATCAAGTTTAACATGTTTCCTTTTCTTTTCTTTCTTTTTTTTTTTTTTTTTTTTGAGACAGACTCTCGCTCTTTCACCTAGGCTGGAGTGCAATGGCTCGATCTTGGCTCACTGCAACCTCTACCTCCTGGGTTCAAGTGACTCTCTTGCCTCAGCCTCCTGAGTAGCTGGGACTACAGGTGTCCACCACCACGCCTGGCTAATTTTTTTTTTTTGGATTTTTAGTAGAGACGGGGTTTCACTATATGTTCGCCAGGCTGATCTTGAACTCCTGACCTCAAGTGATCCACCCACCTCGGCCTCCCAAAGTGCTGGGATTACAGGCATGGGCCACCGCGCCCAGCCAACATGTTTTTCATGCAACTGAAATTGACCAAAAAATATAAAGCCCTTAAATAAATATTTATCCAAAATGTATTTATTTCTTCTCACTTTGACTTCATGACCTTTTTTTCTTCCACGTTTTGCTCTTTTTTGCTTCAATGTTAATAGCTCCATTTCTGATACCCTCATCCAAAACTCATTTATGCACTGTGCTGTCTCTCATCTATTACTTTCCTGATTACATTTATCTGCTTCTCAGGCTTGTCAGCTTCAGTAGGACCTTTCAGCAGTGGCAAACTCTGAGGACTGAAAATCAAGAGTTAACCCCGTACCTTAGTACCCTAGCCTAGACTGTAAAATGTGTTCACATAGATAGTTTTGGTTGTTCTTTTTTTTTTTTTTTTTTTTGAGACAGAGTCTCGCTCTGTCGCCCAGGCTGGAGTGCAGTGGTGCCGTGGCACGATCTCGGCTCACTGCAAGCTCCGCCTCCCAGGTTCACGCCATTCTCCTGCCTCAGCCTCCCAAGTAGCTGGGACTACAGGCGCCCGCCACCATGCCCGGCTCATTTTTTGTATTTTTTAGTAGAGATGGGGTTTCACCGTGTTAGCCAGGATGGTCTTGATCTCTTGACCTCGTGATCCGCCAGTCTCGGTCCGCCAAAGTGCTGGGATTACAGGCCTGAGCCACCACGCCCGGCTGGCTGCTCCTTTTTTAATCCTCTCTGGTAGTTGCCATTTCATTGTTCTATTTCTATAGCTTTATTTACAAATGAAAGAAGAGAATCAAAATTAAAAGCAATGGAGACAGAGGTGCTTCAGAAGCTTTTATATTCTGTTCTCTTTCTTTGGCTATGCACTAAGGGGAAACTATGGATTTCCTAATATGCACTAAGGGGAAACTATGGATTTCCTAATAAGGGTAGGAATGTGACTAGAGCCCAGATCACTTTCTAGATAAGGATTTCATTAAACTGGAGAGGTATTCTTTTTTATGGCTTCTAAATAAATAAGTCACTAGATTTACAAAAATTAAAAAAATACTAATGGGTCATCATAAAGAGCCACATGGCTGTGAGCTGGAATTGATTTTCCATGAATCGAGCATGCTCCTAAATGGTCAGGGATGGATGCAGCTCTTCGATTTTACATTGGATTATGTCAGAAACAGTAAGCCCAGAATCTGATTTAATTTGAAATATAATAAAATTATATTTCTCTGCTGATTCACCAGGTGGTAGAAGTAGATGAAGAAGGGTTTGGTTTTGTTTTTTTTTTTTGGCTTTTTTTTTTAATTTCATTTTCCACCAGTCCTCCCTAAATTAATTTGACAGAAATGGCTTTTACAACAAGACAGCATGTGATAGGAATTGCATCAAGGATAATGAAAGTGTCAGACAAATGGCAAAATGTAATTGGGGTAGCTTGTTTTCTTTTCTCTGAAATTGTAATACATTTGACAAACCAAGATGTTGTGTCTGCTATGAAAACCTAAGTAGGGCAATTGTCTGGTAGTACTAGCTAGTTGATACTAATTAATAACAACAGGAAGAATATTCCAAACAAAATGTCTTAGAGACGTAGAGAATAAAATTGTATGACCAAAGCTAAAATTGAAGTTTTTGTTTCTCTCAGGTTAAAAAAGTGAGATTTGGGTTGAGGATATCTCAAAAATAATTGAGATGGGCATGGTGGTTCAGGCCTATAGTCCCAGCACTTTGGGAGGCCGAGGTGGCAGAGTCATTTGAGCCAAGAGTTCAAGATCACCCTGGGCAACTTAGTGAGACCCTATCTCTACAGAAAATTAAAAAATAAAATATTAAAAGCACAAAGGCTTCTGTTTAGTTCTGAAGCAATTGACTGTGACCTTAAGTAAGTTTCATTTTAATAATTGTTGCATACATTCTTTTTAGGCATGTATATACATACATATATATATATATAATGTGTGTGTGTGTATATATATATACACACACATACACATATATATGTTTGGGTTTTGGGGCTTTTTTTTAAGTGTGTGTCAAGTCTTTTTTTAAATCCTGTTTACAAAAAACCATTAGATATGTTTTAAGAATCTCAGTTCCTGGTTGAAGGAGCCGAAATATTTGAGGGATTTTAGAGGATCCCCTTTATATCAAACGCTGATATAAAACATTTTCTAAAAATAGATCTAATTGAGGGGTTTAAAAGAAAAATTATACCATTTTATTTCTCTCTCATGTACAAGTGTCAGTGAGATTTGCCCAGATCAATGGAGAACTGTTGATTACAGTCTTTCAGGGATCCATGTCTCAAGTCACCACTTTGCCATGTTCTTTATGGTAGTGTATTAGTTCATTTTCATGCTGCTGATAAAGACATACCCGAGACTGGGTAATTTATAAAGAAAAAGACGTTTAATGGTTCCACATGGCTGGGAGCCTCACAATCATGGTGGAAGGCAAAAGTCACATCTTACATGGCAGCAGACAAGACAGAATGAGAGCCAAGCAGAAGGGGAAACCCCTTATAAAACCATCAGGTCTCGTGAAACTTATCTGCTACCATGAGAACAGTATGGGGAAAACCACCCCCACGATTCAATTATCTCCCACCGGCTCCTTCCCTCAACATGTGGAAATTATGGAATCTACAATTCAAGATGAGATTTGGGTCGGGACACAGCCAAACCATATCAGATAGTGTTGTTGTCTACATATAGTGGAAGCTGGGTCACTTTCACAGGACGAGAATGTGTTCAACCAATGACTGAAAACCTGGGCTTAGAAATGTGCATATCACTCCTATTCATAGTCACATAGCCAAATCCCAAACTAAGGGAGTCTGGGAAATTTGCTCTGGCTTGGCAGCCATGATGCTGAAGAAATGAAGAGATGAGATTTTAGTGGCAACTAGCTTCCTTTGAGAAAGAAAGGAAGTTCGGAAAGCACAATAGTCACTGTATTTCTCATCTGTAAAATATAATATTAAATTTAAGTTAATTTAAGTCTTTGAAAGGAAGGCCGGGCGCAGTGGCTCATGCCTGTAATCCTAGCACTTTGGGAGGCCAAGGCGGGAGGATCACCTGAGGTCAGGAGTGCAAGACCAGCCTGGCCAACATGGTGAAACCCCATCTCTACTACAAATACAAAAATTAGCTGGGCATGGTGGCATGTGCCTGTAATCCTAGCCACCCAGGAGGTTGAGGCAGGAGAATCGCTGGAACCTGGGAGGTGGAGGATGCAGTGAGCTGAGATCAGGCCACCATACATCAATCTGGGCCACAGAACAAGACTCCATCTCAAAAAAAAAAAAAAAAAAAAGGAAGGCTCTTTCATACAAGACAATCTCTAATGTGCATAAAAACACAAAAATGTAAAAAAAAGTTACAAGTTTGAAAGTACAATACACATTTAAAAATGTGATTATTTACACATATATTTATTTTAGATCCAAGAGGTACATGTGCCTGTTTGCTGCATGGGGATATTGCATAATGGTGGGAATTTTGCTTCTAATATACTTACCTTTCAACCATAAACTGTGGATCCAAGAGATACCTTCTGTGGCTAATTTATTTTTCTTTTTAATTATGATCACCAGCAGTCATCCTTAAATAAGTAGAGTCTAAATTCTGTGGCATTCTATGCATATTAGGCATCATAAATATTCTTTCCTGGCACATTTAAATGTTTAACCTAAAACATTTTTAAATGTTTGGCTAAGGTAAGTGTGGCTCTACCTTCAATAGCCCCAGACTTATATCGTTGTTAAGATTGGAGGTCATCTTAAGGATCTTTTAAATCATCTCTATGTCCCTTTCCGTTCAAAGAGATTCTAGGTATAGAAGTAGAGATTAATGTTAGTTTGGCCCTTATTAGCATTAATAATAAATGACAAGTGATTACTGACCATGAGGACACATCAGAATCACAAATGCAAAATCCAAAATATATACGCTTGTTCAAAGCCCAGAGACACTGGTTCAATAGCTTTCTGCAGTTCCCAATGGCTTCATTTCTTGTAAATTCATAAGCCTGATTGAGAATCATTATTATTGGAATTCCAAGAACAGAAAAGAGTAAAGAATTACTTTTCCCCAAATCTGAGCTGTTCTAAATGTCTTCAAAGGCCTAAAGTGAATTGGACTGAGGCCATTAGAAGTGACAGTTGGAGAGAGGAAGAAAACAGAGACAGAAAGAGAGCACCTTTGCAGGCTAACCTTGGGTCCCCTTTTGAGGCTGTGCCCCTACCTAACTCAGAGAGTCTGGAACCAACCCCACTCTGCTTTGAAGTTTCTGTTTTGAATCAACTTTGGGAAATGTTTTCCCAAGAACCCTTTTTTACATGTTAGTCTATTACAGTTAGAATGAAACTATTTTTCTGAAGGAAATCCCTAAGCTTCCTGGGGAAGATTTGCTAGCTTTGAGCAGATGTGACACTTCACTTTTAGGTCAGCTCTGTAGAAAATCAGCAAGGTGAAACAGAGGATAGAATCCCACTTTCCTGGCATCTCATCTTTGAGTTCTTTAAGAAGGTAGCACAGGAAGAGAGATCTTTTCATTGTTCAGAACTTATCAGTGTCACCCAAGGAACAAGTAATAGCATCAGGGGGATATTTAGGTCATCAACTTTTATCCACAAAGACTTGGCTACATTCAATTTTCCATGGGCTTCAAACTCAATTTAATAAATACATTATTATTTTAAACATTTTGTTAATCACTCATGATAGGAGAATATTTAAATTCTTAAAACCAACTAATTAGATCAATTTATTTTGTACACCCATCATGGATAGAGCGGATGTAGTGGTTAAAGGAATCGAGAAAAATGAAATAAGAAAGCCAGAATCTTTCTCTCCCCCTACCTCCCTTTTACTCTCCTTTACTCTCCACCCCTCTCTTCCCTCTCCTTCCTTTTCTCTTCCTCTAAATTCCTTTGGAATCTGCCTCCTAGGCACTTTTTCCACTGCATTGTGTTTCTACTTAATACCAGTGGGATGATTTTCATCCAAACAGACCATTTAGAAAGCCTTGCCTATGGTGCTTGACTGCTTGAATAGGAGCAGTTTAATTTGCTTTCAGGACGACCTACCCTACTGTGGGAGATAATTATCATATTTACTCATATAATTTCACCTTTTAGTTTAATATTAAAAGTGAATTTTTTATTGTGTCAATAGTGATGAACATGCTCTTGTCCACATAGAAAAAGCCTACTTATCTTTCAAGATCCAGTTAAATGCCTCTTACATTCTGATTCCATCCCTTGAAGATTGTCATTCCCTGCCCTCAGTGGAAGTTGGTTTTTGCCCTTGCTGTTCTTATATTTTGTGCATTCTTCTGTTATATGACTACTTTTTCGTATGCCCATCTTCTACTGTAGACTGAATGATATCCAATTTTATAATTTCAGCTACAAGGCTGGCTTAATTTTTTTTTTACTAACTGAGTGATTAAACAAATGAATAGTCATTTAAAGGCTTTCTTTGTTGGCGAGAAAGCAGTCAAAGTAGTACAACTATAGCTGAACTGTTCTCTTTTTTCCCTTCAAATTTATTTAATTAAGTACAATGATTACCTAGTCTTCTAAATTTCAGGGCTAAGGACGGTTACTGTTAAATGTATTCCCTATTCCTTCTGGGACTTGGAAAAGCAAATTTTAAAAGTTGTAAATAAAGAAAGTACAAATATTCAAAACATAATTTAAGACAACACTAAATGGTAGCATTTTATGTGTTCAATGCATTATACTTTTTGATCTATTTATTAATTTGACCTTGACAACTACTGTTTGAGGGAAGTAAATTAAGTATTATCTCACCATCTATAGACAGAAAGGGCAGGGACATTAGGGGACTTACCCAGGTTGCATAGCAAGTGGTGGTACCAGAACTATTCTCAGATTATAGGTGCAGTATTCGTTTCACTACATCTTCTTACAGATGACAAGTATGAGGAGATACTTAGTACACTTAATGAAAAATGGCAGATTCTCTCCTTTTAATCCAGACTTTTTGTTTTAATGTATGTGTGTGTGTGTGTGTTTGTGTCTTTGTGCTTTAAATGGTCTGGATTTCAACTGCCCATTTAGGATTTCTACCGTCGTGCCTGAAAGTCCAATAGACATGAAGAGAACAGAATAGGTTTGTTTTTTTTTTAAGCAGTCATGCAGTCCCCGAGCTGACCTCACCCAGCACTGCAAGGCGGTGCTCTTCCGTGCAAGGGACTGATATTTGCAGAGCGACCTAAATCTAAACATGCACTTGATGACATGAGGTTTTGAAAAGTGGCTCGTTTCCCAGTTTTAGAAGCTGCCTTTTACATTTCACAAGTTTCATTTAATTGTCTCCATTGAACTGCCAGAGATAAATTATGCCACTGGGACCTTTTCCTTCTGGCATCTCTATCATTGTGGTATTTTATTAAAATAAATATCAAGAATAACCACGAAAGGTAAAATCAGCAGAGAAGCTGACTTCCCAGGGCAGCAGGCCCTGATGGAGAATTGTGGAAGGGGTGAGACATGCCTGCAAAGAAGCTTGGCCAAGCCCCATTCCTGTTGCTTTGGTGACGTCACAGGTGTCTATGTGAGTGGAGGTGATCATACTGCTTGTGGCCAGGCTACAAGGAAGAAGATAGGGAAGTACATAAATACCAATGGTCAGCATCCATGTTTGTCCTCTGCTTCTCTAATGATGCAGAAATGCCAGCAACTTGGGGCTCACAACAATACAGGCAGCCACTCCAATTTGCCAGGACATTGAGATGAATTCATGCAGAGGAGAACCTGAGTCCTTGATTGGCTTCTCAAACAAAGGTATAGTTTCCTGATTGTGATTAACAAAGCTCAGAGCAACTGTGCTGTGAGCTAGCTTTTTTTGTCCCTAATTTTCTGGTTATTATAGGAAATAGCTTACAAAACAGGAAAATTTTTTCTTGTTCCAGGTGATTTCTCAGACTTATTTGCCATGAAATGTCACCTTTTCAGGTGAAAGAACAGGATTTATCACAGTTAAAGAAAGATTTGACATGTGGCTTTAAGTGGTTCAAAAGTGTCTCTCAACTTTGAGTCTCTACAACATTTGTTAGAAGTGCACATGTGCATGGAAAATTTATTACGACTGTAAATGTTACATGTTCTTCAAGAATGATTATATCATTTTTATTGCTTTCAGCAGTGTCTGCTGCAAGAAAACTTTCTCGTCTTTGAGAAACTAACGAACCGTGTTTATGATCTACAAATGTGTACTGAGTAGTAAAGCAATATTCACTGACCTGCTGGAGCACTGGCTCTTCACCTTATGCTATATTACTACCCAAAGTGAGCAAAACAAATTAGAATAATTATTTGAGAGAGAGGCATGTGATGCTTCCAAGTATAATTGTCTCCAACCAATTGATAAGGTGTGAATACATTAACATCTAATTATAGTAGATTAGAAAGGGACTGCAGTTTAAGTCCCTGAACAGCCTTCTACATCTGGAATTGTTACATCCACTTTCTAGCAAACTTTAACAGAAAATATTGTTGCCCTTCATAGTTATTAGCTGTAGAATTTGGTTCTTGATTGTGTTGGCTTCTGTTAGAAATTTGGAGGAGCTAATGACATCTTTCTTCTTTATCTGAACACATTGGGAAACAACCAAGGAGGCAAATGGGAATCAAATATGTTGCTAGTTTTATCAATGGATTCCTGATAGCTCTCAAAGCATAGGGCTCTCTGGTAACATTAAATTAAAGAAAGTATCAGGGCTGACTACCTCTTTCCTCCAACTAAACTTTTCTAATGAAGCTGGAGAAAGTAGAATACTCCTGAAGAGAGAGACCTTTCCCTGGTGAGTTTATTACATGAAGACAAGAAACACAGTAAAGTGTTAGCAAACCATGAAGATCAAGCAACTGGCCCCTTTGTTATTTCAGTGCAATGACCCCATTTCCTGGTTAACATTGTCCAGTGGAAAGCGATATTTTACCTCCCTGCTCTATGAGAAAAATTGAGTAGTGTGACAAAGAGAAGAACCAGATCTGCACCTCCCCACCAGACTCCTTCTTGTGGAAGACAGGACAACACTCTAGTTATTAGCTCTTCTTCAAAGGATCCTCTTTGAAGCTTCAAGTACTCCTGTTTAAGAAATTCTTAGAGTTTGGGTTAGTCTAAATACAAAAGAAACAAACAACAAAACTTTGAAAAACTTTATAATTATAACTAAATTCCATTAAGATAATTAAATAGGTCATCTTTTTTTTTTTTTTTTTTTTTTGAGACGGAGTCTTGCTCTTTCGCCCAGGCTGGAGTGCAGTGGCGCGATCTCTGCTCAGCCTCCTGAGTAACTAGGACTACAGGCGCCTGCCACCACGATTGGCTAATTTTTTGTATTTTTAGTAGAGACGGGGTTTCACCGTGTTAGCCAGGGTGGTCTCGAACTCCTGACCTCGTGATCCACCTGGCTTGGCCTCTCAAAGCACTGGGAATACAGGCGCGTGCCACCGCGCCAAGCCCATTAAGATAATTAAATAGGTCATCTTTTCTCTTTGCCCTTGGACAATCAAGAATCGTCGGTCCCACTCCTTTAGCAGGAATGAAATCCATGTTCTTGTAAAACAGCGCCAACCCAAGATAGAGTAGACTCGGGGAGGTGTGGGTGGCAGTGGGTCGGAGTGGACGTCCTTCTCCCCTGATCTTCACACTCAAATAACAAAGCCTAGTGTTCATTATTTATGTAAAACATTTGAAATTAGTTTTAAAATGTTTCAATATCATATAGCAATGAGACTAAGTAGATTTCTTTAGTCCAAGAATAAAATAAAATCATGATGAAGTAAACCAAGTTCTGATTTTCACATTCTCAGTAATAAGCAATCTAGCCTAGTGGGAACACCTTGGAATATGATTCAGGGACTGAAGTCCTTGTGTACTGCTGTTTAAATGTATGAGCTTGAGCGAGTTACTAACGGCCTTTGCTCCCATCTGAATGCACTCTAAAAGAAAACTACAGCATTTCAGTTCTAGAAGAAGCTGTATATATAACCTATTCAAATTCCTTTTACTACAGATTAAAGATAAAAAGAAACTGAGGACAAAGCTTAGGGGTCTTTCCCAAGGTCAGATTAATTTAAAAAAGAGAAAAACAAAACAAAACACAAGAATAGGACCAAAGTCTCTTGCTTTAGAATGCCTTTTCCTCCAGTGCAGAGCTGCGGTGTGGATAATATCAGAATGCGTTATGGCAAAGAATGGCATTGTATAAATCTAAATAAGTATTACTAACGCTTGTTTGTGTATCATTGAGGAAAAAGAACCACAAAAATTGGATTTTATACATGGAACAAAAAGAAATCTGAGAAATTGAGTTTACAATAAAAAAAAACACTCTGTCAAGATTTACTTTAGCATTTCGAGGGGAAAAGTTCATTGGAAATTTTTTTTAAAATTTTATTATTATTATACTTTAAGTTTTAGGGTACCTGTGCACAACGTGCAGATTTGTTACATAGGTATACATGTGCCATGTTGGTGTGCTGCACCCATTAACTCGTCATTTAGCATTAGGTATATCTCCTAATGCTATCCCTCCTGGAAATGTTTTAAAACTACGTTGATGGTTTCTTCCCATTCAACATCATCATTATGAACACTTTGTCACTTGTATTAATTGTGTTTCATTGCGTTAATTCTGGCTCCATGGGTCTCTGCCAGTTCCGTTGCAAATAAAATGAACAAAGGAAATCTGGGATACAAAAAGTTTTCTAAGATATGTGTTAATGATAGTATCTAGAAGAAATAAGACCAGATCTAAAATCTGCACTCTAAAGGCTCTGGAGAAATAGCAGTGATTAAACATCCATTAATGAGGGCTGTTACTACCTGGTGCTCATGACCCTTGGTCCGCTGATAATTCGCCATAAAGAGATTAAAATGTAATAGTGCTTTTCTGAGGAGGCTGCAGTAACCATCTTTAACAGCACCCGTGGCAGTGTTATTGTGATTTGCAGTTTCCCTGGTGACCGCCCTTCCGGATGTCCTTCCGAAGAACAGTCAACTTCTGCCCTTCCTCCAAACCAAACTGACTCAGACGATCTGTCCTCATTGAATTAAGTGGCATCCAGGCTTTAGGCATCCTGTTCTTATCTCATTTGTGTCCTCTAAACCAGCCTATGTGCAACCCCCACTGATACTTAGAGAATGATCACAGCACACATAGCCTTGGTTGCAGGCAGGTCCTGGCTTACTTGATCAATGTCTCCAGAAATTGTATACACACTACAGTCTGGTGAGTTAAATCACATCTTAAATAAGCTAGAAGAACTCATTTTTTAAAAAACGTCCACAGAAAATCTTCCCCCACCAAGTCCTTAATTTACCTGAATTATAGCTCTGAGTTGTTACAAACAATATCAAATCTATTTAAAAATCAGCTTAACTGCAAATATCCAATACAATTAATAGTTTAGGGGAAACAGAAAGGTATGGCACGTTGAAGAAATTGACAGTTTTGAGTTTTGAATCCAGCTTTTGGTTTTGCCCTTATTAAGGTTTATAGCCCAGTGCCTGACACTGGTTCTTGATTATATAGTTTATTGCACAACTGGTAATGGATAAATAAAATAAATTCAAAAAGAAATAAATGAAATTGATCATGTGGAGATAGATTCCTAAACAGCTTTCAAAACCGAAATGCCATCTTTATGTAATTTTATTCAAAGTAATAATAACTGTGTTATTTATTACTAAAGAATTTAATTTGCTTTTGAAAATATTTTATTTCACTTAACTGTGATGGTTGTAAAAAGTTGCAGAATTTGCAGAAATATTTCATTATATTTGGCATTTATCATTTGTTTATCACTTTTGCCAACAACGTAAGGAGGTGATGAATTCAAATTTGAAAATAAACATTGAATGTGTTCAGTCTGAATTGTTTGCTTAGCATGAATTACACTTAAAGGACTATTCAGTTTTATGTGAGGTAATGGAAATACCATTCTGTGTCAATGGAAATATTAAGAAGAGGTTGGTTAGAGAAATTTCTGCATTTTGAAGAGATGGTTCCAGACCAATGGCTTGAATCCTTTGTTAGACTTTGGAATGACAAATGAAGTTGAGTAAATAACAAAAACAGAAAAAGAAAACAAAATAAAAACAAAAAAACTGGTGTCTAACCTCCACACCTGATTCTCTTGTTTGTATTTGGGTCTGGGTATAAATATTATTTGAAAGCTCCCTAATACGCAACCACAGTTGAAAACCGTTCCTCTGGAAGATTTCATTATTTCCTTCCAGCACTAAGATTTTGCCCTTCCTAGAAAGTGTTGTACTTTATTGTAGCTTAAGGAACAGGAAAAAAAGAGTGTATATTTTAATTTTGCAAGTAAAAATATTAATTGGGATTGAATGAATCTTCTGATGCAGATAACGTAAAATCACTTTTAATGAAAAAAATTAAATATTTATACAAATATCTGCTATGTTCCATGGGTGGTATACGTAGTTT
Organism: Homo sapiens; assembly: GCF_000001405.40. Lineage (NCBI taxonomy): Eukaryota > Metazoa > Chordata > Mammalia > Primates > Hominidae > Homo > Homo sapiens. Next base: position 40,209,467 of record NC_000008.11, on the reverse strand, counting down.
ACATATATGAACTAATTGAACTCTTGGAGTATAGCCTATTAACTAATATTAGAATAATTATATGAAGATGGTAGCACCAGCATCATCATCATTATCCCTATTACAGGTAAACTGATAGGGTTGTTAAGGAGTATGTTTATCTATCAATAAGTGGAAAAACTGAAACCAGGCAGTTGGCTTTAGGGGATACATAGTTACCCCAAACACTCTACTGCCTGTCACAGTTCTACAAACAGGACCCGCCACAATGTGTACACCCAAATCCTTCATCCAGCCTAGTGCCCTTTTTTAGGACATTATAGGACACTTGGGAAAAACTTGATTTATTTTCAATGAATAAGTGCAGAATTCAGCCCTGTCTAAAAGAATGAGCTATAGTCTCCAGTATCATCTTGACATTCCATTAGAAACACCTTGAAGACAGATGGAAATTCATCCCTGTTGTGAAACCCTCCAGAAAATGATATGACACAATATCCCTGAGGTCATACATTTTAATACCTAACCTCTTCTTCCCCCAAGTTTCTTCTTATATCCAATCCAAATGTCTCATATTCTAGTTTTAACTCTTTTATTTTATTATCTTCTCCTTTGTCTAGAGAGGAGCTTGAAAAAAAAAAATCTGACTTGGAACAGTTTCATTTTCCTTAGCCAGCAGCTGGGATATAGGTGGAGCTTTGTGCTCTGTTCCTACCAGATGGCCGAAACTGCTGCCCCAGTGGCGGACAACCATGAATGGGTGCCAGCATTGCTCAGGAGCTTTGAAAAGTGACCCATGGCCAAGCCCCACCCTAGGCCAATTCCATGCTGTGGTCATCTGTCCATGTCAAAAATCTACTACTTCCTAACTGTTAATATCTCTTCACGCAATGTCTTTTATGCATTGCTGGTGATTTTAATAAACTTTGGTTGACCTTTTAGATTGTATTTGCCAGTGTTGAACAGCATTCCGTAGGTAGCTACTCACACTGCCTCCCTGCGGGGCCAGTTCACCCAGTGCGTATGATCTCCTGCATAAGGATCACAGACTTCCATAGACCACAGAGGGCACTGTGCTAAGTGCCACAATTGCTGATTCTCCAAATACTGGACATGTGTTTAAATTCCTCAGCTTTCGTCAAGGGTGGAGGTTCTGTCTGGCATTATCAGTTATCTTGTTTGTGGCTGTAGTGAAAGAGTGCTGAAACATCGGGAGAAGGGACTCTGATTTTTTGCATGTCTGGGTCAAATTGCCACTCTGGGTAAAATTCTAACCAGAAAGCAGAGGCCTGTGATGCAGTAGCTGGGCCATAGGAATGCAGCCCGCACGTGGTGGCAAAACCTCAAATAGAGGTAGGGCTACTAAAAATCAGTGCTTATGAAACAAGGAGTATGAATCATGAAAATAAAGCTTCTCATTTCAATTTTTTAAAGAGTTGTACTTCACTTATATAAAGGTTTTATTTCTATCCCCAAAATGTCAGCTGAATCCATTCCTCCCTATACTCTGTTAAAGTGAGGCTAAGGAGAATGTCTCCTCCACTTCATTGCACACATGTGTCTTCTCCCTAAACAAAAAGCAGATGTTCTCCTTTATCTTCAGAATTGCACCAAGTGACTTATTGCAAGCCTATTTCCAAATTGTATAGGTGAAAATAACTAGACATGGACTGTAAGGTTAATAGATTGACAAGCAGCTAGATATTTTCCTAAGCCTTTTTATTTATTTAATAGCAGTATTTTTGAAAATTGAAGAGCATAGAATATATGATTGTGCCAACCAACAATCAATGCACATGTATTGTAATGGAGGTTGTTTTGAAAAGGAAAAGAAAGAGAAAAAAGAACAGAAAAAGAGCCTTGATAGAACAATAAAGTCGAAGCAACTACCTGGTTGTTTCAAACAACAGACCTGTTTATTTTCATTTTGGAAACATTGCTGTCATTATTGATTTACGTCAAAATGATTCTGAGCTATAAAATAGCAAACTAAAACACCCATACCTGTTCCAGGGAGAGCAAAACATCAAGAACACAAAATCAAGCAACACAAACATCACAACACTGACAGCAATAACATTAGCAACAGAACACGCGCAGTCTCAGAGTCGGGGGGAGCAGCGGCCTCTGAAGGGCAGCCACATCCTATGCGCTGTGCGCAGGGTGGGAGCAAGAACAGGAGGAAGGGGTCCACTTCTCATTTCTACCTCAGTTTTTGTTTTTCACAAGAGCTACCAATTCTCTCCTTAGTGATTTATTACTCTCACTTCAAGGGGGACATTTAATATTTGGTTTAGAAAAATGGCATGAAATTCAAGGATACCGAGAAATGCTCGAAGCTTCTCTGGGGATGGGAGGAGCAGTCAGGAGGTTTCTGTGAGCTGCAGTTTTGTTTATTGGATAGTGGCAAATTTGTATAAAAACCTACTTTTTGAGCTTCAAGTTTCCCTTTTTCTGTTCTTAAAGGAAGAATAAAGTGGCTTGGCTCTGTGAGGAATTGAACCTTCCACACAGACAGGAGCTCATTTGGAGGCAAGAGCTGCTCTGCATGTGTGGCCAGCATCTCTGGGAGGGCTGGGTCCCTCCATTTTTGTTAGAGGGTCCCACAGCAGCCTTGGTGTTCTCCTGCATGTCCAAGCTGTGGCAACAGAATGTCCCGCAGACGCTGCCTCTCAGCACCCATATCATATCCCTAGCATTCTCCAGTGTTCATTGTGAGGACAAACCTGCATATCACTTTTCTGTACTAGGGGCTAAGAATCTAAATTCAGGGAACTTTCATTATCTGTGGGCAAATCACAGTCTGTCTGGGCCACCAGCATCTAACTGAGGTAGAAGACCAGCAGGACTTATTTCCCCATCCTGACAGGATGAAGTAAAAAACCAGCAGGAACCAGCAAGTAGTGAAGAAGGCAACCTCTAGTCACTGTCACTGCTCATTAGCATAAGACGCTCCCACCAGCACCAGGACAGTTTGCAAATGCCATGGCAACAATCTGGAAGTTACCATCTCTTTTCATGAAAATGACCTGGAACTCACCACGCCTTTCCTAGAAACTTATGAATAACTCACCCTGCAATTTGCATTAACCTGCCCCCGAATTTGGATGTAATTACAGGTGAGTATATATACAGTTGCCAAGAACCCATGCACTGCTGACTCTGAGCACATGGCCCATGAGTTAGCCCTGCTCCCCAAGGAGCAGTACCCTTTAATAAAAGATTATTTCTGGGCCGGGAGCGGTGGCTCACGCCTGTAATCCCAGCACTTTGGGAGGCCGACGTGGGTGGATCACAAGGTCAGGAGATCGAGACCATCCTGGCCAACATGGTGAAACCCCATCTCTACTAAAAATACAAAAATTAGCTGGGTGTGGTGGCGCATGCCTGTAGTCCCAGCTACTCGGGAGGCTGGGGCAGAAGAATCGCTTGAACACGGTAGGGGGAGGTTGCAGTGAGCCGAGATCATGCCAATGCATTCCAGTCTGGTGACAGAGTGAGAATCCGTCTCAAAAAAATAAAAATAAAAATAAGTAAATAAATAAAAATAAAAGAATAAAAGATTACTTCTAACACCGCTGGCTCACCCTTGAATTCTTCCCTGGCAAAGCCAGGAACCATCCGTGGCTAAGCCCCAACTTGGGGGCTTATCTCTTCTGAATCTTAACCTTTAAATCAATGTCTAGGGATGGGGATAATTAAAATAATCTCTATAGGTCCTTCTGTAACCCAGGGTCCCTGGGTTCTCGGGTACACACTGTGAAAAAGTACCCACTTGTGTCTATTGCACATTGACTTCTTGCCATTTCAAAAAGTTCCAGAAAAGACAGAAAACCAAATACCACATATTCTTACTTACAAGTGGGTGCTAAACATTGGGTACTCATGAGCATAAAGATGGCACCAGTAGACACTGGAGACTACCAGAGATGGGAAGGATAGAGTCAGGGAGGGTTGAAAAACTAACTTTTGGGAACTGTGCTCAGTACATGGGTGACAGAATCATTCATACCCCAAACCTCCCCATTGGCAATCAACCTTGGTAACAAACTTGCACATGTACCCCAGACTCTAACATAGAAGTTGAAAAAGAAAAAAAAAGTTCCAGGAAGAAACTTAGCCCTGGAAAAAACAGAAAACAGTTGGATACAGATTCCTGAGTTGGAAGTGCACTTTGGCCAACTCCCTTCATTATCATACTAAAATCCCTGCCCAAGGCAGAGCTTACTCACCATTTTCTACACGTGACATATGTAGGAGCATGATCAGCCACTGTGACTGTGAGTAAAGCTGCCTTTACTCCATCTCTACGCACAGTGACTCAGCTAACTAGCTCAATAAAAGCCCTATTTCACCATTGTTTGAGAAGGTACTGCTTCGGGGAATTATTCCCAGTGCCCTCTTTACTTGCTGTAAGTAATAAGGTCCTCTTGTTACATGCTCCTTGGTTGTGGTGATTGACAGTTACCCACCAAGCAATGGAGCCCACCCATTGTGTGGGTAACACTTCCAACCTTGACATTGTATAATTAGTGATTTAATTTTTACAACAGCTGTCCACGGATGGCAGGATGGCGATCTTTTTACATGCTCCCATGCGCACACACGTAGCTCCACAGTTGGATAAACCATGGTGTAAAGTGTTAAGAGCTGTATTTTTTTAAATCCATATGGACACTGAGCTGAGTCAAGCAGAGAGAATTTTCTAAGTTTTCATATTTGCTGATTCTATTTTAATGATAAGCCTCCGGGATAGCTTACCCTGTACTTATAGCGTGAGTAAAAACAACAGGGTACTAGTATTTTTTTCAGCCACTAATTACAGTTACTTTGGCATATTTGATATATATTTAGATATGGCAAAGATTATTAACTTTTAAGTGTTCCCATCCTTCTACCCATGCCCAATTTCATCCAAGGAGAGTTTGATTTTTTTGCCTTTTCTACTTCTTGGCTATCCTCAGAAGGCCTCTCCCCTCTTTCTAGGTCTTTACCACCCTTGAGTTTTTATCATGCAAAAACTGGGAACTTAGCTGCAAGAGAATTCCAGACACCAGAGGAAAAGAGGGAGGATTAAAACATGTAAATTGTTTGTTTGGTTTTGTTTGTTTTTTTCTTTGAGGCAGAGTCTCAGTCTGTCGCCCAGGCTGGAGTGCAGCGGCATGATCTTGGCTCACTTCAACTTCTCCCTCCTGGGTTCAAGCAATTCTCCTGTCTTAGCCTCTCAAGTAGCTGGGATTCCAGGTGCGTGCCACCACACCCAGCAAATTTTTCTATTTTTAGTAGAGACGGGGTTTCACCATGTTGGCCAGGCTGGTCACGAACTCCCGATGTGAAGTGATCCACCCGCCTCTGACTCCCAAAGTGCTGGGATTACAGGGGTGAGCCACCGCGTCTGGCCAAAACATGTAAATTGAATTAAAAAACACAGAGATAACAGAGAGGAGAGCAAACTTATCGAGACTGGAATAGGAAGTCATTTTGTTTGGGGGCTTTTAAGAGAGGTGCATCTCAGCAGCTAAAGAGTATAATGGAAGAAAATAGGAAAGAAAGGGAGATTTTTACGAAGCTGTCTTGGACCATGTATTTTTAGATCTTCTTCAGGCTTTTCAAGAAAAGTAAACAAAATATTTGAGCTGTTTTTGCATTCTGTTGACTGTTCCACAGCTCTGAGACTGAACCACATAAGACCTGGTAATTATAAGAGTTTTGGTTCTTTTTAACAAGAGGAAAAAAAAAAGGAGGCTTCAAAGATAAAATCTTTGTTTAAGGCCTGGCATGGTGGCATGTGCTGGTAATCCCAGCACTTTGGGAGGCCAAGTTGCTAGGATTGCTTAAGGCTAGGAGTTCAAGAGTAGCTCCATCTCTACAAAAACTAAAAAAAAAAAAAAAAATTAGCCAGGTGTGGTGGTGCATGCCTCTGGTCCCAACTACTTGAGAGGCTGAGGTGGGAGAATCTCTTGAGCCTGGGAGGTCAAGGCTGTAGTGAGCCATGATCCCACCACTGCACTCAAGTCTGGGTGACAAAATGTGAGACCCTGTCTCAAAAAACAAAAACAAACACCCAGATTTTGTTTAGCTCGCAATTTGTGCCAAACTTATTTATGATAAAAACATAAACCTCTCCACCCCAAAGGCAAACTGAAGCAACTAATATTTCTTAAATTCATTAAGTCTTGATTTCAGATCGTATTCTCAGTGCTTAAGGCATGGGCTATATAAACAGAGATGCCCCCTTTGCTTCTTTCAAATGCTTTTTTTTTTCCAGCTAAAATGATAATTATGATGGCCACAGGAAGCTACTGTGTTATTCATGCTTTTGGCACAAATGCATGACTCTCAGTATACCAATAAACAAGCCAAGGCAGATGCTAATAAGACCAGTGCTGAACTCTGTCCAGTCTCACACAGTGCTTCCTGAGCGATGAGTCTCCAACTTGCCATTTGTAATATCAGTATAATGACCAGGAAGTGACCCTCAGATTCTCAGCAGTGTCTGATTGGGCTGAGAGTTCACTGAGAAGGAGAAAAGCAGGGCTATAATGGAAAGGGTTAAGAGTCCACCTCCCCATTTGGAGTCATTGTCAAGTCAGCCATGTAGACGAGGGAGAGAGTTCACTATTCTGTGAATTAATTATCTGCGAGTGAATTCTGTGAATTCATATCTTTGGAAAGGAAAAAGCTATTATATATTAAGATATTCATTAATAAATTAATCATTTATAAAATTAGAACTCACTCAATCATCCCTCTCTGATAACACTGCAGAGCAAGCCTAAAAACGTTCAAAGAGGCAGAATTACATGTAGTTGACAAGGGTGGTGTTGGAAAACTGTCAGAATCACCAGCCAATGTAGATCTGGGAAAATTACTCCCCTTGAAGTTTGAAGAAAATGCATAAGGATGTTGACGTGATGGATTGTTCAAAAGGGAATGATTTGGGCTTAGAAAGATGAGAGAGGCCCTTGGGAAAATTGATGTATCCACTGAAGGCTTTTGCAAACATCTTCTATGATTGTTGTGTTAAACTTGAAGTGATTGGCATTGTATCTTGCTATTATATAATTCTGTTTGAAAATCATGCTTTTAAAAAATCTACATTCAATTTATTTTTTGTTTATTCTAGGAATTAGTACAGAATGCAATTATATCCCAAATCTTTCCAAATATACAATAAAAACTTATTTTTTCTATCTGTAATGTTTCATTTCTTCCATCAGAATATCTGAAGCAAATCCACCCATGTATGTATGTGTGTGTATGTATGTGTATATATGGCTATTTTCTCTGACCAATTATTCCACATTATCCCAGAATATACCACTTCTTTGATCTGATAACTGGTTTTTATGCTAGCGGTAACAGGAATGATAACTATGGGGTGGATAGCAGGAAACTGGTACCTCTCCCCGTCCTCCCTGTCCTCACCATTCAAACTGATCTTAAATTGTTTCTCAAAGACTGGCTGTGTTAGAATCCTATCTGCAGCTTTCCCATCAGGACACGAATTCTCTAGAGTAAAGCATCAGGTAGTGTCAGCCAGTAGAGGGCACCAGCATTGCAGAATGTGTCGTCTGTTGTTCAGACAGCTGGAGTCCTTGGCATGTAGCAATTTTTGTCAGCCGTTTTCAGAAGGGAAGCAGTTGGCTTTTAATGCTGGCAGGCGGTCATTGGTAGGTGACTGCTGTATTATGGAGCAAAACTTTGTAGGTGATCATTGGTAGTTGACTATTGCGTAGCAGAACTTTGCCCATTACTTTAAGATAAACAAATAAAAAGCATAGCTCATTCCTAAATCTTAAATCCTTTGCTTGTCAGTGATACTACCCCACACCCCACAAACCTCTTTCAGCTTTTACTTATAAGGGCCACTCTGGAAAATTCCATGCCATAGGGGGAACAAGATATGACAAAATCATTAAAAAGGTAAAGGAGGATAGAAGAGTGTGTCCCATTAAAGAAAATATCTTCAGTATTGATAACCAGGAAACTAGAATTCATTCATTTCTATGAATGAGAAAACAAGTATGTTGAAGAGACATCAAAGGACATCATTTCAAGAATTTAGGGAACTCAATGTTAAATTAAAGTCTCATGCCAGTGGGATTCGAGTGGAACCAGGCCAGAGATGAGGAGGCAGATGACATTTCTTGTTCTGGTGCTCATATAAAAATGTTCCATTTTGGTAATACAAAATAATTGAATTAAATGAATGTGACAGTAAGCAAGTGATGTCCATTTAGCAATGGTGGATCATTTCCTCTGCAGATTATTCATGAAAAACTTTAGTGTTAGGTAGTCTGATGGATTTATAAGGGAGAGCCCATAAATTTTAACAGCAGTCTGAAAAAAATGAATTTGGAAAAATGAATTCTCTTCTTCAAATTACCATTAGAACCCATTCCAAAGACGAAAAGAAATGACAATTGGATTATCTGTTCCACAGTCCTGTTTCCTTAATGGAGACTGATATTTGAATGTAATTTGGAAATGTTACTTGAAGAAAGTAACAGCCAAGCAGAATTAAGAGCAGATAGATCAATAGATAAGCCATTAGGCCCTCTATTCATAATGTCACTGCGCAGTGCTGTGGCCCATGTGTTTGTGATTCGCTGTTCTTTTCACTGTCACTTCATTCTCCTGGTCCTGCAAGTTCATTCTCTTGATCCTGTTAGTTCAGCCGATTAGAAGAGCATGGCGCTAAAAATAAAACCAAGGTCACTGGTTTGACTCCCGTACACTCAGGATACTGAGATTTTAAGGCTTCGCGTTGCATTTTTACAGCCTCCTCGCAAAGACTAGTCCCCCCTCTGCCCAGCTAGCAATGGCTTCTCTGTGCAAACCCTTATTCCAGCAAGTCCAGAATTGATCCCATTTTCAGTTCTATTTTTTTCTTGTATGTGGAATCTTTTTCCAAGCCTGATATCTAGTGGTGAAAATGTGCTCATTATTTCAGGTCCAGGTGACACACCACATGCTATACAAAGCCCTCCCTGATTGCCACTGCCTCACGAAGCATTTTTCTCCTTTGGTCTCTTCCTGCACTGTGTGTTACTTCATGAAAGCTGTCATATATGTCACTTGCAATCATATATTTTATCTTGTAACTTATTATTTATGTATATTTATGTCACTTGAGATTACATATCTTATCTTCTAATATATCTTCTATTATATTACTTTTTGTATTTCCCACACTACTGATATGTTGCTTTATGAAAATTAGAGGCTCCAAAAGAAATTATTGGCTATATTAATACATTAGTTAACAAATTAATTGATGTTGAGAGAGATTGGCCTGGTTCGGCTCTTGAAAAACCAACTAAATAACACATTCGAGTGGCAGTAGGTCTGTGTATAAAGGAAAGGGCTCTTTTTATTTTCCTTTTTCCTTAAATGACAGTTACTGTGTGTACTCTGGACTGAGAGGTAATGAATTACCACGCTGAATACAACAAAGTCAGGAATAAAATATGAACACTCATTATTCATACTTATGCTTTGATTTATCCTTAGCATATGCAGAATGAAAAGAGGTGAGTGGCAAGCTGGCTATTTTACGTTTCAGATCCGTATTTTCTCTCTCTGGGGTGGAATAGAGGAAATTCTTTAGGAAGGAGGGCAATTTTTAAGGCAGAAGTCTGCATTACACTAAAGGAACACAAGAGGGAGCCCTTTTTCAACTCAGACGTAGGGAAAAAGAAGTCTGCCCTTCGTTTGAAGAGGGGTTGAGTTCTCTAACCCGTTTGAGGGATTTACTGACATGGGCAATTCGCTTTCGCCTTTTAAAATTTCAAAAACATGCAAAATAAAAAATAACAATTATATTATGATATATAGTGAGTTTTGAAGAAGTATGTTGAGATTGTATCTAATAAAAATATTTCCCTTAAATTTTGTTTTTTCTTTTTATGCTAGAAGCAACAAACTGAATCCATTTTGTTTAGCAGTACATATTTATCTGTACTTATATATATGTGTTTACACTGTGTATGCGATCTGGCATTTCATGTGGTTTGCTGTGTGCATTATGATTTAAGGGAAATTCAGGGAATTTCAATTTTAAGGGAAATTCAGGGAGATCTGAATTTAATCCCATTTACCCCATTGCCTGACTTTAGATAATTAATCACGTTCTCCCGTTTCTCAGTCTGCATAATCAGAAGGCCAAATTAGATGACTTCAAAGGTTCTTTCCAGGTTAAATAGTTTACTGCGTCTGTGAACTATGACTGTTTTATTAAATCTTTGATAAAAATTTATGATTTTTAGGATTTGGCTATCAAATGGATATAGCTTATGGTTTCCTTAGTAAAAGAGTCAGTAGAAAATTGAATATGTTGAAGATACAGTGTTTTAGCAACCAGGAGGGAATATATAGGTACCCGCTGGTCTTTGAGTTCAAAATATTTTTGTGTATTTTCTACACAAATATGTTACTCAAATGGTCTTGAGGTGACTCATTTTTGGTTGCTGGGTTAGTTCTATAAATACATGAAGACATTGCTTAATCTTTCTTTTTGATTAGTGTGTTGGGTTAAATGACCCAAGGAAATGTTCTTTTTTTCTTCTTCTTTTATTTTTTTTAATTTTTAATTTTTGGTAAGGAGGTCGTAATGGCTAGTTTTTTTGTTGGTTGTTTGTTTGTTTTATTTTAGCAGTCTTTTTTAAGTATCTGTATTTAGAGGAGTAAATACAACTTCACTAGATTAAGATACTGTTTAAAGCACTTACATAATAACTGTCTAAATTGAGGGGTGGGTACCATTATCACCATAATGCTGAGCTGAATTACTTCGTTTGTGTCTTCAGCCCATGGGTGAGGTTATCACGCTAGCTCTTGTACTCGAAATCTGCCTCTGTTTGCAGAGACACTCTTTTTCCTCCCACCACCTTCCTCGCCTTGTCCTTGTTCTCTCCTGGGGGCTGAGAATCTCCTATTCCTCTATCAGGGCAAAGGAATCTCTGATAGTAAAATGGCCTGACTAACAAGCACAGTAGAGAATATAAAAACATTTGAATGGATGAGGGCTCAGGAGATTATTTTCTGGAGCAAAGTAACAGAAACACAGTGGCTTTAGTAGTTTCGGGAAAGGAAAAGCGAAAGGATAATCTGGCGGCCGCAGGAATGTAGCGCATTGGTTACGTCATTGAAAGGGGAAAGATAATATGTAAAATAATGTAAAATATGTAACCATCATGTAAACAATTTGGAGTAGATAGATATTCTAAGGCTTGGGAATACACTTCCTCCTTTCATTCATTCATTGTCTCAGCAAGCACTTGAGCACCTTCTATGTGTCAGGTACTATATACCAGGCCCTTGATATTGACATTGAATTAGACCTGTTTCATGGTTGTAAGATTATTGGTGTCTGAATAGGAAAGTAAACAGGTAAACACATTAAAGTGGAAAAGAATAGGCATATGCCAGAGAGAGTGGAGGCACACGGAAGGCATACTGGTTGTTCATGCAGCTTTGGGCAGGAACGGGATTGCAAGCAGCAGAAAATGTTTTGCAACCACACAAGGATAACCATGGCACAGCGTGTTTAGGGAACTAAACGTTGTTTGGAATTATTGAAGATCAAAATTCAAGGGAAGGAGTGGAGGGGAGGGAGGCTGGAGAATCAGGGATGGATCAAACCATAGGAAGCTTTGTAAGCCATGTTAAAAATGCATGGCAGTTTATGTTAAAGGTGACACATCTCATGTGGGGAAAATGTGTTTTATGTGGAGGAAAGGAATGGTAAGATGAACACTTTAGAGAGATCACTGCAAAAGCTCTGAGAGATGGATGTGAGTGAGATAAGAATGAAGGCATGGAGACCAGATAGCAGGCTCTAGACCAGAAATGATGAGGATTGATTAAGTTTTCTATAAGAGCAAGCTGCACCCTTACCTACCTTTACTGACTTGATTTTGCATAAATATACCACTCATCACAGTGATTGTATATTTTGAGTTTGAGAGTATTTTCCTAATTTTAAAAGCCTTTTCTCCACACTCCCCCTCCCCCCACCCTTTTGTCCTCTTGTCTGGTAAGAAAGACAAAAAGGCATTGCTAAGCTCCTTTTCCACGTGGGGAGACTAAGCAGAGAGTCGGTAATGAAACTGGGATTAAAACTTGCACTATTGCATCTGAATTTGTATAATTTTCTTTCTTTTTCTTTAACTTTTTTAGAAGCCCTTCTCCTAAGCTGCCAAAGAAAGACGTTATGTTGAAGTGAGGCAGTGGCCAATTGCAGTTAATATGGTTGCTTAAAAAACAAACAAAAATCAAGAAAGTGAATTTCACCAGGTGAAAAACTCAGCTGCCAAACACATACACATGTATGCATATATGTGCATGTGTGTATGTGTGCATGTGTGTATGTGCATATAGGTTGTGTGCTTTCTTTTTTCTTTTCTTTCTTCCTTTTTTTTTTTTTTTCTGAGATGGAGTCCTGCTTTGTTGCCCAGGCTGGAGTGCAGTGACACAATCTCTGCTCACTGCAACATCCACCTCCTGGGTTCAAGGAATTCTCCTGCCTCAGCCTCTCAAGCAGCTGGGACTACAGGTGCACTCCACCACGCCCAGCTAATTTTTGTATTTTTAGTAGAGACGGGGTTTCACCATCTTGCCCAGGTTGATCTCAAACTCCTGGCCTCAAGTGATCAGCCTGTCTTGGCCTCCCAAACATTACAGGCGTGAGCCACCATGCCCCACCGGTTATGTGCTTTCTGACACAGATGAATATGGGTGTACATGGTAGCCGCTTTGTACCTTTGTCCTTGGACTTTGTTTTACAACTTTGTCCTTGATTTTCTCCATGCGTGGATTAGGAAAAAACACTGTGGAGCAAGGTCAGTGGCATCTGGTCTCTTAGAAATGGGTTCTGTAGGTACCTTTCAAATGAAAAGCACTGAGCAAGAACTGTTATTGCCGACCGTGTGTTTCTCTCCTGCTGGTTGACAGAGTCCAACCAGCAATCCTATTACCCAGAAAGAACACATTTCTTTAAAGGCTAAATTTGTCCATGGGGATTTTTTTTAACATTTTTTTTTTGGTACAAAACCTGCCCAACCCGAAATGCCTTTACTGGTGTTAGCACCTGGTGACAATTATACATTTCTCTCTTATTATTGGATATAAAGAGGCAGGTTGTATACTGAGGCATCATTTTCCTTGCTAAAAATAAGCTAATCTCTCTTACCAGGTCTTCGGGCACTAAACAAGGAAATTTTCTTCTTTGGTAAGTTTGCTTTTTGCTTACCTAAAGTCATGTCCCTGGAAGGGTAATTAGTCATAAGGGTTCTGGCATTGAGTGCCAGCAGTACTATAACCACATACGTCAAAAAATAAAAATTCTCTGGAAAAAAAAAATGCCATAAGAGTTTCCCAGATGTCTCAGTATCCATCTGATAACCAGTACAAATTGCTTTGGCCTCCTGATTGACTCAGCTGTTGAGCCCTTGATAATGTATATCGGTATTATCTCAGAAATGCCGCAGAGAAAAACAGGGATTGTCCTAGAGGTGTGCTGAGTATAGTCCCTCTTCTTCTCTTTATTCTAATTGCAGTTAGATCAAAAATAGTTCATTTATCTGATTAAGGTGGACCTGGCTTAGAAACAAATGCTATGCTGACTTTAAAATGTGGAAGGCATGATTTCTCTAGAGATAAAAATATGCAGGGGAAGCACAGCTGTGAAGCGTGGGGATGAAGACTTAAGGGAAGGATTATTCTTTTCCTTGTTCCCCTGTGTCTGCTTTAGCATCTCTGCACTTTTAGGACCCTTTTTACACCAAGATCAGAATTAATGGAGCTGTTCGCTCGAGCTCAATTATAGAGTACTCATCTGAGAAACTGTAAGGAACAGAACTGTAAATCTTATAACCAAATATTGAATTATGACTAATTTATTTACTTAGGGAATTGAGAACCCTGAGTTCTACAGTCAAATGTGTAAAGATTTATTATGAAATGACATTTTTAAGAGCAAGAGGAACAAAGCTTGTAATGGTTTTTCTATAGTAGAAATGTCTCCTAAATAGCAGGGTTGTTAAAAGCAAAACCTAATTTAGAAAGTAGAGGCAAAGTTGCCTCTTTATACCAGACTACGGGACACTGCAGCAAAACCACCTTCAAAAGTTATTGCCCAACACTCTCTTGCCACCTGTCAAAAATGAAATGAAAACTTGCCTTTTTTCCTCATACGTAGAAACAAAACGAAGCTGCAGAGACTACTATAGCATTGGTTTTGCTCTCTGACCCTCCCATGTTAAAGGAACATAGAAATTATCCAAGACAGTATTTTCAACCACATATCATGGGCCTTTGAGATGATGTAGCATCGATAAACTTCTTATTGTTCACGTTTTATAATCTTCCAGTAGAGTAGACAATTCTGACAATTGTGTATTTTCTTCTTCTTGTTTCTTTAAAGGTACAGAATTAGAGACTGCTGGATTGGCTTTTGCAGAGGATCAATGATTATAGAATCAAATGTATTCCACATGCACCCTACTATAAATTTTATTCCTACAACATCTTGAATTTAAAAAGCCAGACCATATTAAATATTCACCAACAAGAACTATACCTAAGATACGCCTTAGATTTTTAGAGATGATTGATTATATAAAATATCAAACTTAGCAGTCAAAAGTCTTAGTGACAAACAGTGGAGCCTCAGTTTACACAATATAAACCTGAAACAGTTGCTATGAATCTTGTACTTGTAAAATAAAACCAAAGTTATGATCGACAGATGAAGGTGAAATTGTATTTCTGAATCACCAATGGGACTTCCTCACTGCTGGTGGTCCAGCATCTTGGAAGGGAGGGGAGGGGTTGGAGGATATGCAGAGATGGAGGACATATAGTTAGAGAAGGTCCCACAGGTTATGCCGATGTGAACGCCTACCCCCAAACCCACACAGTTTGGAAGTTCGTTAATTTAAATCAGTGGTTTTTCTAATGTCATCTCCCAAGGGACATTTGGCAATGTCTGGAGACATTGTTGGTTGTCGCAACTGCAAGAGGTACAGGTGGGAGTAACTGGTATTTAGTGAACAGTGGGTAGGGATGCTGTTGAGCACATGCTCAAGACAGCTCCCACAACAAAGAATTATCTGGCCAAAACGTCAATAGTGCTGAGGCTGAGAAATCTGATTTAAAGAAACTCTGGATCAAAGGTTGGCAGGCTACCACCTGTGGGTTAAATCTGGCCCACTGCATATTTTTGTAAATAAAGTTTTATAGGAACAAAACCATATACATTCATTTTTGTATTGTCTATGGCTGTTTTCATACTACAAAGACACAGTGGAGTAGTTGTGACAAAGATTATGTGACCCGCAAAATCTAAGATATTTATTATTTTGCCCTTTACAATTGAGCACTTTGTAATGTAAATAATCATTTAATTTTTAGGTAGATTTAAATGAAAATTAGGTGATTATTAGATATTTAAATGGTTCTGGATTGTCTACTTGTGAGTCATTGTTAATTCTTAAGGTTCCACTCTTAAAATTTGTTCAACTAAAAATCATAGTAATATTCAATGAAGTCTATATCCAAGAGGTTCTGTGGTTCTAGGTAGGATGGGGCCTCAATTGTATATAATTTTACGTGATTTCCTTTTTTTTTCTTTTTTTTTTTTTTCTTTTTTTTTTGTGACAGAGTCTCACTCTGTCGCCAGGCTGGAGTGCAGTGGCGTGATCTAGGCTCACTGCCTCCCGGGTTCAGGCAGTTTTCCCTCCTCAGCCTCCTCAGTAGTTGGGACTACAGACATGCGCCACCACACCCAGCTAATTTTTGTGTTTTTAGTAGAGATGGGGTTTCACCATGTTGGCCAGGATGATCTCTATCTCTTGACCTCGTGATCCTGGTCCTCCCAAAGTGCTGGGATTACAGGCTTGCGCCACCACTCACGGCCTGTGATTTCTCTCTCTTTTTTTGTGTGTGTGATGGAGTCTTGCTCTGTCGCCCAAGCTGGAGTGCAGTGACGCTATCTCGGCTCACTGCAAGCTCTGCCTCCCGGGTTCACGCCATTCTCCTGCCTCAGCCTCCTGAGTAGCTGGGACTACAGGCACCTGCCACCATGCCTGGCTAGTTTTTTGTATTTTTTAGTAGAGACAGGGTTTCACCGTGTTAGCCAGGATGGTCTCGATCTCCTGACCTCGTGATCCACCTGCTTCGGCCTCCCAAAGTGCTGGGATTACAGGCATGAGCCACCATGCCTGGCCTATGATTTCTTTAAGAAAAAAAATTATGAGGATAAAATTGCATATTTGCTTATGATGAGACAATAAATCTCAACAAATTGTTGGAGCCTTGCATATTCAAGTCCCTTTCTTCTGACACCTGTTTGGTCGCTTTTCCAGAAGTGCTTGCATCAAACTGCTTCCTGATTGCATCCTGCCATACCTTCTTCTAGAACACCAAATCACAGCAATTCTGAGCACCCACAGGGTGCTGCTGCAACCCAGGGACTTTGAGCTCTTTGCCCACTTCCCTATATATTCAATTCTGCACAAATGTGTCTGGCAGGACTTTTTTTTCAATGATTAACCAGCACCTGAAAGTCTGGGCTTTGATTCTGGCTTTGCCGCTCATTTGCTGTGTGATCTTGGGCAAGTGAGTACGTCTCTGTGTCTTACTTTACTACACAGTGAGAATGTAGACTGTTCCTTTAAGTGTCTAATCTCTTTAAGCCATCGCTCAATTTTCTTTCATTTCAAAAATTTGAATTATCTTGGATTTGTCTTAGAAACTTTTTATTATCTGTTATATTGCCATTTCTCTGCCAGTTAAAGGAAAATTGGTATCTTAAGACCAATATTCTTTTTCAGTTTCAGCTCTATTCTATCCTAGACATTTAAATAGTTCTGAATTGTCTGCCTATGAATCATTACTATTCCTTACAGTTTCTCTCTTACAATTTATTCTACTAAGCCTGCTCCATCAAAACATACGTTTTCTTCTTTGTGGCTTATTTTTTATGCTTAGAAATATGCTCGATGCACTCTATGTAAGAAGGTCAAATAATTCAGCTGTGAGAATCTAAGAGAAATATCTTTTTTCTCTTGAGATTTTTCTGAACATGCAAAGGACTACAAATCTTATCTATTTTCCCCCAGATTATCAACAGAGTTTTAACTCCATTGTTCATGTTTCAAACATGAATAATCCCCTCACTGGATTTTTCATCCAAATGAGCTCTCTAACACATAACTTTAAACTACAGTCTAATTTTAGTCTGGGTATTCAGCTCAAGAACTAAAGAACTGCCACTTCGAGTTAGGCCAAGGATTAATCTTGCCCAAACTACTAACTCTGACAATGGCACCAAGAAACTTGGGGAAGGGGGATATACAGCATCAGTGAAGAGTGGTGAGATGGGAGAAAGAGGGGCTATAATGAGGGACAGAGAAAACAACCATCATTACCACCAACTGCCATGTCCATGATATTCCTAGACATTTCAATTTTATTATGCAAGATGAATTTATATGCCTGTATCCCTATGTCTGAGACCTGTTCCCACCTAGCCCTGATTATACGAGGTTATGGCAGAATCATAGATAGTGGGCATTGCTGTAGAGCACCTTAGAATGAGTTTTCTATATGGGGAAACTAAAGTGCAGGTAATTTTTAAAAACTTTAAAAAATATTAATTTTAGCTGTTATCAAAGTAATATAAGCATATCAATAAAAAATATGGAAAGGCCTTTAACACACAACAGCCTTGCCTACCTACCCTCCCAAGCCTGTAGTCACACTCCTTAGAGGCAAATACTTTGGCTGATCTTCTGTTTCCTTTTGTGTTTGCCTCCATAATTCTACATGAGATGCTTATGTAATCATTTCCTGATTTCCATTTATAGACATAAGCTATTACTTGCTGGCTCTGCTAGCTGACTGGAGGAGCAATACTGGGTAGAAGTTACAAATAAGAACAGTGGAGCCAGGCTGCCTGGGCTTAATGCTTGAGACCACTCCTTCCCAGCTGTGTGGCTTTGAACCAGTTACTTTATATATCTCACGTGCCTTATATGTTTGATGCATGATATACACTTATTTGGTAATTATGAGAGTTAAATGGATGAGAACATGTAAAGCATCTAGAACAGCCCTCAGTACACAGTGTCAATAAACACAAGCTGTTTTTATTTTTAATTAATAATTTTTGTTTTTTAGAGACAGGGTCTTACTCTGTCACCAAGACTGGTATACAGTGCTGCCATCGTAGCTCACTGCAGCCTCCAATTCCTAGGCTCAAGCGATCTTCCCACTGCCTCCTGAGTCGCTGGGAATACAGGTGTGAAGAAGCTTTTTTTTTTTTCTTTTGAGATGGAGTCTCACTCTGTTGCCCAGGCTGGAGTGCAGTGGTGCGATCTCGGCTCACTGCAACCTCCACCTCCCGAGTTCAAGCGATTCTCCTGCCTCAGCCTCCCTAGCAGCTGGGACTACAGTCACGCACCACCACACCCGGCTAATTTTTGTATTTTTAGTAGAGACGGAGTTTCATCATGTTGGTCAGGCTGGTCTCAAACTCTTGACCTTGTGATCCGCCCGCCTCGGCCTCCCAAAGTGCTGGGATTACAGGCAAGAGCCACGGCAAGCCATAGGTTTAGCAGTTATATGCCACTCCCCTGCCTTATGTTCCGCTCTCCCAATACCATATTGACAGGTAAATCTCTAGTGAGTGAATATATTATTATCATCTAAAACTATTTATGAATAACAAGCTCTGAGACTCCTGCAGTTACATTTCCATTCTTGACTAATGTGTTGGTTTTTTTCCCAGAAACCACTTATTCCCCCAAATTAGTAACATCTTCATTGATTTTTTAAAATTTTTAAACATTTTCATGACACTTGTTATTTGAAATATTACTAACTGATGACTATTTATATTAAAAAGTTAAAATCATGGCCTGGCAAAATGCTCTTTTATCACTATTTAGAATTTCCTATTTTGTGAATCCCATGTCCTCCTCTTTCTTTTTAATTTCCTCTTTTTTGGGAGCATTTTTCCCAGTAACTTCCACAGAAAGTGTTCATGGAATATGCATTTTTGATAGCAAGGACTGCCTTTTTTCTGTATCATACTTGACAGACAGCTTGGGCTCTATGTAGTATTCTAGATTGAACATCATTGCCCGCAGAATGTTGAAGGTGGTATTTTCCAAATTTTTTTTCTTTTTTTTGAGACAGAGTCTCGCTCTGTTGCCCAGGCTGGAGTGCAGTGACGTGATCTCGGCTCACTGCAAACTCCACCTCTCAAGTTCAAGCTATTCTCCTGCCTCAGCCTCCCGAGTAGCTGGGATTATAGGCGCGTGGTGCCACGCCCGGCTAATTTTTGTATTTTTAGTAGAGATGGGGTTTCACCACGTTGGCCAGGCTGGTCTCGATCTCCTGACCTCAGGTAATCCACCTGCCTTGGCCTCCCAAAGTGCTAGAATTACAGGTGTGAGCCACCATGCCCGGCCCCTATTTTCCAACTTTAAAAGGAATAGATTACTTTTCTGATTAATGGTATTTGTTTGTAACCTCTTTTTATTCTTCTGAAATCCTGTAAAATCTTTATCCTAAGTGACGCTTTATAATAATGTGGCTGATTTTGTTTGTTTTGTATTTCATTGTATTTGATACTTGGTGAATCATTTAAATTTAAAAACTCATGTTCTTCAATTCTAGAAAATTTTCTTGAATTATTTCTGTAATAAATCTCCTCCTGTTCAATTTCTCCATTCTCTTTATGGAACTCTTAATAGTTAAATAATAGACAACCTGAGGTGATTTTTCGAACTTCTTTGTTTTTTTTCTGACAGGTTTTTTGTTCTTTTTCTGGGGAATTTCCTCAGCTTTACGCTCTGGTTCTTCCACAAGAGTCTCCTGTTTTTGCAACCACGTATTTTATTTTCAAGAAGTCTTACATATTTTCTGACAGTTTGCTTTTACTTGGCATCCTGGTCTTATTTCATGGCTTTGGTATGGACAAGAAGGACTCACTGAGGTTTTAAAGAATCCTATATATCCACCTGGTTTCGTATGATGGTGATCACAGTCCTGCATGTGATCTTCAGCTTTATAAATCCAAGGGTAACAAGGTTGTAAGAGATAAGTTCCCAGGAATAAAATTCATAACAAAATCAATTTACAGAGGCAGATCTGCCAGGATGATAAGAGAATTAAGATATGCTGGCTAGGGCAGTCTTCCCCAGTATCAAGATTCTTAGAAACATTAAGTTTGACAAGCAAGGAATTTTTGAGCAAATGAGTTGTATGGTATGAAATAATAATAATTTTATTTACACATGAAAATGTTCAAATGTGTATTTATTTTCTATTTCTGTTCTTGTCCTAGCCATATTGACCTGCTTTTCAATTCTACCTACACTAAGGCTTGAAAACGGCCAAATGAATAAAACAGAACCTAACTGGGCTTTAACATGACCTGGGAAACGAGTTAAAATTGTGTGTGTGTGCATATATGCATGTATGTATATGTATGTGTATGCATATACAGTATATACATAAGCACACATCAGGCTACATCCCAGACTTGCTGAATCGAATTTATTAGGCATGGATCTCAGCATCTATTTCAAGCACATCCCCTAATTCTGGTCCCATATACCTGCAAATTCTGAAATAAATGTTCAGACTGGTCTCCATCTAATGCTTGTGCCAGAGACAAGAGTTAACCTCACAGCCATGGCCTCTTGGGAGCTCCTCTTTTCCTTAAAGCTCTGACTCTACTTGGCTCTGAGCTACTGGCCAGACTGACTTTATTGTCAGACAGAGATGGATTTTCATCTAAGTTCTGCCAAGATGTGTGATCTTGGCTAAGTTATTTAACCTCCATGAGCCTGAGTGCACTCATCTGCAAGCAGGGAATGATAAGTACAAATATAGTAGAAAAGATGCCTAATATGTGATAGAACATCAAAAAATGCTAGTTTCCTTCCTTTCTTGATGGCATTTTGGATGAGTGCTTCCTGATGAGGGAGGAGATCATAAGCTCACTGATAAAGTGTCGCCAGCTACCCGACATGATGACTTTCTCTTGGTAGACCTCTTGCACGTAGTGGGCCCCATCCACAGGGTGTGGGTCTTCCTTAGATTCAGTCCTAGACAGTGGCACTTCCTGATCTGAGTGCCTTGTCCTTTTCCTGACTTTGTCATTTTCCGACCTTGTACATCTGAAGAGGCAGTCGTGGTAGAGGGGAAATAGCGTTGGGACTTGGAGATTGCCATGGCTTTCTTCTCTGAATAACTGAATAACCTTGGAAGTTTCAAACATTTTCAAGTTATATGTTCTCTTTGTGCATTTTTATGCCACTTTTCATCTATATAATGTGATTGTTGTGTGCATTTTATAGTTACTGTATATAGCGTGTGATTCTTGGCTTAATGTATGCCTGTTTTTTGGAGTGCTAAGCTCCATGTCCATTCTGCTCAGCACTGCATCCCCAGCACACCTTGCATGGGGATGATCACCTAATAAAATCTCAAAACATATGTATTGAATGAATGAATGAATTATTAAATGAATAATATAGAGATAAAGTCATCTGCTCTTTCTTTCTCATGATAATTATACAGATCAAATTAGATAAAGTACATGCAAATGCTTTGGAAGCTGTAGTAATACAAGTGTAAAATACTTCACTTTTTTTTTTTTTTTTTTTTTTGAGATGGAGTTTCACTCTTGTCACCCAGGCTGGAGTGCAATGGCATGATCTTGGGTCACTGCAACCTCCGCCTCCTGGGTCCAAGCGATTATCCTGTCTCAGCCTCCTGAGTAGCTGGGACTACAGGTGCCTGCCACCATGCCCAGCTAATTTTTGTATTTTTTAGTGGAGACAGGGTTTCACCATGTTGGCCAGACTCGTCTCGAACTCCTGACCTCAGGTGAGCCACCCACCTTGGCCTCCAAAATGCTGGGATTACAGGCTTGAGCCACTGCACCTGGCCTAAAATACCTCACTTTTGTTAACCTATACCTCTGCCATTTGTTAACAAACAGCATTGAGCCTAAAAAGTGTGCTTTAAATAGCCAGCAACAACAGCAAAAGATGTGTAGACCCTACCCAACACGAACTAAATCAGAACCCCTGAAGGTGGTGCCCGGGAATGTGTGTTTTCATAAGCCCTCTAGGAAGCGATTCAGACACATGCTGAAGTATAAGAACTATTATTCTGTAGGACATTCTTGACAAGGCTATTAGAATGGCAGAAATTACCATTCATCTTTATGATTATTATTTTATTTACCTAAACAATTCCTTTAAATTTCATCTTCTTTTGACCATTTTGATCTCAGAAAGGCCAAACCATCAGAAAGGCCTTCCCTAGACATCTATTCTGGACATTAGTTCCTTGTTTATTAACTTCATAGATCATAATGTATATTTACTTTATTGTTTCTGGTCTGTTTACTTTTTTAGTCTGTCTCTTCAAAATAGGTAAGTATTCTACAAGGAAGGGTGGAGTTTTTTTTAACCAATAATTTTCCCCGGTTCTCAACACAGTGGTGCCTAGCAGAGTTCAAGGAATGTTTTTGTTAACTGGATATGCGCCCTTAACAATATATTAATTGACAATGAGTGTCTATGGATTAATAAAATATAGACTTCATACTGAGTCATGGTTAGGCTCATATTAAAATTCATGCCTGCTTTCTGAGAATCAATACAGATTTATCAGACTCTCAAATTCTCTAAATTTTAATTTTCCTTTTTCTTTCATAAAGGAAGTTGAGATTTCTTCCAGTAATAAGGACTGAATGGCGTCTGTGCTCTGTGGCCAATATCATTCAATCTTTTTTTGCAGTAACTTGGAGGCTTTCTCAACACGGTGTCTCCTGTATAGTTAACTCTTGGTTGTCTGTGGGCAAAATACTTTTTATGAATCTTGCTTTGAGGTCCTTAATGAAATTGTATCGATTTATATTTTTAAGCCCTCCATCAGCCCTAGCAGAATTCAGCCCATCGGGGTTTCTTTTTAAATAAATAATCACCTCTCCTAAGATGTAAGTGTGTGCGTAATAAATACAGCGAGTTCATTCAGACTGGTTTGAGAAGAGCAACTGTCTTCCGCACTTCCTTAGCTGGTAGATAGGGAACATCCCGAGCATTTGTACCAACTGGGATAGATGCCAGCTCTCTGGCTCTGCTGATTTACCTCTTTGCCCAGTGTGAGTTGATTGTATTAAAAGAATTAGGCTTTAGGCCAGGCGCAGTGGCTCAAGCCTATAATCCCAGCACTTTGGGAGGCCGAGGTGGGCAGATCATGAGGTCAAGAGATTGAGACCATCCTGGCCAACATGATGAAACCCCGTCTCTACTAAAAAATACAAAAATTAGCCAGGCATGGTGGCATGCGCCTGTAGTCCCAGCTACTTGGGAGGCTGAGGCAGGAGAATCGCTTGAACCCGGGAGGTGGAGGTTGCAGTGAGCTGAGATCACACCACTGCACTCCAGCCTGGTGACAGAGCAAGACTCGGTCTCAAGAAAATAAAAAATTAAAAAAAAAAAAAAAGAATTAGGCTCTAAATAGTCAGTGAGGCTACCTTCCATTTAGATTAGTTTTTTTCTAAAATATTTGCCACTGGATTATAGATACCATGATTCTGTTTTATTTTCTGATGAGTCAAGGGAAGACAGTTTATATAAAACAGCATTTGCATTATTACTCAAACAAGGAGATACACCTTGTATTTAAGAATAATTCAATCAGGAAGAAAGAAAGCAATTCCTAAGAGATCCAATAATACTGTCTCCCTAGGAAAGGAAATTCTTTCTTGAGCCTCACTGTCAGGCAATTTACTTAGGCAGCAGCGGCCCCTTTTCCCCTTGGAACCAGGATGGCTAACAATAACTTTTTTTTCCTCCCACGCTACAGAAATCACCTCCTGGTCATTAGCCTGCTTCCCTTCCCTTCTTTTTAGGCTACTGCCATCTATTCAAATCCTTACAGGTCTGTTTTTCCAAGATGGGCTGTGATGTGCTCAGTATCTCCTAAGGCAGGCACTGAGCACTTTTAGAGTGAAAGTTTTAACTGCTACACCCTAAAAGGAAAAGCAACAGAAAATATCAAAAGTAACAAATATGGATAATTGGAGCATGGCTTAGAGATCTTGAATTCTGGCCTGTAGTCCATACTTCTACGTTGGTAGATGGAATCACACTTGGAATATTGTTTCCTGTTTTTATTCCTGATGTTGTAGTTCATCAAACTTAGCCTTTTTTTTAATTGAAGAATTGAAGAAGAACCTCATCTTCCAAGAAGATTCCAAAGTCCAGCCTAAGGAGGAAACCTGAAGGATTTGCCGTAATGGATAAATAACATTTCTAACAACCTTTAGAGCAGGCCACACTTAATAGGTCTCTGCCCCCAGCAGAAATTATTCCTCTGGGATATTATTTTTGTATACTTTATGAAGTATATGTTATGATCTCAATTTTATAGGAAATGAAATGCCAAATATACAAAAAGCTTAAATTTATTGACCAAAGTCACAGTCAATTTTCTAAGGGAGGATGGACTCGAATGAGGGCTGCTATGTTACAACTCAAAGGAGAATCAGATCCTAGTCTATGTGGATGGTGCCCATAAGCCTGGGCAGAGTCTTCATCCATTTGGATTGCCATAACAAAGTACCATAAGTGAAGTAGTTTATACATAAGAGAAGTTTGTTTCTCATATTTCTGGAGGTTGGGAAGTCCAAAGACAAGGTGCCAGCAAACTCAGTGTCTGCTGAGGACTTGCTTCCTGGTTCACAGACAGCCGTCTTCTTGCTGTGTCCTCACATGGTGGAAAGGGCAAGGGTGCTCCCTCAGGCCTCTTTTCACTAATTTCATTCATGAAAACAAAGCCCCCATGACCTAATCTCCTCTCCTAATGCCATCACCTTGAAAGTTAGGATTTCAAATAGGAATTTTGGAGGGACACGTTCACCATGGCAGGCAATGTGCAGCCTGCAGAACCCAAGTGCTGACCCTGGTTTGACTTGATGCCTTGCCGTGCCACACTGCCTATTGCTATCTAAAGCAGGGCACTCCACAAATTGTTTGCACAGTGGGAACCATCACTAATGAAAATAAAAGGAATGAGCAACATTTATCTATCATCTATCTACCTACTTACCTACCTATTTATTTATTCACATTTAATAAATAGATTTTATTTTTAGAGCAGTTTTAGGGTCAAAGCAAAATTGAGTGGGAAGTATGGAGTCCCTGTATGCCTCCTGACCCCACAGGCACAACCTCCACCAATATCAATATCCCCCACCAGAGTGGTACACTTGTTATGATTGATTAACCAAATTGATACATCATTATCACCCAAAGTCTATAGTTTACCTTAGGGTTCACACTCTTAGTGTTGTAAATTTTACAGGTTTTGACAAATGTATAATGACGTATCCACCATTATATAGAATAGCTTCTCTATACTAAATATCTTCTGTGTTTTACCTATTCATCCCTCCCTCCCCTACATACCCTGGTAACCATTGTTTTTTTTAATCTGTTCACTGTCTCCATAGTTTAGCCTTTTCCAGAATGTCATAAAGTTGGAATCATATAGTATATAGCCTTTTCAATTGGGTTCGCTTACTTTGCAATATACACTTCAGTTTCTTGAACTTTTTTTTATGGCTTGATAGTTCATTTCTTTTATCACTAAATAATATTCTATTTTATGGATGACCAACGTTCACAACAACGTTTTTTTCTGAAGAAATAAAGAAATAAGTGTTACTATGAATTAGAGAAATTTTAGTAAAATAAGTTACTTAAAAATTCCAACTACTTAACAATAAGATCCTGAAAGTTTCTTTCTTTGCCCTTTTGCTAAGATTATGTCACAAAATAATATGTTTATGGTCCTCATAACTTTTAAAAAATAATTACAAAATGAAATAAATACCAGACTAGGAATTAGAAGACCAGTGATTAGTGTCCCCTATACAATGTGACATTGGTAGAGAGCAAACCAAGTAACCTATTTGGACATAAACTTGCTAATTTGTCAAAAAAAGGGAAGTTGAAGATCTTTAATATTCCTAATGAGCAAGAAATCTAGTCCACAAACCTGTATTTCATGATAAGTGAATATCAAGTACATTTTGTTTGAGTTATCTAGTAATTTTTGTCTATTATTACCCTGGACTTCTCTTAACATATCAAATTTTAATCCAGGAATTAAAGACAGTATACTATAACATTTCTTCACTATCAAATGTTTTATCTCTTTCTAAATCCATTCAACAAACAAGACTCTTTCAGCAGAGATGTTTTAGATATTAAAGCATCCCAGTAATTTCTTTTTGCATAAGGTGGTGGGTTTCTTCAGATATAATAAAACTAGCATCTTCAAACTTCTGAAACATGGTGCAGTATCCTTCATGAATTCCACAATACTTATTGAACACCTACTGTATACTGTGCCAAGTAATGTAATTGTGAACAAAAGAGACATGGTCACTACCCTCCTGATATGCACAGATTGGTGAAGTGTGAAACACTGAGCAAGGAGGCACACAAATGAATATATAATTGCATGGTGTGATAAACATCATGAGAGAGAAGGAGGATGCAACAGAGTGAGTTCATTTAGACCAGGACAGTGAGGGAAACTTCTCTGAGAAAATACAATTGAGAACTGAGTGTTAAGCAGGTATTGAAAACTTCCAGTTAGGATTAAGAGCTTGATTTTGGATAAGTCTGAAAGTTATTTTCCTGAGCTATGGAAGTATAATTAGGGAATCTTCAGCTTCATATAAAAGTCAGGAGCTTGGAAGAAAGATCAACTTTAGAGCAAGATCTGCAATAGAGCAAACATCTCTATGTACTCAAAGGTTAGCCTAAAATAGAGTTTGAACAAATATTTTAAAGGTGCAAAATACTATTAGAAAATACTATTTGAGGCCATGCATGGTGGCTCACGCCTGTAAATTCCAGCACTTTGGAAGGCCAAGACAGGCCAATCACTTGAGGTCAGGGGAGTTCAAGACCAGCCTGGCCAACATAGTAAAAACCCTGTCTCTACTAAAAATACAAAATTAGCCATGTGTGGTGGCAGGTACCTGTAATCCCAGCTACTTGGGAGGCTGAGGCAGGAGAATCGCTTGTACCCCGGAGGCAGAGGTTGCAGTGAGCTGAGATCACACCACTGCACTCCAGTCCAGGTGACAGAGCAAGACACTGTCTAAAACAAATAAAAGTTAACCAAAACCAGAAATGACTAACAGCATGAGCAACAATCTAAACTGCACTTGGACCAGTGTGGTGGCTTACATCTGTGATTCTAGCACTGTGGGATGCCGAGGTGGGAGGATCACTTGAGGCCAGAAGTTTGAGACCAGCCTGGGCAACATAATGAGTTTAGCCGGGCTTGGTGGTACACCCCTGTGGTCCCAGCTACTTGGGAGGCCGAGGTGGGAGGATCACTTGAGTCCAGGAGGTTGAGGCTGCAATGAGCTAGGATCACACCTCTGCATTCCAGCCTGGACAACAGGGAAAGCCCTTGTCTAAAAAAGAGAAAATACATAAATAAATAAACTATAGCGTCCGCAGATAATCTGAGCCCAGTTGTTCACTGGCTGTGCATGAGGCTGTGCTTTGTGTGTTCCTTTCAAAGTTGCAGAACGAGTGTGGCAACTGACCTGGGTGATGGTCAGCCAGTGTGAGCCTGCCTAGGTCCACTGTCTCCTCACTCTCTATATGCCCATATTGATTGACAGATAAATCTGTCTACTTTGGAGATTTATTTCATCTACAACAAACAAACATCTGCTGCCTCTAGAGATAAGTATTCGAAGCTCCTGAGTAACTCTTCCATAACATTATATGGTGATTTATCACTGAAAGAACAAAAAACTAACAATAATTGAAATGTGGGTGTTTTTACTTTCAAGACAATGATCCAGTCTTGTTAATGACCTAAAAGTCATACTCTTAAATATTTACTTCTTTTAAAGGATACCATAAAGTACCATCAGCTTTGCTGTAATAAAAAAGCAAATAGACAATCACCAGGACACAAAACTCTGATTTTACAGGTGAAGGAACTAAGGAACTGAGAAGGTAAGACTCCTTTAACCACTTAAGTCCAGTTACTTAAACCCCTGTAACCAGTCGTCAACTCTACACCTAGAGTATATCCTCCTTTTTCTTCCTTGTTGCAGAATTCCATTTTGTTCAGGCACTCATGGTGAGATTTAGGAAGAGTTTTACTAAAAGGGAGAAACAATTATTCTAAGCATTGTCTCATCTAGATCTGATTTCTAGAAATGTGGCAACCATCATGTGATAGCAAAAGGAACTAGCCTAGGACAGGCTTAAATACCAAGGATGCATAACCAAAAGATTGAAAGAACCCAGGTGCTTGACGCATCCTTGAGCCGTCAGATTAACTAGCACTGGCATGGCCCCTATCTCTGGGTTAACTACTATGTAAAATAGTGCTGCTTTCTGTTGTTGAAGCCATTTAAGGGTGTGCGATTGCTCTGTTTCTTCCTGTTGAAAGCACCCAAATAAACTACACCTTTAGTACACCATTCTAGATGATACCTTTTGAAGGTTTAAGTCCCTGCTTTATTGAATGAAGATCAAAATAGCTCTATCATTGAGTTGTTGAAAGAGATTAATGAGATAATGTTAATAAATTATTTGGGCCAGGTGTGGTGGCTCATGCATGTAATCCCAGCACTTTAAGAGGCCAAGGAGGGCAGATGACTTGAGGCCAGGAGTTCAAGACCAGCCTGGCCAACATGGTGAAACCCCGTCTCTACTAAAAAATACAAAAATTAGCCAGGGGTGGCAGGTGCCTGTAATCCCAGCTACTTGGGAGGCTGAGGCAGGAGAATCGCTTGAACCCAGGAGGCAGAGGTTGCAGTGAGCTGAGATCACACCACTGCACTCCAGCCCAGCGACAGAGTGAGACACTATCTTAAATAAATAAATAAATAAATAAATAAATTAGCATGGTGTCTGGTATAGAGTTCCACACATGATAGCTAGTATCACTCTAAGTCAATGTTCCTTTTATTGTAATACCCTGCCTTCTAGACAATTTCAAAGTATAACCAGACATTAAATTGTAAATTACATTTGAGAGACCAAGATATAATAGATATGATATTCTAAAGTAAGGCTACAGACCAAAATGCAAAGTGTCAAATGTTTTAGGTTTTGTTTGTTTGTTTTTAATAAAAAGCAGTTCCCTGACTGCTGAACTCCTCTTCTATATCTAAAGTACAAAAGCTTCAGAAAGAATGTTCAGGAATATTTACTTGGAGAGAGAGCTGTGATGTGAGTTCTGTCCCCTCCCCTAAACACATCAACACTCCAAGTGGGAGGACATATTTCTCACCATCTCAAGTCAAGAGAGGAACTTGAAGGAAACTGATCAGAGGACAGAATATGTGTGGTCTGAAGTATTTAGCAGGGTGGGAAGAGGGACAGACTTGACTGGTTTAACAAAGAGGAAGGGTGGAATAAGGATATTTCCCTGCTGCTGAAAGATGAGTAGAAGCAAGGCTACACTGGATTTGGCCCTTGGAGGGCAAAGGGTGCATGAGAATTTCCAGGGAACCAGATGTGGACCATTCATACAAAGGAATATCTAGAACTTTCCAGTAGGGCCACCAGGAGGGGTGATCTGGCTGAAGGGTTGCTGTATTCCTAGAAGCTAAGGAGGGATAAAGTGACAAACCAGAAAGGTGTAAATCATTCGTGTCAAGAGAATTGTAGCCACCCAGTGACGGGGGAGATAAACTCTAAAGAACCCATAAAAGCAGCCATGAAAGAAACAGGTTGTAACAACTGGCCAGGTCTAGAGAACACAGGCCCATCTTGTCACAGCATCCATTTTATTAGGCCTCACCAGCTCCTCTTGTACCTTATCTCCCCAGCCCTTGCATGTTGCTGGCTGGCTGTGAGCCTTAGGCACGAGAGAAGACTCTACTTCAGTGAAGATGAAACCTTTCATTCTTACATAGGTTTACTATTCTAAGTACTGAATTAAAGCTGTTTTGTGACATAATGTGATTCTAGGGCTTTTAATTTATTGGGGCCTATCCAAATTTTTATCTAGGATTATTTCAAAAAAACTACCACAATGAATGGCTTAAAGGGAAAATAAAAATCAAACATTAAGTTGCTTGCATGCTTATACCCCATGACTTCAGCTCTTCCAACATACTAGTTACACAATTTCCTATTATATGCTCACTACGTGCTCTGCACTAGGATAAGTCTTTCAGAGATTAATAGAATCAGACCCAATCACCAAGTCGTGTTGTATATTCCACTACACTGTATATTGCTGGGGATACAGAGACTGGCTCATATCTGCTACTTAATCCATTTTAACTGTTAGTGCAAGGCCGTCCCTCTAAAACCTTGCAAACTATTGGTAGAGATGGGAATGGCAGTTATAAAATAATTACAAGAACTGGGTTCTAGTTAATGTTTTGCTACTGAGAAGCACTGAGACATAGGCTATTCACCCCACTTTTGTGATGCTTCATTAGCATATCTGTAAATGGAGAGGAACGGGCCACATAAGCCATATGGCACCTTCTAAAATTCTGTAATTCTATAGCAGCATTATTCACAATAGCCAAAATTTGGAAACCAACTCAAATGTACATTAAATCCTGAATGGGTAAATAGAATGTGGTGCATCCATACAATGGAATATTATTTGGCAATACAAAGAATGAAGTCCTGACCCATGCTTCAGCATGGATGAACCTTGAAAACATGATGCTAAGTAAAAGAAGCCAGAGACAAAAGACCACATATTATATGATTCCTTATATGTGAAAGTCCAGAATAGAGAAACCTATAGAAACAGGAATTAGATTAGTGGTTGCCTAGAGTTGTGGAAGTGAGGCAGGGAAGCTGAGTGACTATAGGGAGATGAGGGTTTTTTGATAGGCGATAAAATGTTCTTGAATTTATTGCGATGGTGGCTGTATCACTCTGTGCATATACTAAAAATAATTTCATTTACATTTTAAATCAGCAAATTGCAGGGTATGTGAATTTTATGTCAATAACATTGTTATTTAAAAATTCTAAAAATTTTTTATATAAATTGGAGTAAGAAAGTCAGAAGACACATTGAATGTTGAATAATGAAGTAACCGTTATTTTCTAATAACATTATATTCACTAAAAGAGAAGATAGCTTTGTAAATATTTTTATTTGTTGCATTTCAGTAATCTAGATTCAGATATAATTTATGAAAGGATGAAAGAAAAAATAAAACTTTTAGGATCAACAGACTGATTTTACCATTCTCCTTTTAACTTCTAAGTACTGACAGTAAAATTATTGTTAATGTTATCATTTATTGATTGATGAATCATTAAAATATACATGTAATTATCAACCTTGTTTTTAATTTCACCTTATTCTTCTATTAAGGAAAAAGAAGAAGAGTACACGCATTAAGCCACTACTATTAGGCCTTGTACCCACTGAGCTTACGTATAGCATCTGATTCACTCCTCAGGGCAGCCCTTGACAAAAGTAAAATTATCCCAATTTCACAGAAGAATAACTGATGCTTAGAAAGTGTACATTATTTGCATAAAGGTACACAATAACACTAAGCAAATTTTGGATTGAATTCTAAGTCATTAAAAATAATATACAGAAATCAACTTGAGTTTTAACTATGTCTGTCTTCAGTGGCTCTACATAGAGCCTGTTAGATTTATGACTAACTCCCCTACCTAGCACTGAACGCATTTGCTAATCTGATTCTATTTTTAAATGATCTCTCAAGACTGTAATCACAAATTCTCCAGCCCATTTTGGGAGTTTTCATACTGTTCTTCAACTAGAATTTCCTTTTCACATATATATTTTGTATTTCCTTAGCAGAGGGCCTTAGCTTAAACTTAAGCTGATATTCTCTCCTATTTGAACATATTTGCTAAATAATGAATGAGGACTTTGGGGATTAATTTTCCTGAACGTGTGAGACTGGAAGAGAGAGGGAAACACAGCAACACTGTTTAACCTGGAGAGAAAATCCCCTGCCATGGGTATGAACATGAGTATTCACACACAGAGCACCACTGTCACCAGCAGTGATGAGTGACCTCCCCTAAGTGGCTTCACAGGTGGCCAACTTCTAGAAGTGATGAACTGATGGACCCAAGAAGGCTATGGGGAGCTGATGTGAAATCCGTGCTCACCCATAGAAATATTAGAATGTGATTTTTCAAGAGATTGAGTTCTTAATGAGAGCAAGCACAAGCTCCATGTTGGTCTCTTCTCCAACTTGCATTTTTCTTTCTTTTGTGCAGTTTCTAAAAGATAAAGCATATATTCATTGGGGTTAGTAGTGTGAAAGAAAATAGAATCTTGGGGCCCCAAACACACTATGACAAGAGAAAGTTAAGCTTGGGAACGGACACTGTTTTCCTTTTGTTCCCAAATAGCTGTAATTTCACAACCCTGTGCCATAGCCCCATTTCCTCTGCTCCCTCTTTTCATGCGGTTACTTTAGCTATGTCAAATGTAGTTGACTGAGCACAGGACAATGCGTCATTGACTTTTTCCCCTACTCCCTCTTCTTCTTATGTAAAATGTAGATTTACTGAAGCTAATCAGAGCCTCACAAGAATGTCACCATCTGCCTCACTGCCTATCCTCCCTCTCTTTTTTCCCTTCCTGCTTGCTTTTTTCCTTTATTACTGACGTTCCAAAAGCTCCCTGTCGACAAAAAGAGTCAAACTGTAAAATATTTGAAGAGATTTATTCTGAGCTAAATATGAGTTACCAATGGCCTCTGACACATTCCCAGGAGATCCTGACAACCTGTACCCCAGGTGGCCAGCTACAGCTTGGTTTTATACATTTTAGGGAGTCATAAGGCATCAATCAATACATGTAAGATGTACATTGGTTTGGTCCAGAAAGCCAAGACAACCGAAAGTGGGGGCTTCCAAGTCATAGGTGGATTCAAACATTTTCTGATTGGTTGTATTATTATCTAAAGATCTGGAATCAATAGAAAGAAATGTCTGGGCTATGATAATGGGTTGTGGAGAGCAAGGTTTTACCATGCAGATGAAGCCTCCGGGTAGGAGGCTTCAGAAAGAACAGATTGTAAATGTTTCTTATCAGACGTAAAGAGTCTGTTTTACCAGTTCTAAGGTCTCTGTGTTGATGTTAATGCTAGTCAGCTGTGCCTGAATTCCAAAAGGGAGGAAGGTATAATGAGGCATGTCTGACTCCCATGATAGGAACATCACGGCCTGAACCAGTTTTTCAGGTTAACTTTGGAATGCCCTTGGCTGAGAGGAGGGGTTCATTCTGATGGCTGTGGAGCTTAGAATTTTATTTTTGGTTTACCACCTTTTGGAAAAAAACACAAGTCACAGATACTCTTGGGACTTAAAATTTCCCCAGGCATGTCTTTAACCTTGGCAAAATACCTCTCTATGGATTGAGACCTGCCCCAGTCACTTTTTAGTTAATAGTAAAAATACACATTGCTTCCGTTACATCAGTTAAAATGCCTGGCTTCAGGATTACATGCTCCAGCCTTCTCAGTTTATGGTCACAGCACAAAAGTTACATGGCTTCCTCATGTTAAATCACACATCTAAGTTTAGAAGGAACACCTGGATGGCTTTCAGGCTCTCTTAATTGGAACTTTATAAAAATTCCACATTCTTTGTCTATTCCTGCTCATCTGCAACTGGAAGTGCTATTGGTCAACAACATGGCCACAAAGCAGGTAGTGCAATGGAAAAGGAAAGGAAATTAACATTTGCTAAGTGCCTACTATGTATAAAAACCTGTTCTAGGCAATTTGCATGTTAAATTTGCTTAGTCTTCATAACAACCCATGGGATAGTTGTTAATAGCATTGTCTTGTAGATGGATAACAGAGGCTCACAAAGGTAATTTACTTACTCAGTCAAGCAATTATTAAATGGTAGAACCAGACTATGACTCCAGGTCTGTCTGATTTAGATTCCTTTCTGAAGAAGCCATAAAACTCATCACCTTTCTTTGAATAATCGGGAGGCACCATGGACATAAAACTTTCTTGTGTCTGAGTTTCAAAGATCTATAGATATCTCAAAGAAGTTCAAGTAACAAAAATATGTCAAACATCTCTCTAAAGTGCATATTTCCCAGAGTAAACCCAGTGGCCATTAAGATCTGGCTGGAGATTTTGCCAAAAGATTGGGATGAACCCAAAAAAGACAGCATGAAGAAGTCTTAAATTCTTTTCACATGTGTATCATTTTTATGTTAGCAAGGGGGCCACTTTGATCCTACAATCAGATAACCCAGGAAGTGATTTGGAATTCTTTTAAATATCTGTACCATCCTCAGGGCAGGACACAAGGTCAAGTCTATTATTTTGATTCATGTGAAAAGACCAGAGTGGACGCTAGGCAGTATTGACCTCTTCCGCTTCCAATCTGAGCAGGATGGGAAGTAGCTAAAGATTAACAAAGTAAGCAAACTTGTTTGCTGTACAAACTATGCATAAGTTTGAGGCCAACTTCAGGAATTCTGAACCCTCAGGCTGTGCTATGTAGTTTCCATAACAACTAGTGACAGAAAATGAGGCAAACAGACGTGACTCACACAAAATGTTTCGGTCCAGTTCTCAGAGGCCAAATTTGGTCATTGGAGACCTTTAAAGAATAGAGTCATCTCTGTCTTACTAATCACATTCAAAGGGCAAAATGTTCCTCAGTAAAAACAGCTGTCTCCATGGGCCACCAAGGAAGTCTATTCAATCATCAGTGCAGAACAATGGGGAGTCCCTGTTGTTCACACATGGCTACTCCCTGCCAAGTTCCCTCTGTAAAGGGGCGTTCGAGAACCTCAGAGTGTTACTGCTTGATTGTATTGTACATGGTGACTGACTGCAGTTTGGTCCACAGAGGATTGGGCAGCAAGCTGGTGTCATGTTTTGATGGTTGGGTCAGCATTGCTTCATGGGCTAGGTTCACCTGCCCATGAATCAGGAGTGGGGCAGCGGGGGTAAGGAAGAAAATGAGGGGGCTCTTCTTGATATCCTTAAAAAATGTCTGTAGTTCACAGCAGTCTGCAAACCACTTCCCCCCAACCCTCGTCCTGCAACTACCACAAGTCTGTATAAAGCCTGCCTCTCTGATTTCATGCCTCACTGACCTGTTTTGCTATATCCCAAGGACTTTGTGCACAGCCTCACCCTCAGACAGATTCTTTGCCCATTTGCACTGCCCTCTACTCCTTCCATTAATTTCATCCTTTGCACTTCCCTCTACTCCTTCCATTAATTTCATCCTTTCCCACCATCCCCTTAATGCTTGTTGAGACCACATTTCTCTCTCTTTTTTGAGACAGGGTCTCACTCTCACCCAGGCTGGAGTACAGTGGCATGATCTTGGTTCACTGCAGCCTCGATCTCCCAGGCCCAAGTGATCCTCCCACGTCATCCTTCTGGGTAGCTGGGACTACAGGTGCACAACCACAGGATAATTTTTGTAATTTTTGTATAGACAGGGTCTTGAAATGTTGCTCAGGCTGGTCTTGTACTCTTGGACTCAAGAGATGCTGCTCTCTGGGCTTCCCAAAGTGCTGGGATTACAAGTGTGAGACACTGCACCCGGCCACATTTCTCTTATTCTCTCCATTTCTGCTTTTATTCTTTATCCTATCCTATTTGAATTGCCACATGGCAATTCAAATGAGCTTTTAAAAATATGGACCCACTTTGCCATCTTTCCCTTCAAAATGCTTCACTGACCTTGCCTTACTCTGAGAGTATAATAAAAACTACAGGAACTCCACCCCACGCACCAGGTTTGACTTCCATTCCCAAAGCCACCAGGCTACTTTGGTCTCAGCATTTTTTTTTTTTTTTGAGACAGAGTCTCACTCTGTTGCCCAGGTTAGAGTGCAGTGCAGTGGTGCAGTCTCAGCTCACTGCAACCTCTGCCTCCCAGGTTCAAGCGATTCTCTTGCCTCAGCCTCCTGAGTAGCTGGGACTACAGGTGCCTGCCACTACGCCCGGTTAATTTTAATTTTTTGTATTTTTAGTAGAGATAGGGTTTCACCGTGTTAGCCAGGATGGTCTCGATCTCCTGGCCTCGTGATCCACCTGCTTCGGCCTCCCAAAGTGCTGGGATTACAGGAGTGAACCACCGTGCCCGGCCTGGTCTCAGCCTTTTGTAACCCAGATCCTTCTGTCTCTTCCTCCCATTTTTCACCTAGCTGACCTATTCTTTCCATCTCACTTTTAATACCTTTTTCTCAGTGAGGACCCATATAAACATAGTGGAAGATGGTACAAAAGTGGAATGATGCCTACTCCTGGGTACTTCCTTCATCCTCAGGTAGAGACTTCTAAAGTACACCATGCAAGAGACATCCCTTATTTCACAATTTTGAAACCTGTTGAATCACTGAGTAGGCTATTCACGGAAGGTTGGTGATGCAAGCTCCTTATTATCCCATGCGCAGAGGAAGCTAACACACTTGTTCTGGGTAATTCTGGTCTTGAATCATTTCCTGTTAGCTCTTGAGACTCCTTGCATGTGGTACCAGCTTGCTGAGCAATGATCTCAGTTTATAGCAGGTTGCTTTGGCCTCTGGGATGTCGGTCCTGTGTGGCAGAGCCATGATCCAAGGAAGTTTCCCAGGGAAGCCCTGGGATTTGGAATTGGTGAGTCAGTTGAGACTGACAAAAATCAGTTTGTCAAAGAGAGGCTGTCTGAAAAATATACTGCATGGTGATAAACTGCCTTTTCCCCCCCTCAGGGCAATGCTAAAATTACAAAACAGAAATTCATTCAGAAGAAATTCTAATCAAAATAAAAAATGAAAATGAAAGTATTTGGAATCTGAAATCTTGATTGTTTTTGTTTTGATGCCTTCAAATTTAAATCAGAGTACAGAAGGAGTGGAAATTCTTAAGACAAGTTACTTATAGGCTCACGTATAGAAGAGCAAGCCTCTGAAATAGGCAAAACTCTCTCCATCATTCCAGTAAGGAGAATGAAGCCAAGAGAGGTTAAACGATGTGCCCATTGTCACAGAGCCAACGAATGATGCACCAGGATGGGTCCCCAGAGCCCAGGCTCATGCAGGCTTATGCAGGGGCCGAGACGATTCTGAGTGCTGTGTTCCCTGGAGAAGACAGGCTTCCTATAAACCAAAAGAAACATTTATATACATAGCCAGTATAATCAAAATGCTGGGAAATCACACAGAAATCTGTTTACTTTTCTAAAATATTGAGTTGGAATAATTGGAACAAAATGTGCCATTCTCTTTATTGGATAACATATTTTAGTATAAATCATATAAAGTTGGCATTTTTGTAACTCAAAAGCAGTGAAACATTGGCAATTTGAAATTACATTTGTCTTTGAATTGGCTGTCTCTCCTGATTCTACTGTATTTTATCTCTGGTTTTAGCACTCAGCACATTACCAAGTACGTAGGAAAAACCCAGGAAACGTTTATAGAAGAAATGAGCAAAATGAGATTCTGTTATCTAAGATACAGACAGCCTTGTGTGTTAAGCTTCTTACACAGACATGACATTTTAATAAAATAGATGGTAGCTTTATAAGGGCCTCTTGATAGAGAAGGATGTTTGTAGGCTTTGGCAACGAGAAGAGAAGTCAGAGTTTCACCTGCAGTACTTACTATGTGAGACCATGGGCAAATTACTTAATCACTCTGACAGCATTTCCTCATTGCAGAATGGGAATGATGATAGATACCTGCAAAGATTATTATGAGAATCAAGTGAGATTGTGTTTATACTGAATCAGTCTTACAGTAGCCACTCGGCAAATGTTATTCTTGATTCCAAATCCTGCTACTAGGTTACCACTTAATGCTTTACATAAAAAAAGTGGAGTTCTAAAAAGGTTGTGTTTTTAGTGCTGGCTTCAGCTAAGCAGTGCTGACTAAAATGTTTCTTAGGCAATAAACGTTTTTGAATTATTTTTTGAAACATCATTCAAATAAAAATAGAGAATGAAGCAGCATTTCCCAAGTATTAATGACACGAATGCCTTACTATATTAATACAGCACAGTAATATCAACAGATTGAAGAAAGTAAAAATTCTAGTTGCTTTTCCTTTTTGGGAGAAGCATCTGTGTAATAAGGAATTCTATTTTAATACTGAGAAATGGTAAACTTCCTGTGTTCTAGTTCATTATAATTGCCCCGCCCTTTGAAGATGATAATGGTCTGCAAAACAGAGCTATTTTGGTACCAAGTAAAGCTGCAAAATCTCCCTCATCAGCAAAACTGAAGGAGAGGCAAGGAAAAAGCGTTTATGTTTGCAATTAACTGGGTCTTTTTTGATATTCAATAGTAAGAAAAACAAAGTTTTTGTTGATCTACAACAATTTGATATTTTAGGAAAAAACAATTCACATGGAAAAATGTCTTCAATTTAGTTTTGCTGCCATGTAAGAAGATATTCTTAGTGAAAAAAAATGTAATGTGCATTCACTATAGGGGAAGATTTTCAGATTTTTTTTGGCTTGTCTTTATTATTGTTTATTTCTGTTTTTGTCTTAGATCTTAACATAGCTTTAACCACTTCCTTTTCCAGGGGTTACAATTGTGTTTATTCATAGAACTAAAGTTCAGTACCTTCTCCCTTTATTCATTTAGAATTCCACAAATATTTACTGATTATTACAACATACATGACACGGGCCTAGACTCAGGGGGACCCAGTGACCTACTAGAAAAAAAGTGTTTTGCCTTCATCAAATTTATATTGGAGGTTATTTCTGCCACCCTGATCATTATCATCTATGTTAATTTATATTTTATTATAATTCTTGGTGACACAATGCTAAAATGACCTGGTTTGTCTATGTATTCTGATCTAGTCATTATATAGTACATTGTATATATACATTATATGTATAGTATATTGTATAGTACATAGTACATTGAATAGGACACATGCACAAACACACTTATATAACCACACAAATACACATTTAATCCATATGCTATATATATATATATATATATATATATATATATATATATATATATGGTTTTTTTTTTTTTTTGAGATGGAGTTTCACTCTTGTTGCCCAGGCTAGAGTGCAATGGCACGATCTCGGCTCACTGCAACCTCCACCTCTTGGGTTCAAGTGATTCTCCTGCCTCAGCTTCCTGAGTAACTTGGATTACAGGCGTCTGCCACCATGCCCAGTTAATTTTTGTATTTTTAGTAGAGACAGGGTTTTGCCATGTTGGCCAGGCTGGTCTTGAACTCCTGACCTCAGGTGATCCACCCACCTTAGACTTCCAAAATGCTGGGATTGCAGGTGCAAGCCACTTTACCAGGACTGCCATAATATTTTAAGTTCAATTCAAATTCAATGGAGCAAGTATTTAAGGCCCAACTCTATAACAGACACCATCCAGGGGTTTGGATGAACGTGACCAAGTCCTTCCCTCAAGGAGCCTTCAGTTCATTGAGGAAAAAGACTTGGAGAGAAAGATTTGCCAGGCAGTGGAGAGAAAAACGGCACTGATGCCCCATCCTGAAACTGAGGAGATGTCATCACAGGGAAGACATTTGACTTAGCTCATAGAAATGTAGAGGATTTGAGTAAGAGTGTGGGAAGAGAACAGTATTTCATGGCGGAGAGAGTAGCCTTGCAGTTCTAAGCTTTGGTTTGCAGAGCAGCAGCTTTGGCATCACCTGGGAGCTTGTTGGAAATGCAGATCCTCAGGCCTCAGGGCACACTTCCCAGACCAAGTCAGAATTTGCATTTTAGCAAGATCCCCAGGTGGTTTGTAGATGCTTTAAAATTTGAGACGCACTGGGTAGAACACAGAGGATGAAAAGTCGGGGCCTGTTGGAAGATGGTAACCTGGGCCAATGTGGTTGGAGCACAGAATCCCAGGCAGGGTGCAAGGAGGAGGCTGGAGAATCAGAGGGAGAAAATGCTGCAGTGGAATCCAAGTAGGATTCTTCAGACTGGGTGGGAGTAAACTCTAGGCAATCAATACTTTCTCCTGGAAACATTAACCGCTTCCTCCTCTGATTGATGATCGTATTTTTCTTTGGTTGTGCTTGCTGCCCTGTTACAATGATTGATCTATGTGTCTGCCTTCCTCCCTCCTCCCACTTTCCCCTGACCCCACTGCTGATATTTTAAAACAGACCTATTTGTCGTTGCATCTCTTGAACCTGGTACTCAAGAAATAACTCAACTGAACTGAGTTGTGACTATGAATCACTGAGTCACACAGTAGCCCATCCTCACGTTGCTTATAGTTCAGTATTGTAGACCAGAAAGAGTTGTCAATCATTCATTAATTCACTAGTTCAACAACTATTCATGGCATGCCAGGCACTTTCTACCTTCCCCGTCTGGTTCCTGAGAATGTCTCCCTGCCACCACCTCTCAGCACCCTGGTCCCTCAGACCATCTGACCACTCTGAATAAAGCACATGAGTATTGATCCCATCAGCAGCAGCAAGCTCTGCATACCAAGCACCTTCTCAATAGAAAATGAGATTTCTGCTTCCACTGACACATAAAAAGATTACTAGCATTAATGACAGAAGATGCCAGTGCCCATGGGTGATGGAGACAACACTAGCTGTACTTAGTAAGAGCTAAAATCTTCAGAAAAATCTTTCTAAATTCTGGGCCAGGTCAGAGGAAGAATGGTATTAAAGCAACAAGAAGGGCAACGGCAGCTGGGAGCGGTGGCTTACGCCTGTAATCCCAGCACTTTGGGAGGCCAAGGCAGGTGGATCACAAGGTCAGGAGATCCAGAACATCTTGGCCAACATGATGAAACCCCGTCTCTATTAAAAATACAAAAATTAGCCAGGTGTGGTGGCATGCGCCTGTAGTCCCAGTTACTCTGGAGGCTGAGGCAGGAGAATGGGTTGAACCTGGGAGGCAGAGGGTGCAGTGAGCCGAGACCGCGCCACTGCACTCCAGCCTGGGCAAAAAGAGCGAAACTCTGTCTCAAAAAAAAAAAAAAAAAAAAAAAAAAAAGAAGGGCAAGGGCATTCCAGGAAGATAGAATGGGAATAAATATAAAATCCAAGATAATGTTTAGGGGAGTGTGGGAAGAGGGATCAGAGCACACAGATCTTCAAATATATTAAAAAGCGTCTAGTCTTAAGCTAGGTAGTGTTTTTTACAGTAGTCTTTAACCTGCACCTGCATTTTATATTTCTCCTTTATATGTATGGTATATTCTATATATTTCTAAAAATCAAATATAAATAAGACAGAAAAAGAAAATGAAGCAGCAGGAATGCTTTGTAACAAGTTAGTTAATCTGGCCTCTGATAGATGCTGAAGAAACTTTTTTTTTTATTAACTGAGTCCACATTTATTTATTTATTTAATTTGTGCTTTTGCGACAGGGTCTTGCTCTTTTGCAGTGAGGGCGTAATCATGCTCACTCCAGCCTCAACCTCCCGGGCTCAAGCGATCTTGATCCTCCCACCTTAGCCTCCCGAGTAGCTGGGACTACAGGTGCACACCACCACACCCAGCTAATTTTTGTATTTTTGTAGAGACAGGGTTTTGCCACGTTGCCCATGCTGGCCTTGAACTCCTGGGCTCAGGTGACCCACCTACCTCGGCCTGGGAGGTAGTTTGGGAAAGTGCTGGGATTACAGGCATGAGCCACTGTGGCTGGCCAGTCCATGTTAAAGCAATGTGCTAGGTAGATTTAGAGAGACCAGGTTACAATGGGCCTTGAATGCCCAGCTAAGGAAGCTGGACTTAATACTGTAGGCAATGGGTAGACTTTGAAAGTGCTGAGCAGGGAAGTTATGTGTGTAGAGTGGCATTTTAGAAAGCTAAATCTAGCTGTAATATAAAAGACCCACTGAAGGGTAAGAGCAGAAGGCAGTGAACTCCTTCAGCTATTGCAGCACTCTAGTGGAAGATGCCCAGTGAAGGTGACTATGACCCCGGGGGGAAATGATTAATTGGGAAATCATAATGCAGAGGATGAAGCCAATGCATCTTCAAATTCTGGTGATGCTTTCTCCCTAATTACCTCTGACACTCAACTACTTTCCATCTCTTCTTCATATGCTCTAATCTAGACAACTACAGTAGCTGCCTAAAGCATGTTATGCTCTCTACCCTCTGGTTCTTCCCCAAAATGCTGCCAGCTTGACCTTTTAAAAGCACGAATAAAAATATTGATATTCTCTAGCTTGAAAGTCTACAATGGCTCTATTAGCATTACCTATAACACAATGTAAACTCTAACCCAGCCTCAAGTGCTTTGGCCCTGCCTATCTCCATTTCCAGCTCATGCTATTCTTTCTCCTGCTCTCTGAGTTTAAGCAACATTGCTCCAGAAAATTGCTCTAATTTTATCGAACATGTTATGCTTTTTCCAAAATAGAATCTTGTTTTAAACTAGTTCCCCTCTTTAAAATGCTCCTTTCTCCATCTTTTGCCAGGATAACTTCTCATCCTTTTCACTGTGGCTTATAATGCAGATGAGTGTAATCTTAGTCCTCCTGTAAGCCTGTAAATCTGCAATATTTTAAAGGTCACTAAATAATTTGGAAATTGAATGATGTGAACATTTCTAAAAAAAAAGTGAATTCTTTTTTGAATTATTGTGTTTTGTTACTGAAATTCAAACCACATTTTTTTAACTTCCTTTTTTAAATTATAGCTTTATTTACCACTTCAACTACATTTAGGTAAATAGTTTAGGGGCATAAAGTACATTTAAATGCTGAGAAACTATCATCTAACTCCAGAGCTCTTTTCTTTTCCCAAACTGAAATGCTGCACCCACTAAACATTAACCCCTAATTTCTCCTCTCCTGAGCCCAGCCTCTATGAATTTGGCTACTCTAGGTATCTCATATAAGTGGAATCATACAGTATTTGTTCTTTTATGATTGACTTATTTCACTTTGCAATAATGTCTTCAAGGTTGACCCATGTTGTAGTTTGTGTTAGAATTCTCTTCCTTTTTAAGGATGGATCATATTCCATTGTATGTATATACCATTTTTTGTTTATCCATTCATGTGTTGATGAACATGGGTGTTGTTCTCACATTTAGACTATTGTAAATAATGCTGCTATGAACACAGGTGTATCTACTCATGTTCCTAATTTCATTTTTTTTTATATATTACCAGAAGTGGAATTACAGGATTTCTGTGACAATTCTACGCTTCATGTTTTGAGGAGCTGCTGAACTATTTTCCACAATGGGTGTGCCATTTTACAATCTTGCCAGCAGTGCACAATGGATCTAATTTCTCCACCTTCTCTTCAATACTTCTTTTCCATTTTTTTTACTTGCCATCTTAATGAATGTGGAGCCCATACCACATTTTGTAACATAGTTATAAATTTAGGAATTAGAAGGTCTGTCATCTCATTTAGTCTCTTATGTTCCAGAAGAAGATGAAACCCAGAATTTTCAGTGCCTTATCCCATGTCACCTATCAGAATGGGGCTAGAACCAGGTCTCTTCTTTGCCAATGTTTCATAGAGCCTATTAGACATGGTATATAAGACTACGGGAAAAAAAGCAGTTAAGCGTCAGACTTGAGAATACATCAGAGCTGACATAAAATCATATATGAAATCGAGATAGAAGTCTGACTTTATACTCTCCTATCTTACGAAGTTAGACTGGCACCAGAAAAGTTGGTGAACCTCCAGAGCTTCAGTTTCCTGATCTATCAGATGCATATAGTAATACTTGCCTTGTAGAAATTTTGAAAAGATTAAATTAAATTATTCAAGATCCTATATAGTCCTGAAGCTATTTAGACATTGAAAAAATATTCCTTCCACTGCCAACATCTAGCACAATTTGGGATACATGTTAGGTGCTAAACCAACACTTACTAATTTGACTTGCTTTGACAACAGGGTCTAAAACTGCTTTAGGCTTCAGATTTCTTCTGGCAATTTATTTCCAATTTAGGGTGGGTGCTAACAAAAGGTCAGAGGAACAACGAAAGCAGATGGT
Source organism: Homo sapiens (assembly GCF_000001405.40). Lineage (NCBI taxonomy): Eukaryota > Metazoa > Chordata > Mammalia > Primates > Hominidae > Homo > Homo sapiens. Next base: position 40,165,457 of record NC_000008.11, on the reverse strand, counting down.
CTTCCTGAAGCGTGTGCCAAAAGGATTTGTGAGTGTATTGGGGTGACGTCTCCACCCATCGCACAGCTTGGAGGCTCAAGGGCAGATCCCCAACATTGTACTGGTCCCTTCCTGAGCACTCCCTGGTGCAGACTCCAAGTCTGACAAGGAAAATGTGCTGTGATCATCCTACGGGGGACAGAGCAGCTGCTCCAAGGTGGAGTCTATTGTCAAGGTCCTCCTGGTAACAAAAAGAGGAAAAGGTCTATCAAAGCATTTCCTGCCCGCGGGAGCCATGTGCTTCCATTAATTCTTTTCCCTGAGTCAGTCTGTCTCCCTCAGCTCATGTCTCTCCATGTCCACTGTCCAGAGAAAAGAACAGGCATTTTTAGCAGTTGATTTAAAAACCTTTCCACAAAGTGAGGTTAACGAGAGGAACAAGCTCAGATATTCAGTGGTATGCATCTATATATTTCATAAGGAAGCTGGCACTAAGAAAGGGTGGTTTACGGCAGTTATGATTTTTCAGAAATCTGCTCATGCCCTTCAACTGCTTTGGCACTGCCATGGGTACCTGAGGATAAGAGAGATGTCTCTGCCATCTCTGCACCATCAAGAAATTACAGAAAAACCACAGTGAATATCCTCTGAATATTACATTGGTAACATTCACACATTATAGAAAAAATTAGTTAGTGATGGGAGTGAGTAAACAGTATTTCTGAATGAGTGACTGAGTTTGGTGAATCAAATTTGTTAGCCATGGGAGTCAATAAAAATATATTTCTAAATGAGTGACTGAGTTTCATGAACTAATCTGAATCTCGGTTCAGGGAAGAAGGCCTGGAGGGTGACTCTGATGAATAAGGTAAAATGTGGTCATTTATAGTGCACCCTCTTCCAGAAAAGATAATGTCACAAAGAAAGAAGATGGTGAGCATGGTGTCTACAAACAGAGCAAAGAGAAAGATAGAATTTGACAAATACTTATCCAGCACTGTTATGATGAAAGCCCCTAAGTGCTAATATGGCAGATTGCAAAAAATGGTGGAAGAGAGTCAAGATGCCGTGGCCAACGACCTGCCAATCGGACAGGTGAGTGAAGTCATCCTATATCACCCAGCTACCAACTGACCACGGATGCCTGAGAGAGCTCAGCAGACAAGAGCTGAGTTGGCCCAGGCCAGAAGAACCCAAGCTGACCCACAGAATCATGAGTTAAATTGAATGCTTGTCATTTTAAGTTGCTAAGCACTGGGGCAGCTTGTTATGCAGCAAAAGGTAAATGTTGTAGTGGTCAGTAGCTAAGAGGTCTCTGCTGTGAAGCTAATCCTTCAAACCTTGCCAAAACCAGGGAGAAATTGCCTTCAAGACTCTTGATCTTGCTTTGCTTTCACTTATAATTTTTCCTCCTCCTTGGCACTTAAATTTTTCCCATGGATGAATAAATTAATGGTCCTACATTATCTGTTTATTAATTTATTTATGTATTAATTATGTTTTGAGACAGGGTCTCACTCTGTCACCCAGGCTGGAGTGCAGTGGCATGGTCCTGGCTCACTGCAGCCTCAAATTCCTGGGCTCAAGCAATCCTCCCACCTCAGCCAGGCCCCCAAGTAGCTGGGACCACAGGCACATGGCACCACACTCAGCTAATTATAAAATTTTTTGTAGAGATGAAGTCTTGCTATGTTACCCGGGATGGCCTTAAACTCCTAGGCTCAAGAAATCCTCCCACTTTGGCCTCCCAAAGTATTGAGGTTACAAGTGTGAGCCACCAAGCCTGGTCCTTGTTCATATTGCAGGCTGAGAGTTTAGTTGGCATAAGTAAGTCTTCCCATCTCTCAACCATGGTGCCTAGAGTATTGAATTTCTGGTGTTTCTTAGCTGAAGAGCAGAGTTTTAAGTGGTTATGCCTCTGGCATGCACTTGTCCTGCCCAAGTAACCAGCTCTGTCTTATTTGTGTTGAATTTTTACAAACCTCTCTAACAGCAAAAATGAGCCCCTAAAATTGAAAGAGAAAAATTTAATCACTTTCTTATATCAATTTAAATTTTTTTAAAGGTATAAAGGAATAGTAACTGAAATACATATGAAATCTATCCAATATATACAGAATCCTGGTCTTGACGTCCCTCAAGGATGACAGAGAGTCCACATGCCAGGCTAGATAATCATTGAAGAATCCCAGGCCTCTTTGATCCTGTAAACAAGGTGAGGATGTAGGTATCTTCATCTTCCAAATATATGTAGAATGAAATGACAACACTGGCTTATGTCTACTCAGCGCGATCATGTGATCATTAACAATGAAAAGTTAAAAACCAGATATTCAGATTGTTACT